>NC_000020.11:36617749-36920779 GCF_000001405.40 Homo sapiens
AGGAGGCTGAGGCAGGAGACTCGCTTGAACCCAGGAGGCAGAGGTTGCAGTGAGCCGAGATCAGCCACTGCACTACAGCCCGGGCGACAGAGTGAGACTCCGTCTCAAAAAAATTAGTCCAGGCGCAGTGGCTCAAGCCTGTAATCCCAGCACTTTGAGAGGCTGAGGCAGGCAGATCACGAGGTCAGGAGATCAAGATCATCCTGGCTAACACGGTGAAACCCTGGCTCTACTAAAAATATAAAAAATTAGCCGGGCGTGGTGGCGGGCGCCTGTAGTCCCAGCTACTCGGGAGGCTGAGGCAGGAGAATGGCGTGAACCCAGGAGGCAGAGGTTGCAGTGAGGCGAGATCGTGCCACTGCACTCCAGCCTGGGTGACAGAGCGAGACTCCGTCTCAAAAAAAAAAAAAAAGGCTAAAAGTAAAAAGATGGAAAAAAGATATATCATGCAGACAACCATAAGTAAGCTAGAATGGCTTATTAATGGGAGAATGTTAGTGGGATATTAATATCAGACAATAGAATTCAAAAGACTGGAGTGCAGTGGCATGATCTTGACTCACCACAACCTCCGCCTTTCAGGTTCAGGTGATTCTCCTGCCTCAGCTTCCCAAGTAGCTGGGACTACAGGCACGTGCCACCATGCCCGGCTATTTTTTTGTTTTTTTAGTAGAGATGGGGTTTCACTATGTTGGCCAGGTTGGTCTTGAACTCCTGACCTTGTGATCTGCCCACCTTGGCCTCTCAAAGTGCTGGGTTTACAGCTGTGAGCCACTGTGCCCGGCCAACAAATTTAAAAGGATTGAAATCATTAAAAATATGTTGTCTGGCCACAATGGAATTAAATTAGAAATTAATAAGGAAAAGGTATCTAGGCTGGGCGCAGTGGCTCAAGCCTGTAATCCCAGCACTTTGGGAGGCAGAGGCTGTTGGATCACCTGAGGTCAGGAGTTCAAGACCAGCCTGACCAACAAGGCAGCCTGACCATCTGTACTAAAAATATAAAATTAGCTAGGTATGGTGGCACATGCCTATAAATCCCAGCTACTTGAGAGGCTGAGGCAGGAGAATTGCTTGAACCCAGGCAGCGGAGATTGCAGTGAGCCGAGATTGTACCATTTCACTACAGCCTAGGGAACAAGAGTGAACTCCATCTCAAAAAAAAAAAAAAAAAAAAAAAAAAAAGTATCTAGAAGCCAGGTTTGGTGGCTCACGCCTGTAATCCCAACACTTTGGGAGGTTGAGGTGGGCAGATCATTTGAGGTCGAGAGATTGAGATGCGTCTGACTAACATGGTGAAACTCCATCTCTACAAAAAATACAAAAAAATTAGCCAGGCTTGGTGCCAGTAATTCCAGCTACTTGGGAGGCTGAAGCAAGAGAATTGCTTGAACCTGTGAGGTGGAGGTTGCAGTAAGCTGAGATCACGCCACTGCACTCCAGCTTGGGCAATGGAGTGAGACTCTGGGGGAAAAAAAAAAAAAAAAAAAAAAAGGCTGGGTGCGGTGGCTCACACCTGTAATCCTAGCACTTTGGGAGGCTAAGGTGGGTGGATCACCTGAGGTAAGGAGTTCAAGACCAGCCTGGCCAACATGGTGAAACCCCATCTCTACTAAAAATACAAAAATTAGCCAGGCATGGTGGCACACGCCTGTAATCCCAGCTACTTGGGAGACTGAGGCAGGAGGATTGCTTGAACCTGGGAGCAGGAGGTTGCAGTGAGCCAAGATCACGCCACTGCACTCCAGCCTGGGCAATATAGCAAGACTCTGTGTCAAAAAAAAAATTGGAGAGACTGAAGTGGGAGGGTCACTTGAGGCTAAGAATTAAAGACCAGCCTGGTCAACATAGAGACCCCCTTCCCATGTCTGTACAAATTTTTTTCTTTTTTTTTTTTTTGAGACAGAGTCTCGCTCTCTCACCCAGGCTGGAGTGCAGTGGCGCCATCTCGGCTCACTGCAAGCTCTGCCTCCTGGGTTCACGCCATTCTCCTGTCTCAGCCTCCCAAATAGCTGGGACTACAGGTGCCTGTCACCACACGTGGCTATTTTTTTTTGTATTTTTAGTAGAAACGGGGTTTCACCATGTTAGCCAGGATGGTCTCGATCTCCTGACCTTGTGATCCACCTGTCTCGGCCTCCCAAAGTGCTGGGATTACAGGTGTGAGCCACCGTGCCTGGCCAAAAAAAAATTTTTTTTTAATTAACCAGGTGTGGTGGTGTGAGCCGATAGTCACAGCTACTCAGGAGGCTGAGGCAGGAGAATCACATGAACCCAGGAGGCAGAGGCAATTATTATGCCACTGCACTCCAGCCTGGGCGACAGAGCGAGATTCCACCTCAAGAAAAAATAAAAACAATGCTGGGCGCGATGGCTCACACCTGTAATCCCAGCACTTTGGGAGGCCGAGGCGGGCAGATCACGAGGTCAGGAGTTCAAGACCAGCCTGGCTAACATGGTGAAACCCCATCTCTACTAAAAATACAAAAATTAGCTGAGCGTGGTGGTGGGCGCCTGTAATCCAGCTACTCAGGGAGCTAAGAATCACTTGAACCGAGGAGGCAGAGGTTGCAGTGAGCCGAGATTGCGCCACTGTACTCCAGCCTGGGCAACAGAGCTTGACTCTGTCTCAAAAAAATAAAATAAATAAAATAAAGAAGATACAGAAGAATATAATTTGAGAGACCTCTGAAAAGTATGGCAAGATTAAAACCATAGAAGTTATGGAAGACAAGCAGAGTCGAAAAAAGGATTTGCTTTTGTAACTTGATGATCAAGATATAGTTTTTAAAATTGTTCAGAAATACCACACTGGCTTTTTTTTTTTTTTTTTTTTTTGAGACAGAGTCTCCGTCTGTTGCCCAGGCTGGAGTACAGTGGTGAAATCTAGGTTTACTACACCCTCCGCTTCCCAGGTTCAAGGGATTCTCCTGCCTCAGCCTCCTGAGTAGCTGGGATTACAGGTGTGCACCACCAAGCCTGGCTAATTTTTGCATTTTTAGTAGAGACAGGGTTTCACCTTGTTGGTCAGGCTGGTCTCGAACTCCTGACCTCGTGATCCACCCGCCTAGGCCTCCCAAAGTGCTGGGATTACAGGTGCGAGCCACCACGCCCAGCCAGAAATACCACACTGTTAATGGGCATAATGGTGAAGTGAAAAAGGCCCTTACTAAATAACAGAGGTAGCCTGCTGGATGGTAAGTAGTCGTGGAGGTGGATCTGGCAATTTTACAGGTTACAGAGGAAACTTTGGAGGTAGTAGAGGTAATTTTGGCTGCAGTGGAAACTTTGGTGGAAGAGAAGACTGTGGTGGTGGAGATGGTGGCAGCAGAGGTAGTTATGGAGGAGGTGATGGTGGCATCAATGATGGTGAGCCTGCTTATAGCAGTAGACGGGGCTGCTGTGGTGGTGGAGCAAGATATGAAAACCAAGGTGGTGGATATGGTGGCGGTGGCGGAGGATATGATGGTTACAATGAAGGAGGAAATTTTGGCGCTGGTAACTATGCTGGTGATGGGAACTATAATGATTTTAGCAATTATAGTGGACAACAGCAATCAAATTATGGACCTATGAAAGGAGGCAGTTTTGGTGGAAGAAGCTCAGGCAGTCCCTATGGTGGTGCTTATGGATGTGGTGGTGTAAGTGGTAGATATAGTAGCAGAAGGTTCTAAAAACAGCAGAAAAAGGCTATAGTGTTGTTTTTTTTTTGAGACGGAGTCTTGCTGTGTCACCAGGCTGAAGTGCAGTGGCGCGATCTCGGCTCACTGCAGGATCTCTGCAGGAGAATCGCTTGAACCCGGGAGGCAGAGGTTGCAGTGAGCCGAGATCGCGCCACTGCACTCCAGCCTGGGTGACAGAGCAAGACTCCATCTCAAACAAAACAAAACAAAACAAAAAACAAAAACTGAACATCACTTGCTTAACAATGAGGATAAATGTAAAATTAAAATTTATTTTAAAAATAAGAACTAAACATTGGCCAGGGACAATGGCTAATGCCTGTAATCCAAGAACTTTGGGAGGTGGAGGTGGGAGAATCACTTAAGCCCAGCCAGGAATTTGAGACAAGCCTGGATAACATGGTGAGAGTCTTTCTCTACAAAAAATTTAAAAATTAACCAGGCATGGTGGTACATGCCTGTGGTCCCAGCTACTCCAGAGGCTGAGGCAGGAGAATCGTTTGAGCCTGTGACGTTGAGGCTGCAGTGAGCCATGACTGTGCCACTACACTCCAGCCTAGCCAACAGAGGAAGACTCTGTCTCAATCAATCAATAGCTGAACATTGGCTGGGTGCGGTGGCTCACACCTGTAATCCCAGCGCTTTGGGAAGCCGAGGCAGGTGGATCACCTGAGGCCAGGAGTTCAAGACCAGCCTGGCCAACCCATGGTGGAAGTTGCAGTGAGCCAAGATCATGCCACTGCACTCTAGCCTGGGTGACAGAGCAAGACTTGATCTCAAAAAAAAAAAAAAAAATTAGCTGGGCATGGTGGCATGCGCCTGTTGTCCCAGCTACTCAGGAGGCTGAGGCAGGAGTATCTCTTGAACCCGGGAAGCAGAGGTTGTGGTGACTCAGCCTGGGCAACAGAGCGAGACTCCATCTCAAAAAAAAAAAACAAAAAACTGAAAAACCACGATCACCTGAAAAAATGCAGAAAAATCATTTGACAAAATTCAACACCCTTCATGATTAAAAAAAAAAAAAGCAGAAAACGATGAATAGAATATGTTAGTTTCCTATTGCTGGTGTAACAAATTACCATCAATTCAGCAGCTTAAAATAACACAAATTATTATTTTACAGTTCTGGAGGTTAGAAGTCTGAAATGAGTTTCACTGGACAAAAATCAAGGTGTCAGCAAGGCAATGTTCCTTTTGCAGACTCTAGAGAAGAAATCCATTCCCTTTTCCAGTTTCTAGAAGCCATATGGATCCCTCTGCTCATGGCCCCTTCCTCAGTCTTCACAGCCAGTAGCATCTTCCTGTCTCTAACTCTCACCCTCCTACCTCCCTCTCGTAAGCATCCTGGTGATTATATTGGGTCCATCTGGACAATCCAAAATAATCTTCCCACCTCAAAATCCTTAATCACATCTGCAAACTCTTTTTGCAATGTAAGGTAACATATTCACAGGTGCTGCAGATCAGGACCTGAACATTGTTGGGGGGGATGATGATTCTGCCTACCACAGAAGAGTACCTGATACAAAGCATCTGTGAAAAATCTACAGCTAAGGCTAGGTGCGGTGGCTCATGCCTGTAATCCCAACACTTTGGGAGGCCGAGGCTTGCTGATCACCTGAGGCCAGGAGTTCAAGACCAGCCTGGCCAACATGGTGAAACCCCCATCTCTACAAAAATAGAAAAATTAGCTGGGCATGATGGCGTGTGCCTGTAATCTCAGGTACTCCAGAGGCTGAGGCAAGGTATTGTTTGAACCAGGAGGCAGACGTTGCAGTGAGCCGAGATCAGGCCACTGCACTCCAGCCTGGGTGACAGAGTGACATTACATCTCAAAAAAAAAAAAAAAAAAAAAAAATCGACAGCATGCTTAATAGGAAAGATTGATTATTTTCCATCTAAGATTGGGAACAAAGCAATAATGTTCTTACCGCTTCTACTCAGTGTTGTACTAAAGGTCCTAACAAGTGCAATAACACAAGAAAAATAAATTTAAAGTATATGGATTGGAAAATAATACAGCTGCCTTTACTTACAGGTAATACAATCATATGTAGATAATCATAAGGAATCTGCCAAAAAGCTACTAGAACTAAAAGTAAATTTAGTAAGGTGACCCAGAGTCAATATGCTTTGAGAAGTGTATTGACCCCAGTAGGGTCTCTGCTTCGTTTTCTTTGTTTTCTTTGCCTGACTGGGAGCCCTTTGACCTTTGTACCTTTATTTTTTTTTTCTTTTTCTTTTTTAGAGACAGTTTCACTGTGTTGCTCAGGCAGGCCTCAAACTCCTGGGCTTGAGTGATCCTGTTGCCTCAGCCTCCCAAGTAGCTGGGGCTATAGGTGTGCACCACCACGCCTGGCCTGTATTCTGTACCTTTGAGAAGAGTCTCTTCTTGAGCTGTGCTGTAACCCTAAAAAATTCTGTGGCTGGGAATGCGCTAAATATTTGAAAATAGGCCCAGAAGGCCAACCAACCCAGCTGAACTAGTGACCAAGACCTTATAACTTTTGCATGGTTCTTGAACCACCCACCCCAGCCACTGTCACGACAGTTATTAGAATCAGAAAGGGTAGCTACACTTGGGATCTGGTTGGTGGTCTCAGGGATAAAGAGGTCAGGAGTCATCCATTCCTGATTGCTTCCTGTCTCAGCCTCACATCCAGCCCAACAGAAAGCCCTGTTGGGTGTGGTCAGAACACAGCTAAGATCCAACCACTTCTCACCTGGAGAGAGCCTACTACGGCTTCCTGCGCGGCATCCTCTCTTCTCAGCAGGAAGGAGGGGTCAGGTCGTCTCATGCCCCTACTCAGAATCCTCCCTGTCACACTTAAAATCAATCCCAAGTCCTCTCCCTGGAAAGGCTCTGTGTGACCTGACTCTAAACTCGCCACTCCCCTCATCCTGTCTTCCCTGACCGCCTGCTGAGGACGCGCCTCCCTGAGGCCTGTACTCACACTCACACCCTGGCACTCTGTGTCCTCTGAACGCTGCTTTGTTTCCTCTTGGCACTTATCACTCTCACACTCTTTTCTTATTTGTTTACTGTCCACCTTGCCAACTAGATTGTGGGCAGGAATCTTGCTTTTCATACTGCAGAATCTCGTGTTTTGAACAGTGCTTGGCACAAAGTCAGCACACAGTATCTATTTGTTGAATGAATGACTGAGTCTCTGTGATAAACACTCGGACGGAGCCACGATTACAAGCAGTTTTAAGGAGAGCTCATCACCATTTGCACTCCTACTGTCTGTGAGCACAGATGGTGTTGGGAATGATTCTTGAAGGCCTATCATTGCATGATTTGCAGCAAACACATATTGAGCATTTACTAAGACCTACCCTTCCCTGAGGACAGAGGGCCCACCCAGAGCCAGCCCTTAGCTGAAGACGGAGTGCTGTGGGGCACACAGGTCCAGTTGACTGACAGGGGAGCAGGTCACTAGGGGTGATGAGGAGGTGACTTTGGTTCTGTCCTTGGAACTGATGCTACAAACAGCCTGAATCTTCCTGTTTGGGGGGCAGTCTCTCCCAGCTCTTCATCCTCTCTCCCCCTCTCAACATGCATAGGTGTACTCACCTGCTCATTCATTTATTCAGTAAACATCTGCTGAGCACCCACCACATGCTGGACACTCTGCTCTGGGCCCAGACACAGGTATGAAATCATCACACTCGGGGAAATAAGTGCTGTCTTGTCAGCACATCCACAGCTGGGATTTTCCTTAATGGTCCTCATTTCAAGTATTTAGTTCCTGTATTATTCTCATCAGACCACGTACCCTGATTTTTTTTTTTTTTTTTTTTTTTGAGATGGAGTTTTGCTCTTGTTGCCCAGCCTGGAACACAATTGCATGATCTCAGCTCACTGCAACCTCCACCTCCTGGTTTCAAGCAATTCTCCTGCCTCAGCCTCCTGAATAGCTGCCATTATAGGTACCTGCCACCATGCCTGTCTAATTTTTTTGTATTTTTAATAGAGATGGGGTTTCACCATGTTAGCCAGGCTGGTCTCGAACTCTGTCCTCAGGTGATTCCCCCGCCTCGGCCTCTCAAAGTGCTGGGATTACAGGCATGAGCCACTGTGCCCGGCCATGATTTTGTTTTAGGAAATAAATTTAGCCAGCTGTGGTGGCTCATGCCTGTAATCCCAGCACTTGGGAAGTCTAAGGCGGGAGGATGGCTTGAGCCCAGGAGTTCGAGACCAGCCTGGGCAATAGAGTGAGATCCTGTCTCTACAAAAATTTAAAAGTTAGGCATGGTGGTGCACGCCTGTAGTTCCAGCTACTCAAGAAGCTGAGGTGGGAGGATCACTTGAGCCCACAAGTTCAAGACTGCAGTGAACCATGATTGTGCCACTGCACTCCAGCCTGGGCAATAGAGTGAGATCCTGTCAAAAAAAAAAAAAAAAAAAGCTGGGTGTGGTGGCTCATGCCTATAAACCCAGCACTTTGGAAGGCCAAGGTGGGCAGATCACCTGAGGTCAGAAGTTCAAGACTAGCCTGGGCAACATGGCCAAACCCTGTTTCTACTCAAAATACAAAAATTACCTGGGCCAGACATGGTGGGTCACGCCTGTAATCTGAGCACTTTGGGAGGCCAAGGTGGGTGGATCACTTGAGGTCAGGAGTTCAAGACCAGCCAGGGCAACATGGCAAAACCCTGACTTTAAAAAAAAATACAGCTGGGCGCAGTGGCTCATGCCTGTAATCCCAGTACTTTACGATGCCAAGGTGGGTAGATCACAAGGTCAAGAGATCAAGACCATCCTGGCCAACATGGTGAAACCCTGTCTCTACTAAAAATACAAAAATTAGCTGGGCGTGGTGGCACGCACCTGTAATCCTAGCTACTCGGGAGGCTGAGGCAGGAGAATTGCTTGAACCCAGGAGGCATAGGTTGCAATGAGCCGAGATTGTGCCACTGCACTCCAGCCCAATGACAGAACGAGACTCCGTCTAAAAAAAAAAAAACACACACAAAAATTCGCAGGGCGTGGAAGCATTCACCTGTAGTCCCAGCTACTCAGGAGGCTGAGGTGGGAGAATCGCTTGGGCCTGGGAGGTGGAGGTTGCAGTGAGCCGAGATAGTGCCACCGCACTCCAGCTTGGGTGACCCTGTCTTAAAAAAAAAAAAGTCTGGGCGCGGTGGCTCATGCCTGTAATCCCAGCACTTTGGGAGGCCCAGACGGGCAGATCACAAGGTCAGGAGATCGAGACCATCCTGGCTAACATGGTGAAACCCCATCTCTACTAATACAAAAAATTAGCCGGGTGTGGTGGCAGCCGCCTGTGGTCCCAGCTACTCGGGAGGCTGAGGCAGGAGAATGGCGTGAAACCGGGAGGCAGAGCTTGCAGTGAGCCGAGATCCCGCCAACTGCATTCCAGCCTGGGCGACAGCAAGACTCCATCTCAAAAAAAAAAAAAAAAAGAGGAAAAGAAAAGAGATAAACCTATTATAGCTACAGAAGAGGTATTTTCAAGATGCTATGGGAGTTGAGAACAAAAATTGACATAGTATGGGAAGGCGATAGCCTGGGTAGGTGATAGTCTGGGAAGGCGATAGTCTGGGTAGGTGGTAGTCTGGGAAAGTCCCACTGGAAAGAATGGCGAAGGATGAGTGTGAGCTTGCCGTGAGGAGAAGCGGAGGGCAGGCTTTCCAGATGGAGGGAGGGGTATGTGTAAGGATGCAGCGGTAGAAAGAACAAGGTGTTTACAGAGTGGCTGGTGGGCAGAGGGTCCAGAGGGAACAGTGGAAGCTGTGGCTGGACGCGGAGCCTAGAGGAGGACCCACCAGAAAGAAAGGCCAAGTATAAGGTCCTAATTTCAGAAAGCTCCAGCAGGCTTAGGCAACATCACCTCCGGGACCTCTGGGGTCAGGTATTCCAGTGATGATGCTGGGAGTGAGGGATGAGGGATCAGATAAGGAGCTGCATGTGAGAAGTGGGCCTAGCAGGACCCTCCTGAACCTTCTCTGCTGAGGCCTCTAAGAAGCTTTAGGGATTGAATGTTGCACCCTCCACTGTCTGCACCCTGAGGACAAAAGCCATGACTTAGCAGGCCTGACTCGGAGGAGATGCTCAGTAAGTGTTTCCCAACTGACAGTGGACAGAGGTGAGCCCTGCAGGGGCAGGAACCACGTCTTGCTCATCAATCTCCCTTATAGTGCCTGACACAGAACAGATATACAGCAGGACAGCGCAGAGGGGCTGCTGCTGGGGCCTGTCCCTAACCCTGTGCTGACCTCTGCACAATCCTGTGACCTCCACAAAGCTTCTAGGCCCCCTTCACGGAGCAAGATTTGGGGCCTGACTAGAGCCTGGCCATGGCTGTCCCGAGGCCTATCATATAGCCAGGTATGCCAGAAGGACTTGGGAAGATGGGGTCTTCCTGCTCCGGACTCTGATTAGTGTTCCTGGTAGCTCAGGGCCCCAGGCCTTCCTCCTTGGTCCACATGCAGGCTTGAAGCTCGTGTGGAATCAGTGCCTTTGGGCCAATGAAAAGCTGATCCTGGCATCACTCACTCACTTGGTCAATGGCTAATTCCCATTATATACGACAAGAGCATAATGTAAAGTACATTGTCTCTTATTACTTCATTCTGGGTTCCCTAGATTGGAACTCTGTTTTCAAACTCAAGAGAACAATAGAACCATCCAGAGAGCCTGTCCAAGAAGCAGATTTCTGACCTCTGCCCCCAAAAGTCTGATTCAGTTAGGTCTGCGGTAGGGCCTACAAGTCTACAGTGTCAACAAGTTCCCCTGATGAGTCCTGTACACTCAAGTCTGAGAACCACTGTTCTATGACGTCACTTGGGCCCCTAGAGTCACTGTGGTGTCAAACCACAGTATAAAAGTTTACACTGTGACGCAGGACACACCTTATACAAAATCTGAAACAAAAGTTTTATGACGCAATGTTTACCCCAACCATGGTCATGTTCTCTGCTCAATTTCACTACAAACACGCACTGGTCCAGACGCACTAAATTAGTGGGTTCCGACCCTGGCTACCCATCAGAATCACCTGGGCAGCTTTTACAGTGTGCAGGCCACATCCCTGACCAGTGAGATCAGAAACCCTGGAGGTGGGGTACAGGCATCAGTGTTGATTTATTGAATTTATTTATTTATTTGAGACAGGGTCTTGGTCTGTCACCCAGGCTGGAGTCCAGTGGTGTGATCATAGCTCACTGCAGCATCGACTTCTTGGGCTTAAGTGATCCTCCTGCCTCAGCCTCCCAAGTAGCTTAGACAACACGCACATGCCACCACACCTAGCTAACTTAAAAAAAAATTTTTTTTTTTTAAGAGATGGGGGTCTCCCTTTGTTGCCCAGACTGGTTTTGAACTCCTGGACTCAAGTGATCCTCCTGCCTTGGCCTCACAATGTGCTGGGATTACAGGTGTGAGACACTGCACCTGGCCCCTAAACTGATTTCTTGACCCACAAATCAACCATGACCCGCAGGAAAATTTTACCTTTCCTGGAAAATTGGCAAATTTCTTCTTTCTTTTCTCCTCCCCCAACTAACATTTTTCATCTTCCTCTTTGATAACAATAGCTGCATCCTGATCCATCTCCTTTTGGAATTGACTATGGGGACCTGGAGACCTTAGTCCCGGTAATTATGAGGATTTTTTTTTTTTTTTTGAGACATAGTCTCGCTTTGTCACCCAGGCTGGAGTGCAGTGGTGCGATCTCGTCTCACTGCAACCTCCACCTCCAGGTTCAAGCAATTCTCTAGCCTTAGCCTCCTGAGTAGCTGGGATTACAGGCACCTGCCACCATGCCCGGCTAATTTTTTTGTATTTTTAGTACAGATGGGGTTTCGCCATGTTGGCCAAGCTGGTCTCAAACTCCTGACCTCAGGTGAGGCCTTATGTGGATCTTATGAGTCTTTAAAGATCTTCATGGATCCCGCTGGGCGCGGTGGCTCATGCCTGTATCCTAGCACTTTGGGAGGCCAAGGTGGGCGGATTATCTGAGGGTCAGGAGTTTGAGACCAGCCTGGCCAACATGGCAAAACCCCGTTTCTACTAAAAATACAAAAAAAAAAAAATAGTCCGGTGCAGTGCCTTACTCCTGTAATCCCAGCACTTTGGGAGGCCGAGGTGGGTGGATCATCTGAGGTCAGGAGTTTGAGATCAGCCTGGCCAACATGATGAAACCCTGTCTCTACTAAAAACACAAAAATTAGTTGGGCATGGTGGCATGTGCCTGTCATCCCAGCTACTCAGGAGGTTGAAGCAGGAGACTCGCTTGAACCCAGGACGTGGAGGTTGCAGTGAACCGAGATCGCACCACTGCACTCCAGCATAGGCAACAGAGTGAGACTCTGTCTCAAAAAAGTATAATAATTATCCCGGTGTGGTAGCACTCGCCTGTAATCCCAGCTACCAGGGAGGCTGAGGCATGACAATCACTTGAACCCAGGAGGCAGAGGCTGCACTGAGCCAAAATGTGCCACTTCACGCCAGCCTGGGCGACACAGTGAGACTCTGTCTCAAAAAAAAAAAAAAAGTCTCCATACGGCTTTCTCTTCTCACTCACAGAGTTTTCTCTTTGCATCTGTGTCTTTTTAGGTAAGGGGCAGAGTGGCCATAAGGGCCAGCCACTATATTCTTGGGGCTGACCCAGGCCAGAGAATGGGCCAGGGGAGGGGAGCTGAGCACTGAGCACTTCCTGTGGCTTCTGAAGCTCCAGGGGACAGTCTGCAGTGGGGCCCTGCTCCACTCCGCAACGCTGCTGTGGTTTCCTGTTTGCAGCTGCTGTGCTGGGCTGGCCTCCCCAGCCCCTCTACCAGCCTATGGATGTATGTGAGGTGGGGGTGCTGATGCTGCCTAGAAAATAGCAGGAGGGGCCTCAGAGAGGTCAACCCAAGAACGCCCAAGGGCAGGAGAGGAGAGACAAAGAAGCTGGAAAGGGTCCTGGGAGGGAGACTGAGGCAGAGAACGAAGGGTCCCGACAGCCTATCACAGTTGGTTCATATCAAGGCGGGCGCCAGGAGGTCTGTCCATTCCTGATACCTCCTTCCCTGGTCTGTTGCTATGCTTGCAGTGCCAACATTACTGCCCCACGTGGGCCTTTCTTGGGGGCCTGGAGTGAGAGGAGGTGTGGCTGGGTTTGAATCCTGGCTCTGCACTTACTAGCTGTGTTTCCCCAGGCAAATTATTTCTCTTCCCTAAGCCTCAGTTTTTCCATCTGTAAAATGAAGACAATGGAAGTACAATCCCCATACATTGTTTTAAGTCACTTAAAGGGCTTAACATAAACGTGGGGGCTGCTGCTCCTTCAACATCCCTCTTTGCCTCTGCCTTAAAGGACTCAGGGGCAGCAGCTCAGAGGGAGGCAGGGTCATCAAAGAGACAATCAACTTTGTGTTTTGATTGCAAAAGACCCTGCACCTGGGGTGGGAGAAGCCCCACATGAATGTGCATGTGGCCCGTTCCTACTCCTCTTTGGTCCAGTTTTTCAGTCTGTACAGTGGAGCGAGGAGGATCCATGAGATGACTTCCAGTGGGTTTCTAGCTCTGACTGGCTACTGACCCAAGAGATCCTGTCACCATTTTAATGTTTTGCCAAGAGATCAGAATCATGTTGTGTCTTGGGGAAGGAGGAATCACCTCCTAGTCAACGCAGAGAAATTCTGTGACTATACTCTATTAAAAATCCTAGTTGCCAATGTGTTGGCTGAGCCTAGATCCCTACTGTGGGCCATTCACATTCACTTTTATTTTTTGAAATGGAGTCTGGCTCTGTTGCCCAGGCTGGAGTGCAGTGGTGCAATCATGGCTCACTGCACCCTGGAACTCCTGGACTTAAGTGATCCTCCCACTTCAGCCTCCGAAGTAGCTCGGACTACAGGGATGCACCACCATGCCTCACTACATTTTAAATTTTTTTGTAGAGAAGTGGTCTCATTATGTTGGCTAGGCTGGTCTCAAATTTCTGGGCACAAGTGATTCTCCCACCTCAGCCTCCCAAAGTGCTGGGATTACAGGTGTGAGCCACAGTGCCCGGCCTGTATTATTTTTAGAAATGCAGATTTTTGCTCTATTGCTGATAGGCTCTCATGGCAGCAACATGGCAGATGACAGCCAGACTGCTAGACACCAAGGCTAGGAACTCCAGCCCTTCACATTTGGCCTTCTGCCCCACCCTCAAGTCATATCACACTTGGCTCTTGGCATTGGAGGGGCAAGCCCTGGCATCACTGTGGATCTCAAATAGAGGTATGTTTCCCAAACTCTGTGCCATGGAACACTGGCTTCCAGTGACCCAGGAGCTCCCTGAGAGCAGGGACCATGGCCACCTCACTCAGCAGAGATGCCTAAGGCCTGACACATACAGTAGGTCCTGTCCTTCCCTGAAGCCTCCCCACATCATAGGTGCTGGAGAAGCATTTGCTGAATGAATGAACATGGAGTGACTCTGACTGGTGCTGCATGATGAAACACTCCTGTGTCAGAAACACTTGGGAAATGCCCAGTTAGGCAAACGCGACGCCTTAAGAAGTCTTGTGTTAACACGGATTGTGAACCTCTCAGAGAAGGATACGATTTTCGGGGTCCCCTAAACTGACCCCCCATCTCCTCTACTTCTAAGCAGGTGGCCCACAGAACACACTCAGAGAGTCCCTGTAATGCATCCTCTCGTTTCC
The DNA here is from genome assembly GCF_000001405.40 of Homo sapiens. NCBI lineage: Eukaryota > Metazoa > Chordata > Mammalia > Primates > Hominidae > Homo > Homo sapiens. The sequence goes on from NC_000020.11 coordinate 36,632,092, forward strand.
CCCAAAACACACGCCCAGCACTGTGTCTCTGCTGAGTAGCAACCCCACTGCCTTGGGAGAAAACCAAAGCTTCTCAGCTCGGCATCCAAGGCCTCTGTGCTGGAGCTTGCTCACTTCTAACCTCCTATTGTCCCGAGGTGCAGCCCACTGGCCCACCCCAGCACCACTGTGTCTTGTTGCCTGGGATCCTGTGGGAACATCCCTCAGGATCCCAGGTCCACTCCTCCAGGTCCACTCATGGTCTATTCCTCCATGAAGCCTCCCTTGATTGCTCCAAAGTTAGCTGCCTCTCCTCTGCTTTCATGGCCTGTCTCCATCTCCCCCAGCCTGGGCTCCACATGGTTCATATGGGCAGGACACGGAGCTGGGGCTCAGGAAATCTTGGTTGACTGAGAAGTCAGGCAAAGCCTATTTTCTGGGCCGCACCTGCAGCCATATATCTGTGGGCTCCTTTCTGAGACCTCCACGTAGGGAGGGCCTGGGCTGGCACCGAGCTTACTCACCTCTCCTGGTCTGGCTCTCCCGGATGAGGAAGGCCCCTCCAGGGTTCCCAGGTAACAACAGCAGTTCCTCTGCTTTCTCCCTGCTCAGGCCCTCATACAGCCACCTGGCGGAGCGAAAGAGAGGGACAAGGGACAGGGTCAGCCTGGAGGAAGAGGGAAGCCAAGATTTTACCACCACCGCTGAGTGACCCTCACAAGGCCCTCCCTCTCTGGGCCTCAGAGTTCTATCTGCTCCACGAAGAGCTGGGCTCAGGGTCTCCGAGGTCCATGCCATTTTTGTCCTCCCAGTCCTGGCTCCAGGGCCCTGGGAGGACAAACTCATGGGGACAGCCTCAGCTTTCTCTGCCTGGAGACCTCATTCCCCCAAGTAACCTGGGTTGGTCCCAGCCTCTCTGCTATCCCTGCTCAGTCCCCAAAGCACCCTGATTCTATCCACTCACCTTTCTAAGCCTCAGCTTTCCAAGAGCTGCCCCTCTGTTTTTTTCTTTTTTTACTGAGACAGGCTCCTGCTCTGTGGCCTAGACTAGAGTGCAGTGGCGCAATCACGGCTCACTGCAGCCTTGACCTTCCAGGCTCAGATGATCCTCCCACCTCAGCCTCCCTAGTAGCTGGGACTACAGGTGCGCACCACTGTGCCAGCCCCTCACGCCACATGCTGCCATCTCCTACGTGGACTTTTCAGCATTTTCCACCACGAGATCCTGGCAACCTCCAAAGCCCAGAGCTCCACACCTCCTCTGTGGGCCTTCCCAAGCCCTTCCTCTGGCTCCCACATCTCACAGGCCAACCTGTGCTAGGATGAGCTGTCTGCCCCTCTTGAGGGCAGGACCTGGGTTCGATTCTCCCCCATCCCCAGCTTTGCTCAGCGCAGAGCCGTGCACAAAGGGGAGTTCTTGTGGGAGGAGAAAGCAGGAAGCTCTGCAAGGCGGGCCTGGGGTGGGAACTCACCCATGGGAGACTTTGGCCACGTGGACGCTGGGGATGTTATACTCTCTGCCTGAGACTTCAGACAGCACCGTCCACCAGTCTCCATCCCTGGAGAGAGAAAGGAGTGGGGGCACCTCTTTCAGATGAGCCAAGGCCCCGACAACCACACATTCAGGGCTTGCAAGGACCCTCTCAGGCTGGATCCTGTGGCCACCTGTCCTGCCTGTTTCCCAGGCTTCCCTGCACTAGCCTGTCCAGGTACCTCCTGAGTCAGGGCTGGGGCTGGTGGTAGATGCACAATTCCAGGCTCCCTGCTACAGGGCGCTGCCCACCCACTGCTTCTCCCTGTGGGGGTGTCCAGCCGCCTGAAATTCCACCACAGGGTTTCTGTGAGCGCTTCAGCAAAGGCTTGTGCTTTTCTACCTGGGGGAAGGGCCCCTTCTCCCGGGACAGTATCTCTAATTCCTTCCTTCTTTTATTTTTTTGAGACAGAGTTTTGCTCGTCGCCCAGGCTGGAGTGCAATGGCGTGATCTCAGCTCACTGCAACCTCCTCCTCCCAGGTTCAAGTGATTCTCCTGCCTCAGCCTCCCAAGTAGCTGGGATTACAGGCGTCTGCCACCAAGCCCGGCTAATTTTTGTATTTTTAGTAGAGACGGTTTCACCGTGTTGGCCAGGCTGGTCTCGAATTCCTGACCTCAGGTGATCTGCCCACCTCAGCCTCCCAAAGTGCTGGGATTACAGGTGTGAGCTACCACGCCTGGCCCATTCATTTATTTTAGAGATGACAGGGTCTTGCTGTCACCCAAGCTGGAGTGCACTGGCTTGATCATAGCTCATTGCAGCCTTGAGCTCCCGAGCTCCAGCGATTCTCCCACCTAAGCCTCCCAGACAGCTAGCGCTACAGGCACACACCACCATGCCTGGCTCTATTAGTGCATATTCAGGTATCCAGTGCCCATGGACTTACTCAGAGACGATGGTCAATGGCTCCCCGAGTCTCAGCGACAGCTCGGCCGGGCCACCTGCCGGGAAACTGCCCAGGGCCACGGCTGTGGCCTTGCTTCTCTCTAGATGGAGGGACAGAAATAGTCACCTACTTAGCTAGCCCTGCTCCACGCATGAGGTCTAGTGGAGTCTGGCCTGGGTCTGGCTCCCAGCATCAGCCCTCCACAAGCACCCTGAGGGAGTCCCATCCACTTCCTAAGAGGGCCACCCTGGAATCAAGCTTTTCCAGCAGAACTTTGCAGAGCCCTGACAGTGCCCAGAGAGAGAGAGAGAGAGAGAGAAAGAAAGAAAAAAAAAATAGTGATAGGGTCTTGCTCCATCACCACTGCACGTAGGCTGAGCGACAGGGCAAGATCCTATCTCTAAAAATTAGGCTCAATGCAGCCTTGACCTCCCGGGCTCAAATCCTCCAGCCTCAGCCTCCTGAGTGGCTGGGACTACAGGTGTGCACCACTACACCCGGCTAATTTAAAACAATTTTTTAGTAGAGATGAGGTCTTGCTATGTTGCCCAGGACACGGTGGCCATGAGGCTCAGAATGTGGTGACCATAAGGCCCAATTTCAAGGCTGGGCATCAGGCGGCAAGGGCACCCTCAGCACAGCACCCACGCCCTCAGCCACCCCAGAGGGCAGCCTGCTCAGGCCAACCAGACTCCCTATGACCGCCGAGCCTTGTAGCCTGAAAATCCAGGTTTCAGCAGCTGCTGAAGGCCACTCACTGCACCCTAGCATCCCTCCCTTCTTCCCCCTTGTCCTTTTTCTGTAAGGATTCCTTAGCACATAAACACATTAAGTAGGAGAAGCAGCCAGGGTCAGCAAGAAGGGTCCCTCTGCATCCTAGATGCCCCTGTAGGAAGCAAGGTCTTAGAGGACTCTGGTGTGCCCTTCAGATGGAGCTGGGACCCCAGGAAGTGGGGCAGGGGAAGCAGACGAGCAGACAAGGATGGGGGTGTTGGGTGGCGGCACCGTGTGGGCTGAAGGGCCTGTGCTCCGGGTGGGCATGGGAAGACCGAGGCTGATTCTGGAAATGGACTAGTTCCCCACATCCTCCCAGACACGTGTGGAGACCCTGCAGTGAACCCAGCCTGGAGAGCTCCCCAGGGGTCTGTCCTCTGAGGTCTCTGAGGCATAAGGCCTGGCCATTCCACAGTGCAGAGAAATGTCTGATGCTTGGACAAATGATGCACACCTTGTGATGGGTGCTCTCTGATGAGAATGGGAAAATGTGGCCTGGGAGGGCCCCTTCCCCTCCTGGAAGCCCTGGCCTTGCACTCCCGGGGGCAGCCACCCAGCTGCATACACTACACTGTCCCCCTGAATGGCCTCACTCTGCCTGGCTGGCTTACCTTCATCCTTCATTTCCCAACTGAAATGTCCCTTCTTTCAGGAAGCCTTCCCTGACCAACCACCTCTGCACACACTCTTGGTCAGAATCCCTTAAAACATACTGCCACCAAAATCCAAGTTCTAGTTGGTTACGGGTTTAGCACCTGTCCCTGGGGCTCAACTGTCCCTGAAGTCATGGACTGTGCCAGTCTTGTCCACTCCTGTGTCCCCAGGTCCTGTCACAAGGCCTGGCATGTGGTAGATTTAAAGTGGTTGCAAGAGGCCGGGCGCGGTGGCTCACGCCTGTAATCCCAGCACTTTGGGAGGCCGAGGCGGGTGGATCATGAGGTCAGGAGATCGAGACCATCCTGGCTAACAAGGTGAAACCCCGTCTCTACTAAAAATACAAAAAAAAAATTAGCCGGGCGCGGTGGCGGGCGCCTGTAGTCCCAGCTACTCGGGAGGCTGAGGCAGGAGAATGGCGTGAACCCGGGAAGCGGAGCTTGCAGTGAGCCGAGATTGCGCCACTGCAGTCCGCAGTCCAGCCTGGGCGACAGAGCAAGACTCCGTCTCAAAAAAAAAAAAAAAAAAAAATACAAAATTAGCCCTATGTGGTGGTGCACGCCTGTAGTCCCAGCTACTCAGGAGGCTGAAGCAGGAGAATCACTTGAACCTGGGAGGCGGAGGTTGCGGTGAGCGGAGATCACATCATTGCACTCCAGCCTGGGCAACAAGAGCTAAACTCCATCTCAAAAAGAAAAAAAAAAAAATATATATATATATATATATATATATATATGGTTGCAAGACTGAGTGGCCGCAGTGGCTCACGCCTGTAATCCCAACACTTTGGAAGGCCAAGGCAGGCAGATCGCCTGAGGTCGGGAGTTCCAGACCAGCCTGGCCAACATGGTGAAACCCCGTCTCTACTAAAAATACAAAAATTAGCTGGGCTTGGTGGTGGCACGTCCCTGTAATCCCAGCTACTTAGGAGGCTGAGACAGGAGAATCGCTTGAACCCAGGAGGTGGAGCTTGCAGTGAGCCAAGATGGCGCCATTGCACTCCAGCATGGGCAACACAGCAAGATTCCGTCCCCCACCCCCCCCAAAAAAAGAAAATGTGCTTTAATCTGTTTTACTGTAGTGGTGACAGATTAATACCTTGTTTGACAGAATTCACTCACAATTCTCAATAATTCTTCTTTGGGGTAAGTAAATCTGCTCTGAATTGTCTTGGCTCATCAGTGTTTGCTTGTCAGCATTTTCTGTAATTGAAATAGAAGTGAGGTGACCCTTGTTCTATTAGTCAAGATCTACCTCTAAGGTGCGCGTGTGTGTATTTTTTTTTTTTTTTTTTTTTTTTTTGGAGACGGAGTCTCGCTCTGTCGCCCAGGCTGGAGTGCAGTGGTGCGATCTTGGCTCACTGCAACCTCTGCCTTTCAGATTCAAGTGATTCTCCTGCCTCAGCCTCCTGAGTAGCTGGGATTACAGGCACCCACCACCATGCCTGGCTACTTTTTGTAGTAGAGATGAGATTTCACCACGTTGGTCAGGCTGGTCTCGAACTCCTGACCTCGTGATCTGCCCGCCTCGGCCTCCCAGAGTGCTGGGATTACAGGCGTGAGCCACTGCACCCAGCCTACCTCTAAGGTTTCAATCCTTTTGAGCCCAGTACTCTTGTTTGAAATGTCCAGTTGTAAACTTTGCTACATATTTGCAGGCACATTGATGTTATTTCTTCAACATAGGCTCATATTCTGTGAAGTTTGCTTTTTTTTTTTTTTTTTTTTTTGAGACAGTCCTGCTCTGTTGCCCAGGCTGGAGTGCAGTGGCATGATCTTGGCTCACTGCAATCTTGACCTCCTGGGTTCAAGCGATTCTCCTCCCTCAGCCTCCTGAGTAGCTGGGATTACAGGCACATACCACTATGCCTGGCTAATTTTTTTGTACTTTTAGGAGAGACAGGGTTTCTCCATGTTGTCCAGGTTGATCTCGAACTCTTGACCTCAGGTCTGCCTGCCTCGGCCTCTTTTTTTTTTTTTTTTTTTTTTTGAGACAGAGTCTCACACTGTCGCCCGGGCTGGACTGCAATGGCATGATCTTGGCTCACTGCAACCTCCACCTCCTCCTGGGTTCAAGTGATTCTCCTGCCTCAGCCTCCCGAGTAGGTGGGATTACAGGCACCCACCACCACGCCCAGCTAATTTTTTGTATTTTTAGTAGAGACGGGGTTTCACTATGTTGGTCAGGTTGGTCTTGAACTCCTGACCTCATGATCCGCCCTCCTCAGCCTCTTAAAGCGCTGGGATTACAGGCATGCGCCTGGCCTGAAGTTTGCTTTTTTTTTAGTCAGCTCTGTAAAACAGTGTGCTAAGATTTTCACATCTTTAATTATCACATGGTTGAGGAGACTTCTACGTTACAAATGAAAAACTTGAGATGGGGAATTTAGGCAATTTATTGTTTTTGTTTTGTTTTGTTTTGTTTTGTTTGAGACAGAGTCTTGCTCTGTCCCCCAGGCTGGAGTGCAGTGGCTCGATCTTGGCTCACTGCAACCTCCACCTCCCAGGTTCAAGCAGTTCTCCTGTCTCAGCCTCCAGAGTAGCTGGGACTACAGGTGCATGCCACCACGCCCGGCTAGTTTTTGTATTTTTAGTAGAGACAGGGTTTTACCATATTGGTCAGGCTGATCTCAAACTCCTGACCTCAGGTGATCCACCTGCCTCAGCCTTCCAAAGTGCTGGGGTTACAGGCATGAGCCACCGCCCCTAGCCAATTTAGGTGATTTAACCAAAGTCCCAGTAGCAAAACTTGCACAACAGCCATATAAGGCACATGTCCCTAGGCTCTGTCCAGGGGAACAAGTAAATACACCATGAAGTAGTGTGATCTTGTTATCTGTGCTGGTTAATTTTATGTGTCATTGTGGCTAGGCCACACAACCCAGATATTTGGTCAAATACCAGTCTAGATGTTGCTGTGATTGAGATTGAATTTATTTATTTTTTTGAGACGGAGTTTTGCTCTTGTTGCCCAGGCTGGAGTGCAGTGGTGTGATCTCGGCTCACTGCAACCTCTACCTCCCAGGTTCAAGTGATTCTCCTGCCTCAGCCTCCCAAGTAGCTGAGATTACAGGCGTGCGCCACCATGCTCGGCTAATTTTGTATCTTTAGTAGAGATGGGGTTTCACCATGTTGGTCAGGCTGGTCTCAAACTCCCACCCTCAGGTGATCTGCCCGCCTCGGCCTCCCAAAGTGCTAGGATTACAGGCGTGAGCCACTGCGGTCAGCTGAGATTGAATTTAAATCAGTAGAACGAGTAATGCAGATAACCGTCCATAATGTGGGTGGGCCTCGTGCAATCAGTTGAAGGTCTTAAAAGAACAAGACTGACGTCCTTTGAGGAAGAGGGAATTCTGCCTCCAGACTGTGGTCAACTCAGGACTGCAGCATCAGCTTTTCCCTGGGTCTCCAGTCTGCCCTGCAGATTTCAGACTTACAGCCTCCACAACTGTGTGAGCCAGCTCCTCAAAAAAAATCTCTACACACACACACACACACACACACACACAACTATTGGTTGTGTTTCTCTGGAGAACCCTAATATATTATCGAAATCCCTATCAAGGTGTGACTTGAGAAAGGATTTGTGGTCTGTTTTGGGAGAAGAAGAAACAGACCTGGGGCCATAGTTCCAACATCAAAATACTAGAATTGCGGCCGGGTGCAGTGGCTCACGCCTGTAATCCCAGCACTTTGGGAGGCCGAGGTGGGTGGATCACGAGGTCAGGAGATTGAGACCATCCTGGCTAACACAGTGAAACCCTGTCTCTACTAAAAATACAAAAAAAAAAAAAATTAGCCAGGCGTGGTGGCGGGCACCTGTAGTCCCAGCTACTCGGGAGGCTGAGGCAGGAGAATGGCGTGAACGCAGCAGGCGGAGCTTGCAGTCAGCCAAGACTGTCCCACTGCACTCCAGCCTTGGAGACAGAGTGAGACTCCGTCTCAAAAAAAAAAAGAACAAAAAAACTAGAATTGCTAGGATATTTTTATTGTTCAACTGTCCAAGAAACTGGGAGTTTTAGTCAAGACTATATTAGAAAATCATGGTTATAGACTCAGCATATGCATTGTATATGCTATTTTTCCACCATTAAGACAGCCCTGGCAAGGGCCAGGCATGGTGGCTCATGCCTGAAATCTCAGCACTTTGGGAGGCCAAGGCGGGAGGATCATTTGACCCCAAGAGTTCAAGACCAGCCTGGGCAACATAGGGAGACTCCATCTCTACAAAAATTTTAAAATTTAGCCAGGCATGGTGGCATGTGCCTGTAGTCCCAACTACTCGGGAGGCTGAGGTAGGAGGATTGCTTGAGCCTGGGAGGTTGAAGCTGCAGTAAGCTTCACTGCACTCCAGCCTGGGAGACAGAGCAAAACCATGTATTAAAAAATATATATATACCACAAAAATAAAAAGACAGCCCTAATTTCACTTCAGGTAATTTCATAGTACCTCTCGGGTCCACTAGGACAGTATAGCAGAACTTTCTGCAACAATGGAAATGTTCTATAATTGTGTGCTGTCTAACAAGGTGGTCACTTACTACGTGTGCTATTGAGCACTTAAAATGTGGCTGGGGTGATGAAAGACCTTTTTTTTTTTTTTTTTTTGTTAGACGAATTTTCACTCTGTTGCCCAGGCTGGAGTGCAGTGGCATAGTGGCATGATCTCGGCTCACTGCAACCTCTGCCTCCCGGGTTCAAGTGATTCTCTTGCCTCAGCCTCCTAAGTAGCTGGGATTACAGGCACCCACCACCATGACCGGCTAATTTTTGTATTTTTAGTAGAGACGGGGTTTCACCATGTTGGCCAGGCTGGTCTTGAACTCCTGACCTCAGGTTATCTGCCCGCCTTGGCCTCCCAAAGTGCTGGGATTACAGGCGTGAGCCACCGTGCCCCACCCTGGCCTAAAATGTTAAATTTAAGCAGTTACGTGTGGCTGGTGGCGACTGCAATGGACAGTGCAGCTCTGGGGGCTGGGGAGGTGGGGCTGGCCAGCTCGGTGTTTGGATAAACAACTGGTTGAGAAGGAGGGAAGCCTTGGGAAATGCCTGGGGGACTGTCATGCCCTCCTGGTTTAATATTCTGGTTAGTGCCTGTTGCTTTCTCCTGTTTTCTCATTTATGCCATTGTTTACTGTTCTTACTGCTAAGGTAGGCTGTATAGGAGCAGGGACCCTGCTGTATGGCTCAGTAGGCAGGGCCTGGTATGCAGCAGGCCCTCAGCGGTGCTTACACTGTGTTGGAGCTGCTGGCCAGGAAGGCCCACAGAGGCAGTGAAGTCTAGTACTGTGTGGGAAGAGCCTGGCTGTCACAGGCCCTGAGGCCTACCTGCTTCCATGGTCACAGGTCCCTGGCCTTGGACAGAGGAACTCAAGCTTGGGCTTGGCAGAGATTTTCTTCTGCTGGGCAGACTTCCCATTGTTCCTCAGCAGAGCACTCAGAAGCACATCATCGAGGGAAATCTGAAAGAGACACAGTGATGGGGACAGAGCCGAGGCTTCTGGCCCAATCTCAGATACCTCTCCCTCCCCAGATCGGCCCTGGCTACCTCCTCACAGAGCATGTGAATGACCTCCCTCCTGTGGGACCAGGCTCCAGCCTCTCTGCCAGCCTCTGAAGGCTTCCTGCACATTGGACGCTGTTTTCTCCACATCTCATCTTTTTTATGCCACAACAGGCTCAACTTTTTCTTTCTGGGCCTCTGCTTGGGTCCCTCCGATGGGCAGTCATGCCCTCTCCTCTCCTTCAGTCCTGTTTGGATCCCATTCTTCCTTCCCCAGGAAGCCTCCCAGCCCCTAGCCTTTGTTGATCACTCCTTTGAATTCCTATGGCTCACTTAGAACCCTTTCTCTGACCCGGGATCACACTTGGCTACTGGGTGGCAGGGGACAATGACAGGACAGTGAGCTTCCTCCAGGCATACCAGGAACTGTGGCTTGGATCAGAGGTCTGCAAGGAGGGCTGGGTGTGGTGGCTCATGCCTGTAATCCCAGCACTTTGGGAGGCTGAGGCAGGTGGATGACCTGAGGTCAGGAGTTCAAGACCAAGACCAGCCTGATCAATATGGTGAAACCTCATCTCCACTAAAAATACAAAGATTAGCTGGGCGTGGTGGTGTGTACCTGTAGTCCCAGCTACTCAGGTGGGAGGCTGAGACAGGAGAATTGCTTGAACCTGGGAGGCAGAGGTTGCAATGAGCCAAGATCAAGTCACTGCACTCCAGCCTGGGTGACAGAGGGAGACTCCCTCTCAAAAAAAAAAAAAAAAAAAAAAAAAAAAAAGGACCGTGGGTTGTATGATGCAGTGATGACTTGCAAGGCTTTAGGGGACTGACTGTTGAGCCACTTCCCCTCTCTGTGCCTCCTTTTCCTCATCTGAAAAATGGGGATAACAACACTCAACATACAGGTCCGAGAGATAACGCACATGAAAACCCTGACCAGCCCCCTGTTTCCTTTACCACGTCCTGAATGTCAGTTCATCAGCGGCCTCTCCTGGGAGCCTCCCCAGGAGGTGTCACTCCGTCACCCAGGCTAGAGTGTAGTGGTGTAGTCCTAGCTCATTGCACCCTTGAACTCCTGGGTTCAGGGGATCCTCCCACCTCAGCCTCCCAAGTAGCTGGGATTACAGACATTAGCCACCACATCCAGCCTCTTTGCAAATTTTGTTTTGTTTTGTTTTTTTAATACAGAGAGTTTCACTCTTGTTGCCCAGGCTGGAGTGCAATAGCACGATCTCAGTTCACTGCAACTTCCGCCTCCTGGGTTCAAGCGATTCTCCTGCCTCAGCCTCCCGAGTAGCTGGGATTACAGGCATGCACCACCACGCCTGGCCGATTTTGTATTTTTAGTAGAGATGGGGTCTCCCCATATTGGTCAGGCTGGTCTTGAACTCCCGACCTCAGGCGATCCGCCCTCCTCGGTCTGCCAAAGTGCTGGGATTACAGGCATGAGCCACCGCACCCGGTCCTTTTTTCTTAAGTTACGGGCTCATGCCATGTTGCCCAGGCTGTTCTTGAACTCCTGGGCTCCACCAATCCTCCCACCTCAGCTTCCCAAAATCCTGGGATTACAGGTGTGAGCCATGGGACCCAGCCTCCCTTGGGAAGTTTTCATCATTCATTTGAGAGTTTACTTGTTTAATCTGCCACTATCCTGTAACTGCATGAGGACAAAGACTTCTTTTGTTTGCCTATTACTCAGCATTTAGTGAGGCATCACAGAAAGCACTCAGCACACATTAACTAAATGAGACTGTTAGCTCTTCAGACAGGTAGGTGTCTTATCGTTAGAATAGTTTAAATCCCCGGATTTCCAGGGTAGTGCTGATTTTTCCAAACACTATTTTAAAGTGTTTGGGGAGTGGGAGGCGGAGCTTTGTCTTTCTTTTCAGATGGTTTCATTCTTTTCAGTAGGGACAAGGCACAGTTACACAATTGGCCCAGTTCAGCTGATATTCATGGAGCTTCTGCTCTGTGTCAGGCACCTGCCAAGGACTGGTGGTCCCTGGAGGGGAACCCATGCACCTTACTCTGGAGGAGATCACTGAATGGGGTGGTGACAGAGTGGGCTCATTCCTTGCCTTTGAACCCCACACTGCCTGGATGAGGACGGGCGTCCATCAATATCATGGAGTGATTTCTGTGGCGTCCTGGACCAGTCCTGTCTGGGGAGTAAAGATCCTACCTTAGAGCATGGAACAGCCCTCTCTGTTCTTCAGTCTCATGTTGTTGACATGGGAATAACAATACCTGGGCCGGGCGCGGTGGCTCATGCCTGTAATCCCAGCACTTTGGGAGGCCGAGGTGGGCAGATCACATGAGGTCAGGAGTTTGAGACCAGCCTGGCCAACATGGTGAAACCCTGTCTTTACTAAAAATACAAAAATGAGCCGGGTGTGGTGGTGGGTACCTGTAATCCCAGCTACTCGGGAGACCGAGGCAAAAGAATCACTTGAACCTGGGAGGCAGGGGCTGCAGTGAGCCGAGATTGTGCCACTGCACTGCAGCCTGGGCGACAGAGCGAGACTCTGTACCCCCCTCCCGCCCCAAAAAACCTAATACCTGCTTGCTGCTCCCTCCGTATGGGGAGTTCGGCATTCATCTGGAAGGGAGCTCTTGAACACAGAATGGGCATATGGCATGGAAATGGGTCCTGACAGCCACTTCCTGCTCAGCCTTTTAGGATCCTGCAGCCTGGGTACACTGAAATGGTGCTGCTGTTCTTGAGGAGGTTTTTTGTTTTTGTTTTACATTATTGGGGTCTTGCTGTGTTGCCCAGGCTGGTCTTGAACTCCTGGGCTTAAGCGATCCTCCTGGGGAGGATTTTTACAAACCCAAGACCAGGAAACCCCAGGGAGAGAACCTCTGGCTTGGGTAGCATGAGTGCCCACTTGAACCTGGCTGGAGCTGTGTGGCCTCAGGCAAAGCATGCAAGCTTCCCCCGTCTCATCTGTGAACAAGGTGCACTACAGGCGCCACGGGGCTGTGGGGAGAGTTGCAGGAGTCTGGCACAGAGTGGGTGCTCAGTAAGGCTTAGTTTCCTTTCCCCTCCTTCAGGAAGACCACAGTTACCACCTGCAATAAACTGAGAGACTCCTTCCTGCCGCAGGTGGAGCTGGGGGCTGGGCCCAAAGGCAGATGGAGACAGGGGAGCTGTACTCAGGCTGAAAGCCTCCCCAAAGTCTCTGCAGCTCCCTTCACCTGGTCAAGGACTTGGTCAGGTCAAGGCCAATAAGCCCCTGGGGGCAAAATAAAGACCATACAATGGGCCAGCCTAGGAGGAGGCAGAGTATTAGCCGCACATTTTGTAAGACAGCATCAAATCATTAACTCTACAAATTTTTGAAAAACTTACTATGTGCCAGGCACTTTCCGGAGGACATGAGGCATCGGGTGAAAGGAAAAAGTTAGTCAACGGCAGCCGAGATGAGCACGCTGCCCAGAATATTGTGTTTTTTTTTTTTTTTTTTTTTTCAGTATCTCACTTGGGTCCCATTTCAGATACAGTGACCAAGTCCCTGAGAGGACAACCATGTGATTCTGTTCATGTAGCCCATTCGTGCAGGACTGGGCCTGCCATCATGTGTATTTTGTGCTTCTGAAGATCATTTTTCAGCAGTGGGGGTAAGAGTGATGAATTTGGCCAGGCACAGTGGCTCATGCCTGTAATCCCAGCAATTTAGGAGGCTGAGACAGGAGGATTGCTTGAGGCCAGGAGTTCGAGACCAGCCTGGGCAACATAGTGAGAACCCCCACCCCCACCCCCACCACCGCCTGCCATCTCTACAAAAATATAACGAATTAGCTGGGCATGGTGGTACATGCCTGTAGTCTCAGCTACTTGGGAGGCTAAGGCAGGAGGATCACTTGAGCCCAGTGGTTCAAGTCTATAGTTAGTCATAATTACGCCGCTGCACTCCAGCCTGGGTAACAGAATGAGACCCCAACTCAAAAAAAAAAATGAATTTGGATTGAGTTAAAGGGAGACCTCTCCCTCTCTTCCAATTGAGAAATATCACCCCTTTGAGAGTGAGAGTGCACTGTAGGCTCTACAGCTGAAATGTCTTGAGAGATGGTAGCCCTCACGTTCCTGACTTTGGAGTCTGACTGCAGCGCAGAGAGGGGCCCAAAGTCACACAGCAAGTGCGCACCTGAGATGGGACTAGGACGGGCGTGAAGACAAGCTGCACGGAAGAGCGTAAGCTCCAAGAGGAGGTCAAAGGTGGAGCAGGTGAGTCTTGGTTCTTCTGGGACCCCCAGAAACCACCCCTCTTTACAGCCTCAGTAGAACCACTCCCCCTTCTCCTTGAGCTTGTTTTTTTCCCAACAGCAAATAAAGCCCAGTCCCAGTCGGGGCAGGGGAGACCATTCTTCCTCACCTGTCTCCAGGCCATCCAAGAACAAAAGCAAGCATACTTACTGGTTTGTCATCAAAGGCTTGGGAAGACAGCTCTGCTGAGACGCATGCTCTGGCTGGACAGGTTAGGGCTTTGGGGGCCCTTCTGGAAGTCTGCCAGTGTCCTTGGTCCTAGGACACCCAGAACTCTCTCAGCCTGGGAGGATCTTCAGGGAGAGGCTAGGTGTTGGTTTGGGTAGCTCAGCATCTGTCTGCAGTCAGCAGTTTGTACACCAGGGATGGATCAGCTGCCCCATGCTCCTTAGGGATTCTGGACTGGGGAACCCTCCCAAGCACAGCCGAGCCAGGGAGGGAAGGCCCAGGGCCCTTTGAGCTCTGTCACAGAGACACAGGCGTGGGGTCCTTGGAGCTCTAGCTCCGACTGCAGACTCTGTGGTTCTCACAACCACCCGTTTCCTCTGACGGCATCACAGACCGTCGAGGAGCCACCTTCCCCAAGTTCCTGTTTCTAGGGGAGCAGCTGCTGCCTTGTCATGATCGTGGAGCAAAAGGTTTTTCTCTGGCTTTGTGGCTTAGTCTTGTCCAAGGAACACAGGACTGAGGAAAATGAGCCGGAGTTCCCATGCTGGCCTGACCATAATAATCACTCAGCGGGACTTAATTGTAGCAATTTCTGGGATCTCCCAAACTTTCTAAATCCAAGTCTCCAGATAGGGAGCCCAGGAATCTAAATTTTAAACCCTGCAGGAGATTCCCTTGACTGACGAGTGTGGGAAGCACTGCCTTCTCAGCCTTTAATGTGTATAGGAATCACCTGGGGATCTTGTTGCACTGCAGGCTCTGATTCAGAAGGTCTGGGGCAGAGTTCAGTATTTTGCATTTCTAATACGCTCCCAGGTGACCCCCATGTTGCCAGTCTGGGGACCACACTTTGAATAGCAGCAGTATCTGGACAGTGGTCTCCAAGTATGGTCCCTAGACCAGCAGCCTCAGCGGGAATTTGTTAGACATGCAAATTCTCAGGCCGCATCCCAGATCTATGGAATCATACTCTGGAGGTAGGCCCAGCAATCTGTTTTCATGCCTCCAGGTGATTCCGATGCATGCCCAGGCTTGATTTTTTTTTTTTTTTTTTTTTTTTTTTTTTTACAGGGTCTTGCTTTGTCACCCAGGATAGAGTGCAGTGGCACAATCATAGCTTAGTGCAGCCTTGACCCAGGCTCAAGTAATCCTCCCTTCTCAGCCTTGAGTAGCTAGGACTACAGGTGTGCACCAGCACTCCTGGCTAATTTTAAATTTTTTTTGTACAGATGAGGTTTCACTGTGCTGCTCCATCTAATCTCAAACTCCTGGCCTCAATTGTTCCTCCCACTTCCACCTCCCTAAGTGTTGGGATTACAAGCATGAGCCACAGTCCATGCCCAAGCTTGAGAATCACTGGTCTAGGATAAAGAATCTGACTCTGGCTGAATTGTCTTTGATCAGTGTGTTACCTTCAGTCCCACTCTTCATTAAGATTTAACCACACCCTCTCGCTGCTTCCCCATTAGGGGGATTAGTACTCTTGGAGACAAAGGGCCCACTGCACTGAAATGATTCCTGACTCCAGCTCAGCCCATGCAGCCCTTTCTGGGGCCTTGCCAGCTACAGCACTCCTGCTCAGGTTCTCCTTTGATCCTAGGGAAGGCTGGTTTGATTTTTATCCTTGTAGGCACTTGGCACACAGAGCTGAAGGAGCCAGAGTGGAGGCACACTTCTGCAAGAGAGTTCTAATCAGGACGTTAGAATGGGTGACAGCCACTCAGGGATGTGGGCCTTGGCAGGGAGGGACTTGAGCTTGAGCCCACCTTCCCACTCCTGCTGCCATACAACTGTAATGCCCGTCTTCTTATGATACGCACATCTTCAAAACAAGCCTCAAGGTGCAGTTCATGAATGGGGCAGGAAGTAGGGAATCTCTGGTCTCTTCTTAAAAGAATCCCACGGCATAACTCTCCTTTTCTACTTAGGGAGGCACCTAAGAATTACAAAATTTAAAATCCTAGGTCTATCCACTAAGAAATATGCACTGGTGTTCCTCCCTGGCTCCTGGCCAGAGCTGCTAAAACCCTTCTAATTTCCTCGGTGACAGAAGTGTTTTCTGTTCTAATGAGGCAACACTTGGTGGGCTCCTGGATGGGGACTGGTCACTAGAAAGACAAAGCCATCATTATGAGCTTGGGGCTTTCAGTCCCACCTCATCCTCTGGAGTGGGGAGAGGAGCTCGAGATTGAGTTAATAATTGATAATGCTTATGTGATGAAGCTTCCATAAAAATCCCTAAAGTACGAGGTTCAGAGAGTTTCCAGGTTGGTGAACACATCCAACACACCAGAAGGGTGGCACACCCCAACTCCCTGGGACCCCTCCAGACCTTGCTCTATGTATTATTATTATTATTTTTAGACAGATTCTTGCTCTGTTGTCCAGACTGGAGTGGAGTGGCACAATTTAGGCTCACCGCATCCTCTGCCTCCCGGGTTCAAGCAATCCTCTTGCCCCAGCCTCCTGAGTAGCTGGGATTACAGGTGTGCACCACCACGCCCAGCTAATTTTTGTATTTTTAGTAGAGACGGGGTTTCATCATGTTAGCCAGGCTGGTCTCGAACTCCTGACCTCAGGTGATCCACCCGCCTTGGCTTCCCAAAGTGCTGGGATTACAGGCTTGAGCCACTGTGTCCAGCCTCCTACATACTTCTTTATCTGGCCATTTACCTGTATCCTTTATCGTATCCTTTTTTTTTTTTTTTGAGACAGAGTCTTGCTCTGTCACCCAGGCTGGAGTGCAGTGGCGCAATCTCGGCTCACTGCAAGCTCCGCCTCCCGGGTTCATACCATTCTCCTGTCTCAGCCTCCTGAGTAGCTGGGACTACAGGCACCCACCACCACACCCAGCTAACTTTTTGTATTTTTAGTAGAGACGGGGTTTCACCGTGTTAGCCAGGATGGTCTCAATCTCCTGACCTCGTGATCCACCCACCTCGGCCTCCCAAAGTTCTGGGATTACAGGCGTGAGCCACCGTGCCCAGCCTATCGTATCCTTTTTATTTTATTTTTTTCTGTTTCTAGAATACAGACAGGGTCTCACTATATTGCCCAGGCTGGTCTTGAACTCCTGGGCTCAAGCAGTCCTCCTGCCTCCCAAACTGCTGGGATTACAGGTGTGAGCCACTGCACCCAGCCTCATATCCTTTTGAATAATAAACCGGTAAATTCAGTGTTTCCCTGAGTTCCGTGAGCCATCTTAGCGAACTATCAAACCTGAGGGAGGGGGTCTAGTTTGTAGCCAGGTTGGACAGAAGTATGAATAACCTGGGGATCCACTGCTTGCACCTGGCATCTAAAGCAGGGGGCGGTCTTGTGGGCCTGAACCCTTAACCTGTAGGGTCTGTACTAACTCCAGGAAGCTGGTGTGGTAATTTAGGACACCTACTCAGTGTCTGGGGTGTTGGAGAACTGGTTGGTATATGGGAAAAAAGCTCACACATTTGGTCACAGCAGTGTTGGAAGTGTTGAGTGTAGTGGAGGAAACTGTTTCCCATATAGCCACTTACTAGTTTTGTGACCATTTACAAGCTAGTTATCTCTGGACCTGTTTCTGCATCTATAAAATGGGAATAGCATGTATCTCACTGGATCAATAGAAGGAAATTTATAGGAAGGCATTAAGGGCCTGGCCTATATATAGATGCTCAATAAAGGGCTGATTCCCACACCTGTAACCCTAGCATTTTGGGAGGCTGAGGCAAGATCACTTGAGGTCAGGAGTTCAAGTCTAGCCTAGGCAACAACGTGATATGCTGTCTCTACAAAAAATAAAAAATTAGCCAGGCATGGTGGTGCATGCCTGTAGTCCCTGCTCCTCAAGAGGCTGAAGTGGGAGGATGGCTTGAGCCCAGAAGTTTGAGGCTGCAGTGAGCTATGATTACACCACTGCCATCCAGCTTGGGTGACAAAGTGAGACACTGTTTCAAAAAAAAAAAAAAAAAAAAAAAAAAAAAGGGCCCAGCGCAGGGGCTCATGCCTGTAATTCCAGCACTTTGGGAGGCTGAGGCGGGCAGATCACTTGAAGTCAGGAGTTCCAGACCAGCCTGGTCAACATGGCGAAACCCCATCTCTACTAAAAATTAGCTGGGCGTGGTGGCACATGCTTGTAGTCCCAGCTACTCAGAAGGCTGAGACAGGAGAATTGCTTGAACCTAGGAGGAGGAGGTTGCAGTGAGTGGATATCATGCCACTGCACTCCAGCCTGGGCGACAGAGCGAGACTCCATCTCAGAACAAAACATAACCAAACAAAAAACAAAAAAAAAGGCAACTGAGGCCATCAGATCAGTTCCTTCCCATGTCAGCATTCTGTGGAGCATTGGCCTGCATTGTAAGGCTTCAGCCTGGTAATCTTTATCTGTTCATATGCATTTGTTTCAACTCCTCTGCCAGAATGGGCATGTCTTTTTTTTTTTTTTTTTTGAGACAAGAGTCTTTCTCTGTCGCACAGGCTGGAGTGCAGTAGCGCTATCTCCGCTCTCTGCTAGCTCCGCCTCCCGGGTTCACGCCATTCTCCTGCCTCAGCCTCCTGAGTAGCTAGGACTACAGGTGCCCACCACCACGCCCGACGAATTTTTTGTATTTTTAGTAGAGATGGGGTTTCACTGTGTTAGCCAGGATGGTCTCGATCTCCCGACCTCGTGATCTGCCCACCTCAGCCTCCCAAAGTGCTGGGATTACTGGCGTGAGCCACCGCGCCCGGTGGTTCATGTCATTTTTTACGAGTGCCTGTCACAGATGTAGCAATCCACATGCACTTTTGCTGGCACTTGCCCCGGGTTACTGAAAACTCATCTGAGATGGTGGTCTTCTGAAATTATTCTTTTTTTTTTTTTTTTTTTTTTTTTCTGGAGACGGAGTTTTACTCTTGTTACCCAGGCTGGAATGCAATGGTGCAATCTTGGCTCACTGCAATCTCCACCTCCTGGGTTCAAGCGATTCTCCTGTCTCAGCCTCCCGAGTAGCGGGATTACAGGTGCATGCCACCACGCTCGACTAATTTTTTTTTTTTTTTTTGTATTTTTAGTAGAGACAGGGTTTTATCACATTGGTCAGGCTGGTCTCGAACTCCTGACCTCCAGTGATCCGCCCGCCTTGGCCTCCCAAAGTGCTGGGATTACAGGCGTGAGCCACCATGCCTGGCTTTTTTTTTTTTTTTTTTTTTTGAGACAGTCTCGCTCTGTAGCCCAGGCTAGAGTGCAGTGGTGTGATCTTGGCTCACTGCAAACTCCACCTCCCGGGTTCAAGTGATTCTCCTGCCTCAGCCTTCCAAGTAGCTGGGATTACAGGCACATACCACCATGCCTGGCTAATTTTTGTATTTTTAGTAGAAACAGGGTTTCACCATGTTGGCCAGGCTGGTCTTTAACTCCTGACCTCAGGTGATCCGCCCACCTTGGCCTCCCAGAGTGTTGGGATTACAGGCGTGAGCCACTGCACTCGGTCTGAAATTATTCTTGATGGGTACAAATATAGCCATTTCTGGAGAAACACAAGCTGGTCTCTTAGAAGACAAGTGGTTGCAGATTATTAAAATGAGAGGTGGAACCCAGCAATCCCACACAGGTGGTGGAGCTGTGACGTGGACCACCTTCTCAAGACCTCAGCTTCTCCTCCTCCATCACAAACAACACTGTCAGGCTTCTCACGATTTTTGGCTTGAGGGAAATACAGACACATCAGATAGAATTCTGCATAATTCCCTGGGATTTGATCCTGGCTGGACTTATTGGCTGCATGACCTTGGGCAAATGATTTATCATCAGTCTTCATTTCCTCCTATAAATGGACAGTGTCGCTTGGTGGATAAGCAATCACATGTGAAAATGGCAACACAGAACCAGCATACAGCAACTCGGTCCTGCCCTGAACCCCAGTGAATGGCTTGAAAGAAATAACACCAGCAATCAGGTAACAATGAGACATATGCAGCTTTATTTAATAATCTGTAAAAAGTCATACTCTGGCAGAGTGATGCATTCCTTATCTCAGCAGAAAGCAAACAGTCTGTCTGAAAAGCCCCTTCCCAAGATTTGGAACTGTGTAACCCTGAGCTTACATCTCAATGCTCCCAAGAGCTGGGCTCTTGCTATGTGGTAGTTGGTCTCCACAATTCTCTCACCCTCCAGCAATACTCTCTGTCTGGCTGTGACTCCCTCACCTAACAGTAGACATGAGGCTGAAAACAACTTTACCTGGACAGGGCTACCCCTACAGATTGGCCCTTTCTCTCCTACAAAAGGGAGTTCATAGGATTAACAATCTTTCTAATGGCTGGGAGCAATGACTCATGCCTGTAATCCCAGCACTTTGGGAGGCTGAGGCAGGTGGATCACCTGAGGTCAGGAGTTTGAGACCAGCCTGGCCAACATGGTGAAACTCCATCTCTACTAAAAATACATAACTTAGCTGGGTATGGTGGCAGGTGCCTGTAGTCTCAGCTACTCGGGAGGCTGAGGCAGGAGAATCGCTTGAACCCAGGGGGCAGAGGTTGCAGTGAGCCAAGTTTGCGCCATTGCACTCCAGCCTGGGTAACAGCGAGACTCTGTCTCAAAAAAAAAAAAAGACTCTGAGAAATGGGTTCTGTATCAATTTAATTTGGCTTCCATTACATCTACTGAAATCAAGGCTATACTTGTTAAACATGATACTGTGTTAATGGCTGTTCCTCTCCCCCCACCCATTTCTCCCCCATCTACATGCTTTTTAGGCCAAACCTCTCCCCTTTCTGGGAACTGAGGAATGGAGACACACTCTCTGTCACAGACCTAAGAGGCACTTCTTGTGGATATGTGGATGTCTGGTATCAGATACTGCAGCGACAGCAGTTTTGCTCTTCAGAGCAGAGGCCTGGCATTTTGTTTCCACCTTCCTGTGCTAAGAGAGTCCAGTAATTAAACCACATTCACTCCTTGGAAAAAACTCTATGTTGTATCAGAACCTCAGCGATGGTTCATGGGCTTCCAGCAGAATATATTCCTCCCTTTTATTTATAGAAGAGTATACAGAAATTCATTTGGACAGAAGGAGCCTCTCTATGTAACAGGCACCCTTCTGCTACTGGTCACAATCAATCAATGGTCCAGACGGCAATTATGATTTTCCACATTCCTCAAAGCTGCTCTCTCCTGAAATCACTTTGCAAATTTTGTTGACCAATTTGCAAACAAAAGAGAATGCAGTGGCCTACCCAACCTAGAAATCTGTTCTGCCTAATTCCCTTAAAAACACCATTGAGAATGCAAAATAAGTCCCTTTTTTGTTTTTTGCAGAAGCACTACAAGAAAGCGTGTCTAAAACCACAGAACTATGCACACACAAACACAGACACGCGTGCTCGCACACACAGAGTCGGGATCAAAGAATCTTATCTGATACATAGTTGGGGGAGCACGGGAAAAAGCTGGCAAGAGAGGATATGGAGAGATCTGATCAGCTAAAGATGTTGGAATGTTACAGTATGGCATGGAAGTGGTTCTTGGGCTATACAAAAAAGGGGGTGGGCAGGCAGAGAGAATGATAAATCCAGGCTACTAGAGAGAGGTTCAGTGGCCATGCATGAGTTAAAGATAGTAGAGGCCAGTTTACTGGATGAAATGTTATATTATGGAGTGGTCATTTGAAGGATGGACTTGCAATGGTCCAGGGGAGGAGCATCTGCTTAGCAGGACACCTCCATGGTCTGGTGTCTGTCCAGGACATCAGGGGACTCACAGGATTCTTGAGTTCCATCTGACTGATTGCTGGTGACAGACCGGCTGAAGGGACTTTCTCCAGAGCCGAGGCTACTCGAGGTTGAGTGGGTTCGTGATCGGGCGAGCCGAGTCATGCTGGCAGATGGTACTGTAACAGAGAACCAAGGGGACTAGAAGATGAAGCCCCGGTTAAGCCCAGCTAACCTAGGAGTCTCATCAAAGTCTTTATGTTTAGCTTTTCCGACTCATTTACCATGACACCCAGGACAAGATATAGCCATCCCCATTTTGTATCATTTGCTCTAGGTGAGTGGCGATATGTGAGGCCACTTTAATCCTTTAGATCTGGTTGGAATCTCAGCTGATTGTAGTCACCGCAGAACAAGGGGAAACCCTAAATCCAGAGTATAGCCTCTTAACTATGCCCACACCATTCAGACAGTGACAGAATGGAGGCTTTGGGAACCCAAACAGGTAACCAAAACCTACAGTGCATGCAAGACTAAACCAAAAGAAAAGAAAGACACACACACAAGTATGAAGGTGTTTCACAAACACAGTGCAAGCCCGATACAACGAGACTACCATCCGTGTCCACAGGCTACCTTGCTACCAGGGAGGAGATTTGTAGGATGGTGCAGGTGAAGGGGAGGGCAGATTGGCTTGGAGCTGACCTCAACACAGGGATGAGGTACAGGTTGCCAGGGACAGAGAAGCAGGTGTTTAACTCAGACTCCTGTTCTGCCACTGCTTGACTCTAAGGTCCTTCCAGCTTGGCTGGGACTGGGCCTTACCTGGCATAGCCTCCCTGCCTATCGTCCTGGGCAGCAGCCACTCCCCTAGCTGTCATTTCAATGCTGGGGTCAAAAGGTGCTATCATCTGCAGAGTTCTCTGGGCACAGGCTCTGACCCTCCTATTTAGAGCCAAGGCTGCCCTTGGATTCCTGTGTCTGGAGGTTAATTCAAGGATCAGTAGGTGGTGGTGGAAGATGGGCCCTGCCTATCAAGTTTCAGCTGCTGCTGTGACCCTGGATTTAGGATGACAAGAGGAGGCCTGCCCCTTACAACCAGATCCTTTCCTCCTCCTGGGGGACCAGGGCTGGACCTGTAGGCTAAATCTCTTGGGGCGTACTGAGCCACGTTCTATCGGGCTCTCACTGCATAGGAAGACCGCGGACATGCTGCAGGCAGCCAGTGCAGCCAGGAGAGACTGGAAGGCGGGGCAGGGCCAGCACAGAGGAAGGTACCTGACTCGGTGCTCAGGTGACTGAGCTGCACATACGGGACTGGAAGCAGGATGGACACAGGAAAAGGCAGGTTAGTGACCCCAGAGTGCCAAGTGGCAACCTCAGCTGCCTGGTAGACACTGACAGAATACTCTAAGCCAGGGATAAAATTTTATTTTAAGGTCCCAGAGAGGAGGTGAGGCTGACAGATACTTCAATAACATCTCAAATGTTACTTTCCTCAACTAGACAAAGGCAATTGTTTTCCCCTCTGCTATAAACAGTCATCTTGCTTTGGATCAGAAGTGGGCTGGAAGATCAGCTATTTCATAGGAAAAGGATAAGAATGGACTAGGAGAGGGCCTCCTGCTCCTCCCAGTGAGCCACAGGGCTGTGGGTGTGGGCTCGGTTGGTAGCGGCTCACAGGCAAGGATGACACAGCCACTTGAGACAAGACATACATGGTCTGCCTGGCAGGTACAGGGCTGCACCCAGGGCCCAGCTGCCCAGAGCAGCTGACCAGACAGCTCGCCAATGACCATTATCCACACTAATACCAAAGACAGGAGAAAAATCACCCTACTGGGTAAAGAGCTCTGTACCTGGGTGAAAGAGTTTTTCTAAAAACTCCAAGAAAGGAGCAAGTGTAGATAATTCTGTGACCATGAAAAAGCTCAGAGGTCTTACAATACAAGAGACCAGGACAATGGCATATGATATGGACACACCCTTGGACTTGCTCTAAAACACTCTCCAAGTTCGTCCCCTGGGGTGGAGGAGACTTTACCAAGGATACTGCCCTTTTCTCCTGGAGTCTCCATTTCATTTCTCTAGGTCAGGAGTTATTAACCAGCTGAGTTTAAATGCAAATCATAATTTCAGATTCACACCTAGGACAGCCTAAG
The DNA here is from genome assembly GCF_000001405.40 of Homo sapiens. Lineage (NCBI taxonomy): Eukaryota > Metazoa > Chordata > Mammalia > Primates > Hominidae > Homo > Homo sapiens. The sequence continues at coordinate 36,655,685 of NC_000020.11, forward strand.
CTGCAGGGGTTCAAAATGTGGGCTCTGGAGTCAGACTGTCAGGGTTTGAATCATGGCCCTGCAGCTGAATTTTTACCCTTGGCAATGTGCTTAGTCTCTTTGAGCCTCAGTTTCTTCTTCTATAAATTGGCACTAATAACAGAATGACTTCTTAGATTAAGAATATATAGGTTGGGCACGGTAGCTCACGCATGTAATCCCAGCACTTTGGGAGGCCAAGGCAGGCAGATCATGAGGTCAAGAGATCAAGACCATCCTGGCCAACATGGTGAATCTCCGTCTCTCCTAAAAATACAAAAATTATTCGGGTGTGGTGGCACATGCCTGTAGTCCCAGCTACTTGGGAGGCTGAGGCAGGAGAATCGCTTGAACCCAGGAGGCGGAGGTTGCAGTGAGCTGAGATCACACCACTGCACTCCAGCCTGGCAACAGAGTGAGACTCTGTCTCAAAAAAAAAAAAAAAAAAAAAAGAATATATATTGCCTGATGAAAGTAAGTGCTGAGTGTTAGCTTACAAATACGGACAAATGAATGTTCCATAAACATTTCAGTTTCTACTTTGCTTAAGGCTAGCTGCCACAGAGGTTATATCTCAAGAATTGTGGGCTCCCAGATGTGAAACTGGCTCCCAATATTCCTAAATCGTTGCTAGATAGAAAGTTGTGTACTACTCACTGTAGCCCATTCCCTGCAAAAAGTACTTGAAGGCCTCGGTGAGCTTCCCAGGCTGGGGGGATAAAACAAGAGGGCATTAATTTTTGCATAGACAGAGAAGCAGAATTAAATGGGTGTTTAAAAAAAATTCTCCTTACCTGAACTACCTGGGGCAGTCCCCCACAGTCCGCCATCTAGAAAAGGAAAAATATGCAAGTCAGCTGGGACTTACCCTTAAGAGAATTGCTCTGAACACCCCAAGTCCTTTCAAACAGAACAAGATTGAATTCTAGGTTTTAATGTTTAACTGCAAGTTTGCATCTCAATGCACCTACGTACAAACATTTATAACCTTGGATGAAAATCTGAAATAATTATTACATACTTATTTATCAATAAGACTGAAGCCCTGACTTTCAGGCCCATGGTGGGAATTTTCTGTTGAGGTGATAGTGAAGTTAACCACTACTCTCAACCATGAAAACCACCTGAAGAAGGTTCCTTTCAGAGCCCTCGAACAGTGTGACCCTAACTTCTCTGTGCATCAAGCTTTCCAAGTCCCATTTCAACTCTACATTATCTTTCCTCCGTGAGTAAGGGCACTCTGCCATCAGGAGCTGATACTGATTCAGCCGGCTTGCTCAGTCAGCCACTTTCCTCTAATAGCTGGGTTTGGTAATGCTGCTTTTCACTTCATAAACATTTACAGCTGGTTATTCTCACGTGTGCAAGGATTTCTAGGGTATGGCTTCATTAGTGTGCCCTGGAATTACCTGAAGGACTTGTTAAAACTCAGATTCTTGGATTCCTATCCCAGAGATTCTGATTTGATAGGTTTGGGGTATGGTTCGAGATTGTGCATTTCTGGCCGCGCGCAGTGGCTCACACCTGTAATCCCAGCACCTTGGGAGGCCGAGGTCGGGGGGATCACCTGAGGTCAGGAGTTCCAGACCAGCCTGGTCAGCATGGTGAAACTCCATCTCTACTAAAAATACAAAAATTAGCCGGGCGTGGTGGCACACACCTGTAGTCCCAGCTACTCTGGAGGCTGACACAGAAGAATCACTTGAACTCATGAGGCAGAGGTTGCAGTGAGCCAAGATCATGCCACTGCACTCCAACCTGGGCGACAGAGTCCGTCTCCAGGAAAAAAAAAAAAAAAGGAACGTACATTTCTAATAAGATCTCAGGTGATTTGAATCTACTGTCCACAGAAAAGCGTTTTTAGGGCATGTTGGCCATAGGCCTGCTCTCTTTCTTCCAGCTGTTACACACTCTGGACTCAGATGGTATTCTTCAGGCTGACTGGCTTTTTTTAAAAAGGAACATGAACCCCATGGTTTCAATTCACTGGCATTAAAACTTATTATGAAGGGGGACTACTACTGAGGAGAATGCCACAGAAGACGCAGAAGTTTGAGATTAACAAGGGAGAGGCCCCTGAAAATTCTAAGCATAAGATTATAAACAAACATTTAACAAATATACAAAAAAACCAAACCAGCACAGACTGTATTTTCATGAAGTTTAGGAGCTGAAACCTGATTAGAACACAGAACAGTTCCCATATGCAGAGAGAATACTGGGAGAAACTATTTCCAAGATGGGTACCTATCAAATGGTTTGAGAATCAGTTCAATCTGCCATAGGAGTTATCCACTCTATTCTATGGTGTTGTAGATGGGCATTTTTGCGAAAAATAACTATGTCTATGGTTATTGTAGGGTTTAGTTTTATGCTTTTGTATATTGATTCAAACCTGAAATGAGAAACTAATTTGAAACTATAAACTTAAAAAAAAATTTTTTTTGAGATAAAGTCTCACTCTCGTTGCCCAGGCTGGAGTGCAATGGTGCAATCTTGGCTCACTGCAACCTCCACCTCCCAGGTTCAAGCGATTCTCCTGCCTCAGTCTCTGGAGTAGCTGGGATTACAGGTGCCCAGCATCATGCCCGGCTAATTTTTGTATTTTTAGTAGAGATGAGGTTTCATCATGTTGGGCAGGCTGGTCTTGAACTCCTGGCCTCAGCTTCCCAAAGTGCTGGGATTACAGGTGTGAGCCACCATGCCCAGCCCCTCCCCAAAATTTTTAGACCAGCCCATCAATTGCCTGGAGGGCAGAACATTTTGAATGTGGTCACCTCAGAGCATTAACTTCACATTAGATTTCTAGGAACTACAGGCGTTTGTGGTAACAGCACTTCCCTTTCAAACACACTTCAAAGGGAAAAGGAAGATGGCAGAGGTCTTTCAGACTGAAAATGTAGCAGTAAGCAACATACGATCGGCATTGAAATCTACAGTAGTCCAAGTTCCCAAGTTCAAACTAGAAGGTCAGCTACCTCAACACTTTAGTAGAGGCTCTAGGAAAAGCTAAGATGAAACAATGACAGGCAGAAACTCTTGCCTCGGTTATACTCAAAAGGGGAGACACTTGATACTAACTCTAGATATTTAGCATAAGAGTTGGTCTGTATTTGCCCTAAGAGAAAGAAAATGCATCCACCCTCATCATAAGAATTGTTACTAAAAGCTTCCTTACCAATACAGCAGGATTTTGCATATACAGAATTTACATCCATTATCTTCTCACAATATTAAATCATGTTGACGAAGTTTTTTTTTTTTTTTTTTTAGAGACAGGGTTTCACTCTGTCACCTAGGTTGGAGTGCAGCATCAGGAGCACAAATCCTCGAATTCCTGGGCTCAAGGAATCCTCTCGCCTCAGCTTCCTGAGTAGCTGGGGCTACGGATGCGCACCACCAAGCCCAGCTAATTTTCTTATTGTTTTTGTAGAGACAGAGTCTCACTATGTTTCCCAGACTGCTCTCGAACTCCTGGCCTCCCACCTCGGCCTTCCAAAGTGCTGGGATTATAGGTGTGAGCCACTGCACCCAGCCAAAGTTTTTAGTTACATGGGAAAGGCTATGTCATAAAGTTGAGGAAAACAGATACAGGGTTGTAAATACTCTTTGACAGGGTCTCATTCTGTCACCCAGGCTGGTCTCAAACTCCTGGACTCAAGTGATCCGCCCAACTCAGCCTCCCAAAGTGTTGGGATTATAGGTGTGAGCCACCGTGCCCAGCCCGTCTCTAATTTTAATGATGTAAAAATGTATAGGAAAAAGACAGCAGTATTTTACCAGAGGTTTGGGTGGTAGGATTACAAATAATTTAAATTTATTTTATTCCATATGCTTTCCTCTTTTTTGCAGTGTTTTACAATGAGAACATATTCAGGAAAAAAGCTTTATTTTATTTATTTGTTTATTTATTTTTGAGATGGAGTCTTGCTCTGTCGCCCAGGCTAGAGTGCAGTGGTGCAATCTCAGCTCACTGCAACCTCCGCCTCCCAGGTTCAAGTGATTCTCCTGCCTCAGCCTCCCAGGTAGCTGGGACTACAGGCGTGGGCCACCATGCCCAGTTAATTTTTGTATTTTTAGTAGAGACGGGGTTTCACCATATTGGCTAGGCTGGTCTCAAATTCCTGACCTCGTGATCCAACTGCCTTAGCCTCCCAAAGTGCTGAGATTACAGGTGTGAGCCACCGCACCTGGCCAAAAGGATTATTTTAAAAAGAGAATGAAGGCTGGGTGCGGTGGCTCACACCTGTAATCCCAGCACTTTGGGAGGCCAAGGTGGGTGGATCACGAGGACAGGAGATCGAGACCACCCTGGCTAACACGGTGAAACCCCGTCTCTACTAAAAATACGAAAAATTAGCCGGGCATGGTGGCACGTGCCTGTAGTCCCAGCTACTCAGGAGGCTGACGCAGGAGAATTGCTTGAACCCGAGAGGTGGAGGTTGCAGTGAGCTGAGATGGCGCCACTGCACTCCAGCCAGGGCAACACAGCGGGACTCTGTCTCAAAGAAAAAGAAGAGAATGAGATAACCAAAGAGAGGGAAGCTTTGCTCCTTTCTAAGCAATTATTCCAGAAAATATGATTAATCTGAAGCACATATAAGGGTTGGAAGTGAGGGAAGAAGGCACATTACCTTTAGCAAAGTTGTATTTATAGGGTTCAGGCGGGAATTGCATTCGACCTAAAATTTAAAAAAAGAGAAGAAAATAATTTTATGAGTTGCTAGGAAAAAAAACGAAATAGCTCGGTATGAGAATCATCTTGCAAGATCAACAGCTCAGTCTGGAGAAGGCTGAGCCAGCCAAAGAGATTACCAAAATACATAGTGGGAGATATATTTATTTATTTATTTATTTATTTATTTATTTTTTTTTTGAGACGGAGTCTCGCTCTGTCGCCCAGGCTGGAGTGCAGTGGCGCGATCTCGGCTCACTGCAAGCTCCGCCTCCCGGGTTCACGCCATTCTCCTGCCTCAGCCTCCCGAGTAGCTGGGACTACAGGCGCCCGCTACCACGCCCGGCTAATTTTGTGTATTTTTAGTAGAGACGGGGTTTCACCGTGTTAGCCAGGATGGTCTCGATCTCCTGACCTCGTGATCCGCCCACCTCGGCCTCCCAAAGTGCTGGGATTACAGGCGTGAGCCACCGCGCCCGGCCCGGGAGATATATTTATATGATATACTTTGATATTTCTGAGCAGATCTAAAAATTTCACTTATCTAATTTTCTGAATCTGTTACGTGTCTTTAAAAAACTACAAGCTGAATCTAAGTCTTCCTACTGACTAGCTATATAACATGAAAGTAGGTTACCTTACTTCTTTGAGAAATGGACTGGACCGTGGGTCCTCTCCTGCTGGGATCTTTTAATGGCTTCTGAGTACAACTGGTTCTAATGACTAAGCCCTGGGCACCTCCCTTACCTCACTTTTCACCTCTTTCCTTAGTGGGTTTGCCATTCTTTATATCCTCACTCTTTTCTATCTCAAGGTCTTTGGCTATCCAGTCCAAAGTTGAACTCTTCTCATTTTTCTCTCATGGAGTCATTTAATTAAGAATCACAGCCCTGTGCATTCACATGTCTGATATCGTGCACCCTTGTGTTCATGAAGGCAGGGATCTCAAAGAAAATGTTTTGGGGAGACAATCTGTTGGTTCCATATTATTTTAGGGCTATTTTGATCAACTGGATTTCTCCGTTTATATGTTTGCTAAGAACACACATACAAAACCTGTGCTTAGAATCTGGATCCAGCAGGGTGAAACATGTAATACAAAGCAAAATGAAACCACTGCAAACACTTCACAACTGAGCTGAGTGAACACAGAAAGGAGTGGGATTTCTACAGATAGATAAAGGGAAAAGGTGAGTGTTTGAGGACTTCCAGAATCAAGGCGAAAGCATAAGCAAAGCCCCAGGGGTGGAACGGAATGGCTACCGAGCCAAGTGTGAGGTGAGGTAGACTGAAAGTGAGGCTGGGGCACAGGCTGGAGCTGACTGTGGAAGGTAGGATGCCACAGAAGGTGTCTGAAGTGACAGGATCTAAGTTGTTTTTAAGAGAGCAGTGGCCTACATGATAGACTGCAAGTGGCAGCAAGCAGTGGTTAAAATTACCTAGGCAAGACCCAGTAATCCAGATGAACTTTTAGTCTGGGGATTGCGGGTAGGCAGGTATACAAAACTCTTCTAAAATCAGGGATAATATAAAAGTCAGGATCACCAAATCGGAGTTTTGATTTGCTCTATACAAAGGACAATGCAGGCAGTGACAAACAAATGTACCCGTTCACTACAGAATGCGCATTAACTCTAAAAGGTAGAATTTAAAAACTGGATCCCTAACTGCTAGGCACAGTGCTTAGAACATAGTAGATAGACTATAAATATTTTCTGGAAGAGTGAACTCTCAAATCTGGATTTAACATAATAAATCATGCTTTCCTTGGTTCACTACTTTGCAATTTCAACAACATTATAAGAAGTCTTGATACCTAGTAGAACAACCACAATCACTGTTTTTTCTTTTTCTTTTTTTTTTTTTTTGAGATGGAGTCTTGTTCTGTCTCCCAGGCTGGGGTGCAGTGGCACGATCTCAGCTCACTGAAACCTCCGCTTCCTGGGTTCTAGCAATTCTCTCGCCAAGTAGCTGGGATTACAGGTGCATGCCATCACACCCAGCTCGTTTTTGTATTTTTAGTAGAGACAGGGTTTCGCCATGTTGGCCAGGCTGGAACTCCTGACCTCAGGTGATCCACCAATCTCGGCCTCCCAAAGTGCTGGGATTACGAGCGTGAGCCACAACCACTGGTTTTTGACATCTACTTTCTCCTCAGCTGCCTGAATCTTACTCATTTTCATATTCTTCATAGCACTGAGTAAATAGGAGATGCTCAAAATATGATGTTGAATGAATAAGTAAGCAAGAATAGTTACTGCAGTTACTGACAATGACTAGAATTTGTAGAGTTTCTTCTTGCTCTTCCATGCGTGGATATTCCTCTTAATCCCCACACACTTGTGGGATAAAATGCTCTGGCAGGGGAACTAGGTTTGACTGTGTATGAAAGAGCATCTACTTGTGGTATAGACAGGGCTCCAGAATTCTCATAAACACTGAAGATGTGGAAATCAGAAAGAGGGAGAGGCCTTATCTATATGGCCAAATTATTACAGTCTTGAAAAATAACTGCAAAGGTTGCTTTAAGTCCACACAATTTAAAAAAGGCAAATGACTAGATCCAAGATGAACAGAAATACTAAGCATTGTAAGGAAATTCTGATTAGGAATATTTTCTAAAAATATTTTCCTGTATTAAGTATATATGTTCATTTAAAAATGCTTTTGACAGTTTGGCAGCATGTATCTCCACCTTTTTAGCCAGAAAACACTGACCTTTATAAAGTTGCTTCTTGATAAATTGGGGTCACCACTATAACCTTTTTACCTCTGGGGAATGTTTTTTGAGGAAGGGGAACTGAGGGTTATTGGCCTCTATGTGCAAGTCATGCCATGTATTTCACAACAGACACGTAGTGTTTTACAGGGCAGTTCAGGGAGATGCGAATGTTATCCTTTCACATCTGCATATTCTCACCCTACAAACATTTCCCCACTCCACAAACCTTCTCAACTATGTCTACACCTCTGATTATTTGCTAGACTTCCTTTCCAAAAAGCTTTACTCCATAATGTTTTGCTCTATTTAGGGCAGCCAAAGAAATCAAGTAATTTCACAGAGATATTTAGTTAAGTTATATATGCTGTAGGAAACACATAATTAGACATATGAAGAACTATCAACTTCATTTGTAATCAAATAAATGCAAATTAAAACAGTGAGATACTATTTTTAACCAATCGAATTAACTACTAATAAAAAAAAGATTCAATGCTAGACAGTGTGCAGTGAAACAGGCATGCTTATACAGTGCTGGTGGCAATATACTGGTATATCCTTTCTGGAAAGGAACCTGGCAAAATGTATTAAAGACTTTGTAAAGATGTATAATTTTGGACACATTAATTCCACTTCTGGAAATCCATCCCAAGGAAATAATCAAAGATTCAAAGATTTCCTAAGGATGTTCAACAGTAACATTATTTTTATTTTTATTTATTTTTTTGAGACAGAGTCTTTCTCTGTCTTGCCCAGGCTGGAGTGCAGTGGCGCAATCTTGGCTCACTGCAGTCTCTGCCTCCCAGGTTTGAGCAATTCTCCTGTCTCAGCCTCCCAAGTAGCTGGGAATGCAGGTGCATGCCACTACACCCGGCTAATTTTTAGTAGAGATGGGGTTTCACCATGTTGGCCAGGCTGGTCTTGAACTCCTGACCTCAGGTGATCCACCCACCTCAGCCTCCCAAAGTGCTGGGACTATAGGCATGAGCCACCATACCTGGCCAACAGTAACATTATTAATAATGCAAAATCAGAATTAATATGAGAACAAAGTTAAATAAATAGTGGTAAACCTACAGACATACTGATTATATAATGGAAAAATGCTATCAGTAGTGTTAAGTCAGGTGCCCAAATCTTGTATATTTAATATAATCAGGTCTACGTAAGGCAAAAAATAATACTCTGTCTTTAGGTAATGGGATCATGATTTTCCCCTCATCCTTCTATTTTTAAATTTTTTTCATAGTTTCTACAATGAGCATATATCATTTTTATCCAAGTGCTATGTCCTTCAGAAGGAGGCAGAGGTGGCCTTCCAGCCTGCTGGATTTATGGTGGTAATCTATTCCAGATTAAAGGCTGAGGCTGTCAGAAATCTGACAATAAGTAAATGGTGTTTAGTTGTACTACTTGCCACAAAGTGAACTACACAACACAAAGCAATCAAGAAAAAAACTGATCCCATCTAATGAAATCTAAGGATAAATTAATTTTCCAAAATGTATGACAAAGAGCAAACCCTGATATGTGCAATCAGAAAGAACAAAAACTAGTATTTACCGACTGTTTCTAGTGTGTCAGCAGTGTGTTACATACTTTTTTTTTGAGGCACGGTCTCACTCTGTCACCTAGGCTGGAGTGCAGTGGCACAATCATGGCTCACTGCAGCCTTGACCTCCTGAGCTCAAGCAATCCTCCTACCTCAGCCTCCAGAGTAGCTGGGACTACAGGCTGTCACCATGCCAGCTAATTAAAAAAATATATATTGTAGAGTTAGGGTCCCACTGTGTTGCCCAGGCTGGTCTCAAACTCCTGGGCTCAAGCGATCCTCCTGCCTCAGCCTCTCAAAGTGTTGGGAATACAGGCGTGAGCCACTGCACCTGGCCTACACATTTTATTACATTTTGATCTCATTCATCTTCACAGCATGAGGACATACTTACCACAGCCTCAACTGCAGGCGAATTGTCCCCTACCACCAGTAAAGTAGAACACCTAGGTAGGCAAAGTAAGAGGTGTCACTCAGCAAATAGGCACATAAATTCCACTGAACACCAAATTAGTCTATGAAAGTCTATGAACACCAAATTAGTCTATATTTGGCAAGTCAGCTGAGGAAACTGAGGAACTTACTTTAATGTTTTTGATTTGTTATCATTTTGGCCCAGTATGGGTCTTTCGATCTCCAGGTCTCTGCGTCTAGAAAAACAAAGCAGAAGCAATGCCCTTTTTGGGTAAAGTCATAGCAACTCAGGTTATTTTCTGGTCATAAACACCAAAATTTATCAAGGAATGCGAAACTATCTTTCCTTCACACCTGAGAAGGGAAGAGGCCCTATGACTTGGTTCTTGAGTCGCCATTTCAGTGGCATCCTGGGTGGTATGGAGCAGGAAGGAAGCTCTTGGCTCAACCCTGAAGGACTCTTTGGGATGCTACAAGGAGACAGCCTCAACACCCAACAGCAACACCACTGAAACTCTCAAGTCCTAAGTGTTTAATTAATGTATTTTTTTGAGACACAGTCTCAGTCTGTCACCCAGGCTGGAGTGCAGTGGCACGATCTCAGCTCACTGCAACCTCCGCCTCCCGGGTTCAAGCGATTCTCCTGCCTCAGCCTCCCAAGTAGCTGAGATTACAGGCGCCCGCCACTACACCCGGCTAATTTTTGTATTTTTGTAGAGATGGGGTTTCACTATGTTGGCCAGGCTGGTCTTGAACTCCTGACCTCATGATCCGCCCACCTCGGCCTCCCAAACTGCTGGGATTATAGGCATGAGCCACCACGCCCAGCCCTAAGTGTTTAATTTACAGGAATAAATTCCTTAAGAGAATGACTTACACTTTGAGGAGGGGGGAGGGGTGTTTTCCTTGTAACTGAGTTTAGCACAGGGCTTAATCTTTCTGATTTCAACTAAAAATAGGGAGGCTCTGTTATACAGAGGAAAGAGCTAAAGAGACAAGGTTCAAAATCTGGCTTTACTCCTTACTGGCTGTATAATTTTGGGTAAGTTACAGCTGATCCATTTCCTCAATCTTTGTCCATGTTTCTAGAAAGCCAGAAGGGGCTCACATTTTCACCTCGGAGAAGCTGGTCCCAAGATTAGATACAGTCCTCTCTCCTTCTCCCACCCTCCTCTTTTTAGAACCTGTTTACATTTAAGTGAAGAAACAGGAAAAAACTATACCCATTGTAGGAATTCAAGAAGAGCTGCAGGTTGTCTTGGTTGATGTCTTGGGCAATATGCATTCTGTAGGTTTGGATCAGGTCCAGGTTGGCCTGTAACTCTTCCTAGAACAATTGAAAGAAGACATGGGTAAGCTTCTGAGCTCCAGAATAAGTCCATCTTGTTTGGTTTGCATTTTCATTACCACAAGCCAAATCGTGCGGCTCATGATGGGAACTGGGGCAGAGCCTGGGGACTACTGATGTACTGGTAGGCTGAATGACTGATTATTTGCATCAGACTGGTTCAGTGCTATATTCTGTGTCAGATGAGGGCAGCAAAAGACCTATTATGGATTCAAGTACTAGCTGTGGAACTTAGGTCACCTCGTCACTCTGAACCCTGATTTCTTTGTATGTTTTTTTAATGTTCTGCCATTCTTCACAAAAACAGAGATATTGTAAAATGAAGACAATAACCAGCTATCTGACAAGGCTGTTTTAAAGATTAAGTAAGAAAAGTTATATAAACATATAAACCATAAAGTGTAAAACAAATGGAATGTAACATTTCTTTTCTTTTTTTATAAGATGGAGTCTTGTTCAGTCACCCAGGCTGAGCAATGGCGCAGTCTCAGCTCACTGCAACCTCCACCTCCCGGGTTCAAGCAATTCTCCTGCCTCAGCCTCCTGAATAGCTGGGATTAGAGATATGCACCACCATGCTCAGCTAATTTTTTTGTATTTTTAGTAGAGACGGGGTCTCACCATGTTGGCCATGCTGGTCTTGAACTCTTGACCTCAAGTGATCTGCTGCACCTGGCTACATTTCTTTTAATAACCATAAATCTTTAATAACCATAAATCTATAGCTTCACTGATATAATCAGCATATTACCTATCTATATATACCACCATTTAATATTACACATTGTATAATTATATATTCCATTGCGTTTATGACACTTTATTGATTTAGTAATTCATTATTTATTTTAATCTTTTAAATTTTATTTTAGAGATGGGGACTCACTACGCTGCTCAGGCTGGAGTGCAGTGGCTGTTCACAGGCACTATCATAATGTACTGCAGCTTGGAACTCCTGGGCTCAAGATCCTCCTGCCTCAGCCTCCTGGGGAGCTGAGACAACAGGCACACTCAACTGTGCCTGGCTCATTTATTTTAATCTTATTACCAATACTTTTAAAGGTATAAAATACGAGAGAAACAAAATGGTCTATGCAGTGAAAAGTCTCCCTCTCCACCACCCACTGTTTAATGGTCACTCTGTTGCTGGCCTTCTCAGATGTCATCAGAGCTAGCTGCCAGATTCTTGAGTACATAAGCATACATGTAAATACGTGTGTGCATACACACAACATCAATAAGCAGTTTTAAGCATAAAGAAATTGCATTGGAGGAAAGAAATATATCAGGGATAATTAAGAAGTCCGTTAATCCAGGGCAATGTGTAAAGTTCACCACCAAGACTTGTTAGAGAAATAGAGACATGGAAAAAATTTCTTCACATTTTCACAACCATGTGGATGAAATGAACCCAGAATACAGCTGGAAATTGACAAGCGTCTACCTGAAACTGAAGGGTACGCGAATCACTACTAGAAAACTTTGTGAGAGTCCCAGTCTCATTCTAAAGGTATTATAATAAGAAAAGTGAATACCAAATGACAGGCCAGGTGTGGTGGCTCATGCCTGTAATCCCAGCACTTTAGGAGGCTGAGGCAGGAGGATCTCTTGAGGCCAGGAGTTTGAGACCAGCGTGGGTTAACATAGTGAGACCCCCATCTCTACAAAAAAATTTAAAACTAGCTTAGTGTGGTGGTACGTGCCTGTAGTACTAGCTACTCAGGAGGCTGAAGGAGGAGGATGGCTTGAGCCCAGGAGGTCGAGGCTGCAGCGAACTAAGATGGCACCACTGCACTCCAGCCAGGACAACAGAGCAAGACCCTGTCTCAACAAACAAACAAATAAACAGACTCCCATCTTTTTAAAAACACAAATTATAGTCCTCTAGATATTGTTCTACACTTGCTTTCCCTTGTAAAGTATGGTAGAGATCATTCCTTATCCGGATATATAGAGCTATCTCATTTATTTACACTACCCATCTTCCCACATCCTTGCTAGTACAAACGTATTTTTAATTTTTTTCTCTTATTGGTGAAGTTGAGCATTATTCATGTTTAAAAACCATGTTTGTTTCCATTTCAAATTAATACAAGCATTAACTTGCTTACATGTTTTAAAATTTATTTTTAATTTTTATTATCTTTTTGACTGGTCAAGAGCAGTGGTGAGAAAGGGGAAAGAGTGGAACAGGGAATTCAATCTGTAACTAACTGTGAACAATCAATTCAGATAATTCCCTACCTTCAGACCAGCCTGGATGCTTAAATTTTAAATGAACTCTTCAGTCTTATGACAATCCACTATGACCTCATATGTTTTAAATTAAACATATATTTTTTATATATATGTACATACATAGTTATATATATACATAGTTATATATAGAGAGAGATAAATTGTATATATAGCGAGAGAAATATATATATATATGTAACTATATATATAGTGAGGATGTTCTTGCTTTTCAGAAATTATTAAATACTGGCCTTAGCTTTCCCCTCAGAGGCTTATATGAAGTAGTATTTCTTTTTGCTATGTTGCCCAGGCTGGTCTCGAATTATGGGCTCAAGTGATCCTCCCATCACAGCCTCCCAAGTAGCTGGGAACACAGGCATGGCTACTAAGCCCGTCTGATTTTTGAATTTTTTTTTTTTTTTGAGACAGAGTTTCGCTCTTGTTGCCCATGCTGGAGTGCAATGGCGCGATCTCGGCTCAACGCAACCTTCACCTCCTGGGTTCAAGAAATTCTCTTGCCTCAGCCTCCCGAGTAGCTGGGATTACAGGCACGTGCCACCACACCCGGCTAATTTTGTATTTTTTTTTTTTTTCTGGGATGGAGTCTTGCTCTGTCGCCCAGAGCTGGGGTGCAATGGTGCGATCTCAGCTCACTGCAACCTCTGCCTCCTGGGTTCAAGCAATTCTCCTGCCTCAACCTTCCAAGTAGCTGGTACTACAGGCGCGTGCACCACACGTGGCTAATTTTTTTTGTATTTTTAGTAGAGACAGGGTTTCACCATGTTGGCCTGGCTGGTCTTGAACTCCTGACCTCGTGATCCACCTGCCTCGGCCTCCCAAAGTGCTGGGATTACAGGCATGAGCCACCGTGCCCAGCCTAATTTTGTATTTTTAGTAGAGACAGGGTTTCTCCGTGTTGGTCAGGCTGGACTCGAACTCCCAACCTTAGGTGATCCACCTGCCTTGGCCTCCTAAAGTGCTGGGATTACAGGCGTGAGCCATGGCGCGCGGCCGATTTTTGAATTTTTATAAAGACAGGGTCCCACTATGGCGGACCTGCCTCAGCCTCCCAGGTAGCAGGGACTACAGGCATACACCACCACATCCCGCTAATTTTTGTATTTTTAGTAGAGACAGAGTTTCACCATGTTGGCCATGCTGGTCTCAAACACCTGACCTCAAGTGGTCTGCTCACCTCAGCCTCCCAAAGTGCTGGGATTACAGATGTAGAGCCACTGCGCCTGACCCCTAATTTGTAGTATATTAATACAATGAACTGCTGCTACACAGTAATAAAAAAGAATGAACTACTGACACATGGAATGACATGGATGAATCTCAAGACAGTATGTTAAGCAAAAGAAGCCAGACTCAGAGAAGTACACACTCTGTCATTCCATTTATATGAAGTTTCAGAACAGTCAAAATTAATCTATGGAGGTAACAGAATAGTGAAAATCTTGTTTGGGGTGGGGAATTATTGAGTGGGAAAGGATAATGAGGAAACCTTTGTGGGGTGATGAAAATGTTTTGTGTTCTGGGTGGTAGTTACATGAAACTATATACATCAGTAAATGGTCACTGAGGTGCACTTAGGATGTGTGCATTACACTGTAAGTATTACCTCAATTAAAGAGAGGGCAAGATGGAGGCAAAACTCAAAGGAGTCAGCTGGAAGAATTAAAGTGGTTGCCACTAAAAAGCAGAATATGGGGTAGGTGACAGATTCTTTGTAATAAGCCCTATAGAACTTCTCTACTCTAAAATATATGTGAATTTGTAACTTTGATAAAAATATGATGAAATAAAAGACTGTGGATTTTGGACTTGGCCTGACCTGGATTCAAATGTCAGCTCCACACTTACAATCTGGATAGTGGTGGCAAGTTATGTTGCCTCTCTGGTCTTTGGTTTCCCTATCTTAAAATCAGACTAATAGAACCATGTAAAAAACAACTTGGTTTGCACATCTAAAGTATTATAAATAATCAGTACTCGATAAATGCTAGTTTTCTTCCCATCTGCCATTTTCCTTCAGATAACATTTAAAATTAAGCAGAAAACAATTGAGCACCCACTCTCGTCTCCCCATTCTAGACACCTCACAGCTTTCTGACCTCACTGCTCATTTACTCCATCACTCCTTTGTCAGTCACCCAACTCACTTTTCCCTTTGAAGAAGACCAGGTTCCCCCTCACCTACCAATTAAGCTCCCTCCCCTACCCAGCAATTATGAACACGATAACTGCCACTTTCTGTGAAGACTTGTTTCCTCACCAGTTGAAAAACATGGGGCTTGAACAAGATAATCTCTAAGCTTCTTTTAGCACTATTATTTCAAGGTTTTTCCCCCTGAAATTTCTATTTCTGTGAAGCCTTTCCCAGACCTCCTAATGGCTCTAAAGATGTTTGGGGAGGCACGTGATGTCAAACATTAACAGATGGCATTCTACTTACAGGAACAGGTAGCAGGAGATGCTGTCTTCTCTCATAGCTCCACATGTCAACAGCTATGTGGCAATGAGTTAAAGATTCACCTTTGCAGGGCCACATGCCTTTCAGACTACATTGGAACTGTTACTTGCTAGGATCAGGTAAATTCTAAGGCAGCCCTTCTTTCCTAAGGTAAAATAAGAATTTGCATGCAAGCCAATAAACACAGCTCTTCTGGGTGGAACAGGTACTTACCTGCCCAAAGTGATGAGCCAAAATAATGTCCACAACATTGGTTGTCAGGCCAGAGAGCTGAAAAGATAAAAACTCTGTGTTAAGAATGTAAGCATATGCAAAAATTTATCAAGCTGCCCAATTAAAATGAGTGCACTTTATTATATATGTTATCTCTTTAAAAACAAATGAAAAACCCTTGGCCAGGTGCGATGGCTCACGCCTATAATCCCAGGACTTTGGGAGGCTGAGGCGGGCAGATCATGAGGTCAGGAGATTGAGACCATCCTGGCTAACACGGTGAAACCCTGTCTCTACTAAAAATACAAAAAATTAGCCAGGTGTGGTGGCAGGTACCTGTAGTCCCTGCTACTCGGGAGGTTGAGGCAGGAGAATGGCATGAACCTGGGAGACAGAGCTTGCAGTGAGCCGAGATTGCGCCACTGCACTCCAGCCTGGGCGACACAGTGAGACTCCGTCTCAAAAAAAAAAAAAAAAAACCCCACAATTCAGTGTTATACATTTCATGAGATGGTGGTTTCAAAGAAACATAGAGATGAGAAACAAGTCAGAAAAACTAAGTCTCCTTTGCAGGGTAATAATAAAGCCTGCTATGAAATAGGGGACTGGAAGGACAATGTCAATTCCTTCTTTGAAAGCCTGAGACCTAGACCTCACGGCTGTTTGCTACTTTATTCCTGTCTGTATTTCTGTATTTACACTGGATTTATGGCTGATAAGGACTAACTTAACAATCACTCCCATGACTTCCAAGAGACAAAAACAATTTTTTTCCTCTTTCTTCCAGTTTTTGCTATCTTCATTTCAGGGAGTGGGAGGAAATGAGTTGTTTACAGAATGTTCTTGAGTTTTAAACATTTTTCTCCTAATTTTTCCCTTTTCAAAATGATGCATCTCACAGTCTAATAAATGCAGCAATCTGTGTAAATCTGCATACTGTAGTCTATTTTCAGAAAAATTTCCAACTCAAATTATGTTGCTGATTCCTGTTCGGCCTTCTTCCTTGGTTTTATGCTGAACCTGTACTGCTGATCAGGGATGAAGTACTGAATTGGGGGTAAGAATGGAGAAGAGGCACTGAGGGAGACAGACATGGCTATGCCTGGAGTAGGATCATATAGTTCCAGAAAGACTGAGGAAGAAAGAAGTCCTGAAATCTTCACATAGGTTATCAGTGATGCACAGGTTATGAACTATAGAAAAGTAGGCTGGGCGTGGTGGCTCATGCCTGTAATCCCAGCACTGTGGGAGGCCGAGGCCAGCGGATCACCTGAGGTCAGGAGTTTGAGACCAGGCTGACCAACATGGTGAAACCCTGTCTCTACTAAAAATATACAAATTAGCCAGGCGTGGTGGTGTGCGCCTGTAGTCCCACCTACTCAAAAGGCTGAGGCAGGAGAATCACTTGAACCCAGGAGGTGGAGGTTGCAGTGAGCCGAGATCATGCCACTGCACTCCGCCCTGGGCAACAGAGCAAGATTCCGTCTCAAAAAAAAAAAAAAATGTACCCACATATTAAGAAAGAATTAGGACACGATTGATTGACAGGGTCTCTCTCTGTCACCCAGGCTGGAGTGCAGTGGCACCATCATAGCTCACTGAAGCCTTGACCTCCCAGGCTCAAGCGATTTTCCGGCCTCAGCCACCCAAGTAGCTGGGACTACAGTTGTGCACCACCACGCCAGGCTAATTTTTTAAATTTTTGTAGAGACGAGGTCTCACTGTGTTGCCCAGGGTAGTCTTGAACTCCTGAGCTCAAGCAATCCTCCTGCCTCACCCTCCCAAAGTGCTGGGATTACCAATGTGAAACACTGCGCCCAGCCAGGACATATTTTAAATAAGCCAGGCTGTGAGAAGGAATTTCCATAGCATCTGGCAATAGCACTGTTAATGTGTTTTAGCTAAGAAATACCTCATTTCTCCAAAATGTAAACATAGGAAGAGATGGATAAATGATTTAGAATCTAGTTTGCTGATGACTAGAATATTTTAAGTTTTAATAAAAATATGCTTATCACAAGAAATTACGAAAAAACAGAATACAAAAGACATCATTTGTTTGTTTTCTTTTTTTTTGAGACAGGGTCTCGTTCTCTTGTTCTATCACCCAGGCTGGAGTGAAGTGGTGCAATCCAGGGTCACTGCAACCTCCACCTCCCAGGTTCAAGTGATTCTTCAACCTCAGCTCCCGAGTAGCTGGGAACACAGGCGTGCACCACCACACCTGGCTACGTTTCTGTATTTTTAGTAGAGATGGGTTTCACCATGTTGGCCAGGTGGCCAGGCCGGTCTTGAACTCCTGACCTCAAGTGATCCGCCCACTTTAATGAATACTTTAAAGCATTAAAACAATGCTTTAATGAATATTCTGGGTTTGCAATTTACTAGCAGTGTAATTTTAAGTAAATAATGTCTCTGTAGGATAGTAATGATACCAATGGATTGTCCTGAGGCTGAAAAGTTAAGTATATCTAAAACATTTGGCCGGGCGCAGTAGCTCACACCTGTAATCCCAGCACTTTGGGAGGCCAAGACGGGTGGATCATGAGGTCAGGAGTTCAAGACCAGCCTGACCAACATGGTGAAACCCTGTCTCTACTAAAAATACAAAAATTAGCTGGGCGTGGTGGCACGTTATCTGTAATCCCAGCTACTCAGGAGGCTGAGGCAGGAGAATCACTTGAACCTGGGAGATAGAGGTTGCAGTGAGCCGAGATCACGCCACTGCACACTCCAGCCTGGGCAACAAGAGTGAAACTCCGTCTCAAAAACAAAAAAACATTTAAGAACAGTGCCTGGTACACAGTAAGCACTACATAGGTGTTACCTTTTTTAAAAATTTATTATCCATCTCTTTAAATCTTTTTTTTCTTTTTTGAGATGGAGTCTCACTCTGTCACCCAGGCTGGAGTGCAGTGGTGCAATCTTGACTCACTGCAAACTTTGCCTCCCGGGTTCAAGTGATTCTCCTCCTACCTCAGCCTCCCCAGTAGCTGGGATTACAGGCGTGTGCCACCACACCTGGCTAATTTTTGTATTTTTAGTAGAGACAGGGTTTCTCCATGTTGGTCAGGCTGGTCTCGAACTTCTGACCTCAGGTGATCCGCCCACCTCGACCTCCCAAAGTGCTAGGATTACAGGTGTGAGCCACCACGCCCAGCCCTCTTTAAGTCTTTTTAAGGATCACTAACTACCTTTCAAAAAAGTTCCTAGATATGGACTTATTGAATCTCATGGTTTGAGTATCAATAAAGCTTTTTTTTTTTTTTTTTTTTAAGACAAGGTCTCTCTCTGTCACCCAGGCAGGACTGTAGTAGCATGATCATGGCTCACTGCAACCTTGAACACCTGGGCTCAAGCAAGCCTTTCCCTTCAGCCTCCCGAGTAGCTGGGACTACAAGCGTGTACCACCTTTTAAATTTTTGTTGACACAAAGTCTTGTTCTGTTGACCAGGCTGGTCTTAAACTCCTGGCCTCAAGCGATCCTCCTGTCTTGGCCTCCCAAAGTGCTAGGACTACAGGCATGAGCCACCATGCCCAGCCAGATTTTTTTTTTTTTTTTTTTTTTTTTTTTTTGAGACAGGGTCTCTGTCACCTAGTCTGGAGTCCAGTGGTGTGATCATGGCTCACTACAGCCTCGACCTGCTGGGTTCAAGTATTCTTCCCACCTCAGCTTACCGAGTAGCTGGAACCACAGACGTGTGCCACCACAACTGGCATTTTTTTTTTTTTTTTTTTTTGAGACAGTCTCGTCTGTTGCCCAGGCTAGAATGCAGTGGCATGATCTTGACTCACTACAACCTCCACCTCCCAGGTTCAAGCGATTCTCTTGCCTTAGCTTCCCAAGTAGCTGGGATTACAGACATGTGCCACCAGGCCCGGGTAATTTTTGTATTTTTAGTAGAGACGGGGTTTTGCCACGTTGGCCAGGGTGGTCTTGAACTCCTGACCTCAGGTGATCCATCTGCCTCTGCCTCCCAAAGTGCGGAGATTACAGGCATGAGCCACCTCACCTGGCCCGCAACGGGCTACTTTTTAAGTTGTTTTTTTTTGGGGGGTGGGGGGGATGGAGTTTTGCTCTTGTTGCCCAGGCTGGAGTGCAATGGCACGATCTCGACTCACTGCAACCTCCACCTCCCGGGTTCAAGTGATTCTCCTGCCTCAGCCTCCCGAGTAGCTGGGATTATAGGCATGCGCCACCATGCCTGGCACATTTTGTATTTTTAGTAGAGACGGGGTTTCTCCATGTTGGTCAGGCTGGTCTCGAACTCCCGACTTCAGGTGATATGCCCACCTCGGCCTCCCAAAGTGCTGGGATTACAGGTGTAAGCTACTGCACCTGGCCTACTTTTAAAATTTTTTGTAGAGATGGGGTCTCACTATGTTGCCCAGGCTGGTCTCTAACTCGTGGGCTCAAGCGATCCTCCTGCCTCAGCCTCTCAAAGTGCTGAGATTACAGAGGTTTATAAACCACCGTGCCCAGCCAATAAAGACTCTTGATACATTTGACAAGTTGGGTGGTGGTATTTTGGAGACTTTATCCTGCAATGGTGTATTAGAACATTTACGGCAATGTAAAAGTACTGAGAAGTAAGCATTTGTTTAAAATGAGATTAACGGCTGGGCGCGGTGGCTCACGCCTGTAATCCCAGCACTTTGGGAGGCTGAGGCGGGCGGATCATGAGGTCAGGAGATCGAGACCATCCTGGCGAACACGGTGAAACCCCGTCTCTACTATAAATACAAAAAATTAGCCGGGCTTGGTGGCGGGCGCCTGTAGTCCCAGCTACTTGGGAGGCTGAGGTGGGAGAATGGCGTGAACCCGGGAGGCGGAGCTTGCAGTGAGCCGAGATAGTGCCACTGCACTCCTGCCTGGGCGACACAGCGAGATCCGTCTCAAAAAAAAATAAATACATACATAAATAAATAATAAAATGAGATTAACAGATTAGGCATCTTTTAGCAGGAAATAAAACCTTAATTTTCTCTCTGGAAATCAGTGATTTATTATAAAATACCATAGTTTTAGATTAAAATAACATACACATAACATTTGTACTTCATCAAGAAAATGGTTCAAAACTTTTTCTAACCTAAAAAGTGTTTTTGTTTGTTTGTTTTTTGTTTTGTTTTGTTTTTTTGAGACGGAGTTTTGCTCATCACCCAAGCTGGAGTGCAATGGCACGATCTTGGCTCACTGCAACCTCTGCCTCCTGGGTTCAAGCAATTCTCCTGCCTCAGCCTCCCGAGTAGCTGGGATTACAGGCATACACCACCAGGCCTGGCTAATGTTTTTATTTTTAGTAGAAACGGGGTTTCGCCATGTTGGCCAGACTGGTCTTGAACTCCTGACCTCAGGTGATCCACTCACCTCCGCCTCCCAAAGTGCTGGGATAATGGGCGTAAGCCACGTGCCTGGCCTAACAGTGAATTATTTTTAGCATAGGTGAGTTGAATGCAAGTGATGGCAGTGGCTGCTGCCATCACGCTGTGTGGCTGGGGCTGCACACGCCATGGAGCTGGCGGAAGCCCCGCCCCTTCCGGGTTGGGACCAGAGCCGCAGACCCAGGCCTCCTGCTCTATGGAGCAAGCAGGATCCCCGCCCTCCTGGGCAGGGCTACAGCCGCCCAAACTGCAGCTGTGGATCTCAGCCTCCCTGTGCTCTTGGGGGAACTGGGAACAGGCAGGATTTGCCTTCCCAGGTACAGCTGCAGCCGCTGCGCCTGTGGCTGCAGACCTGGGCCTCTGGCTCCGGGAAGCGAGCAGGAGCTGGGGACAAGCGGGAGCCGGGCCCCTTCCCAGCTGGCGGGCTGGGAGCTCCCAGGTGCAGCTGCAGCCGCCCTCCCAGGCGTAGGACTGGGGCATCTCTGCAGCCTGCACCCTTGGGCGCCCCAGGAAGGGCCCCTCCAAGCCCCGGGGCCATGAATGGAGCGGGACGCAGGCAGAGTCCTGGGCAGAAGGGGGCAGGGTTCCCAGTAAGGCCCCACCCTCAGGCCAGGGAGGCCCTGAAGGCTACGGGCTGGATTGCCAGTCGCCCAGACCAGTCAGGACTTGTGGCACCTCTTCCCGGCCTGCCCATGGCCGCCCATGGGCCAATCAGCATGCACTTCCTCCCTTCTGAGGTCCATAAAAGCCTTGGGCTCAGCCAGCGCAGGGTAGAGGATGGCCAGAGGACAAAGAAGGTAGAGACACTGGACAACCAGCTGCAGAGAGGAATACACTCTCCACTGAGCGCTTCAGGGACAACCTGCTGGCAGAGAAGGGCTACTCTCTCTGCTGAGAGCTTCAGAGACCTGCAGAGAAGTCGGAATGACTCGCCTGTGGAAAGGAACCACCTTCTCCAGGGCCTCCTGTCGGCAAAGAGCTGAACACTCGACTGGACGACCTGCCTACAGAGAGGAGCTACCCATTCCTCTGAGCTGTTCTAACACTAAATAAAACTCTTCTTCACCCTTCACTTGTCTGTGTACCTCACTCTTCCTGGATGCAGGACAGGAACTCAGGCAAAGGTGCTGTGGCCACAGAAGTTTCTGGCTAGACAAATCAACACCCCAGAGATCCCATAACACAAGGGATATAATTTTTTCCTTATTCCCACTTTTCTGTTTTAAAAAAATGTCCTCTCCCAACAGAATCACCCATTTTTTACTCTGGTTTGGGACTGGGACTGGGAGTGCTTATATTTGTAAAGTCATTAGCATTCCCTTTAGTTTCCTATCTCCTTGAATGGATTTTAGAGGTTAAATTCCTTCCTTTTTGAGTTAGCAAACACCAGCAATCCACATGTCGTTGGAAGGAGTAGCACAGATAAAGTGCTGGGGTTCACTGTGGAGTGATTCATTCATTTCATTCAGTAAGAATAAGAAAATGCAAACTATAGACTAGGAGAAGCTATTTGAGATACATGTACCCAGGACGCACATACAGAATATTTTTTAAAGTGGGGAGGGGAATGAGGGTGAGGGCAAAAGAGTTGAACAAACACTTCACAAGAGGATATTCAAGAAAAGATGCTTGACATCACTGCCCCTTAGGGAGATGCAAATTAAAACCCAGGATTGGCCGGGTGCGGTAGCTCACACCTGTAATCCCAGCACTTCGGGAGGCTGAGGTGGGTGGATCACGAGGTCAGGAGTTCAAGACCAGCCTGGCCAAGATGGTGAAACACTGTCTTTACTGAAAATACAAAAATGAGCCAGGCATGGTGGCAGGCACCTGTGATCCCAGCTACTCGGGAGGCTGAGGCTGAGAGTTGCTTAAACCTGGGAGGCAGAGGTTGCAGTGAGCCAAGATCATGCCACTGCACTCCAGCCTGGGCGACAAGAGCGAGACTCCGTCTCAAACAAACAACAACAGGATTATCTATCTATAAGCATAGCTTAACATTTAAAAGATGATGTAATTAAAAATTCTTATTTTAATGACTAAAGCTATTTTGGTAATGGAAAACATAAAAACAAACTAATATCACAAATAAAACTGCTTGTCTTTTACTAAAATTAAAAGTACTTATAATATCAAATGTTGGTGATGTGGAGCAACTGAAACTTTCACGCACTGCTGTTGTGTAAATGGTTAAATACTTTGAAGACATTTTCATTTACTTTATTTTTATTTTTGTTTTCTTTGAGAGAGAGTCTCACTCTGTTGCCCAGGCTGGCGTGCAGTGGCACGATCTTGGCTCACCGCAACCTCCACCTCCTGGGTTCAAGCAATTCTCCTGCCTCAGCCTCCTGAGTAGCTGGGATTACAGATGTGTACCATCATGCCCCACACCCCAGCTAATTTTCGTATTTTTAGTAGAGACAGGGTTTTGCCATGTTGGCCTGGCTAGTCTTGAACTCCTGACCTCAAGTGATCCTCCCACCTCGGCCTCCCAAAGTATTGGCATTACAGGCGTGAGCTACCATGCCTGGCCTTGGTCAAATACTTTGGAAAACTGTTTGATTATATCTACTAAAGCTAAACATACAAATGCCCTATGACATAGCAATTTCACTCCTAGGTATAAACCCAAGAGAAATAAATGTGTATGTCTACTGAAAGACATAAGGAATATGCACAGCAGCTTTACTCATAAGATCCAAATAACAGAAACAACTCGTTCTGTGTATTCACACAATAGGTTACTAAAGAACCGTTTAGAACTCCTGTTAAATTGCAATTTTTTTTTTTTTTTTGAGACAGAGTTTCACTCTTGTCACCCAGGCTGGAGCGCAATGGTGTGATCTCAGCTCACTGGAATCTCCACCTCCCAGGTTCAAGTGATTATCCTGTCTCAGCCCCCCGAGTAGCTGGGATTACAGGCACCCACCACCACGCCCGGCTAATTTTTGTATTTTTAGTAGAGACGGAGTTTCGCCATGTTGGCCAGGCTGGTCTTGAACTCCTGACCTCAGGTGATCTGCCCACCTTGACCTCCCAAAGTGCTGGAATTACAGGCGTGAGCCACCGCGCCTGGCCAAATTGTAATTTATTTATTTATTTATTTTTATTTTTTTCAGATGGAGTTTTGCTCTTGTTGCCCAGACTGGAGTGCAATGGCACGATCTTAGCTCACTGCAACCTCTGCCTCCCAGGTTCAAGTGATTCTCCTGCCTCAGCCTCCCGAGTAGCTGGGATTACAGGCATGCACCACCACACCCGACTAATTTTGTATTTTTAGTAGAGATGGGGTTTCTCCATGTTGGTCAGGCTGGTCTCAAACTCCCGACCTCAGGTGATCTTCCCGCCTCTGCCTCCCAAAGTGCTGGGATTACAGGCATGAGCCACCGTGCCCAGTCCAAACTGTAATTTAGAACTACTGCTACATACAACTTGGATGAGTTTCACAGACACCGTGATGAAAGAAAAGAAACCAGACAGGCTGGGTGCGGTGGCTCACGCCTGTAATCCCAGCAGTTTGGGAGGCCGAGGCGGGTGGATCACAAGGTCAGGAGTTCAAGACCAGCCTGGTCAAGATGGTGAAACCTGGTCTCTCCTAAAAATACAAAAAAATTAGCCGGGCATGGTGGTGGGCACCTGTAATCCCAGCCACTCGGGAGGCTGAGGCAGAGAATTGCTTGAACCGGGAGGTGGAGGTTGCAGTGAGCCAAGATCATGCCACTGCACTCCAGCCTGGGCAACAGAGTGAGACTCCATCTCAAAAAAAAAAAAAAAATACAGTTTCTATGATTCCAATTTAACAGATAAAACTGTTTAAAAACAGATAAAACTTATCTCTGGTAACAACAGTCAGAACAGGTAATTTCTGGGAAGGAGAGGAAGTATCAATTAGGAAAAGATACAACGGAATCCCCTAGTGAGCTGGGAATATTCTATATCTTGATTGGATGGTGATTTTATATGTAAACATTCTTCAAGCTATATACTTAACATTTTTACCCTTAACTGTATATATACCTCAATGAAAAACTGGTAAGCTGTTTTGAGATGGGCCAAGATAAGCCGATGGACACCTTCATGTGGTACTTACTTTGGAAGCTGCCCAGTCAATCCAGCCTTTAGCGCAAGGGTCAACATTAATGAGCACAAGGCCTTCCACAAGCTCTGGATGGTTGAGCTGAAAGATGAGGCAAAGACAATAGTATGAAAGCTACACTCCCACAGTTCTTCTAAACAGTTGGAACATGGTTGATCAATTCTTACTTACATGCCTTAATGCCTCACATTTGAAAGTAAGACTACAAAGAGGGAGAACATGTGGAAAAATAGCTCTTGAAATCTGACTTAGCATATGGAAACCAGTTTCTGGTTTTGCTATCAAATTACTTATTTTACTATCAAATTATCTTGTCTTGCAAAGATCTATATGCAGTTGTTCAATTCATGGTGGATCTTCCTCATTGGGAAAGTGCGCTTGGCACAAGCAGCTGCTCCATGCTCATATATCTTTGTTCTCAACAGAGGCTTCTGAAGTTTTTTTTTCTGAAACCATCTGAACAGTCTGTATCATCCTCAGAAGACTCTCCTATCACTGAGGACGTATTAAAAAAAAATAATGATAATAATGTCTGGCCGGGCACGGTGGCTCACGCCTGTAATCTCCGCACTTTGGGAGGCTGAGGAGGGTGGATCACGAGGTCAGGAGTTAGAGACCAGCCTGACCAACATGGCGAAACCCCATGTCTACTAAAAATGCAAAAATTAGCTGGGTGTGGTAGTGGGCGCCTGTAATCCCAGCTACTCAGGAGGCTGAGGCAGGAGAATCACTTAAACCCAGGAGGCGGAGGTTGCAGTGAGCCGAGATTGCACCACTGCACTCCAGCCTGGGCGACACAGCAAGACTTCATCTCAAAAAAAAAAAAAAAAAAAATTTATAATAGGAGCTCTAGCTCTCTAGCTTATTTAATTTAATTTAATTTAATTTTCTTTTTGAGACAGAGTTTCGCTCTTGTTGCCCAGGCTGGTGCAGTGATGCTATCTCGGCTCACTACAATCTCGGCCTCTAGGATTCATGCAATTCTCCTGCCTCAGCCTCCTGAGTAGCTGGGATTACAGGCACCTACCACCACGCCCAGCTAATTTTTGTATTTTTAGTGGAGACGGGGTTTCACCATGTTGGCCAGGCTGGTCTCGAACTCCTGACCTCAGGTGATCCACCCGTGTCGGCCTCCCAAAGTGCTAGGATCACAGGCGTGAGCCACCGTGCCTGGTCCCTGGCTTACTTTTTTTCTCTGACTACAGTGATTATATTCACGATAGAAAATTTGATAAGCAGAGAAATTATAAAAAGCAGAAAATAAAAATTTCACATTATCTTACCACATATCAATCCATTAATATTTTTTGGTACATTTTCTTCCAGTCCTTTCCTATGGCTATGACAAACTTTATGTCAATCTATATTCTAACTTTTTGGTTAACATTATAATGTATGCAAACCATGTATCATTATAAAGCTTTTCGTAAACTTAATTTTAATGGCCGCACAAAATTCCATTATAAGCAGCATCTAGGACTTGCTTTTTATTGATGATGTACTGTCCCCATTTGTGATTTTTCAGGTATTGTTAAGTACAAAGCTAGGCTTTATACAACCTGTATCTAAAGCTGACAGAAGTTACAGAAAAACTGACATAAGGCCCAGAATACTGCCTGGTCATTTAACACAGCAGTAATAGCTGTGACCCAGGCACTGCCTCAAGGATGTTGAGGCTAATCCTCTACATACTTACTGCAAATCTGCTGAGGATGTAAGCTCCAGCTCCAACTCCAATTCCAATGATGCTTTTCAGGCTGTGAATGGGACATAACGACAACTGACAGAGTCAACTTCATTTGCAGGCAGCATTGCATAATTGAAAGCATACAACCTGGGTTGAAATCCTGGCTCTGATATTTATTAGATGTGAGAATTTGGGCAAGTGTTTTTTTTCTTTCCCCTAACTTTCTGAGCCTCAGTTCCTTATTTATAAAACAAGGATCTCAGCTGGGCGCAGTGGCTTACGCCTGTAATCTTAGCACTTTGGGAGGCCGAGGCAGGCGGATCACGAGGTCGGCGGATCACGAGGTCAGCAGATCAAGACCATCCTGGCCAACATGGTGAAACCCCGTCTCTACTAAAATACAAAAAATTAGCCGGGCATGGTGGCGTGCGCCTGTTAAAAAAAAAAACAAAGGCTGGGCACGGTGGCTCACGCCTGTAATCCCAGCACTTTGGGAGGCCGAGGCGAGCGGATCACGAAGTCAGGAGATCGAGACCATCCTGGCTAACACGGTGAAACCCCGTCTCTACTAAAAATACAAAAAAAATTAACCAGACATGGTGGCGGGCACCTGTAGTCCCAGCTGCTCGGGAGGCTGAGGCAGGAGAATGGCATGAACCCGGGAGGTGGAGCTTGCAGTGAGCCGAGAATGCGCCACTGCACTCCAGCCTAGGTGACAGAGTGAGACTCTGTCTCAAAAAAAACAAAAAACAAAACCAAAAAAAACAAGGATCCCACCAACTACTTTCAAGTTGGTTTTAATGGTTAAATAAAATATAACTGAGACCGGGGGCAGTGGCTCACGCCTATGATCCCAGGACTTTGAGAGGCCAAGGCAGGTGGATCATTGAAGGTGAGGAGTTCGAGGTCAGCCTGGCCAACATCATGAAACCCCGTCTCTACTAAAAATACAAAAAAAATTAGCCAGGCATGGTGGCCTGTGCCTGTAATCCCAGCTAAATGGGAAGCTGAGGCAGGAAAATCGTTTGAACCCAGGAGGCAGAGGCTGCAGTGAGCTGCGATCGCACCACTACACTCTAGCCTGGGTGATGGAGTGAAACTCCATCTCAAAACAAATAAATAAATAAATAAATATATGTATATATATGTATATATACATATATATATACACACACATATATGTACACACACACACACACACACACATATAAAAATATATATAACTGAAACCTGGGAGTTATCCTTGGTAGCTGTCAGTATCCAACCCATCAGCAAGTCAGTGGAGTCTATCTCCAGAATATATCCATCTACCTACTACTATCTACTTCAATCATCCCCCAACAGCAGCATCCAGTACCATGCTATCATTATCTCTTGCCTGGACTATTGTTAATAGTTTAACTGTTCTCCCTGCTTTCTCTCTCTGATTCTTCTCCAAACCATTCTCTTCTCAGTGAGATGAACGTTTTTAAAAAAATTTAAACAGCTTTATTTTTATTTTTTAGATACAGGGTGTCTCACTGTTACTCAGGCTGGAGTGCAGGGGTGGGATCACAACTCACTGTAGCCTTGAACTGCTGTTGTTAAGTGATCTTCCTGCCACTTGGCCCAGCTCAAGGTAGATTTTTAAATCTTCTAGGTCTCAGCGTGTGTGCCACCTTCCTAGAGAGGAATTCCCTAACTTGCCTTACTAATGTAGATCCCACCCTTATTCTCTATCACAACACCCCCACTGACTTATTTTATAGAACTTTATTATTTGTTTGCTTACTTGTTACCCCACTAAGCTCTAGGAGGACAGTGATAATATTTTTCCTAACCATCATATCCTCTGAAACAGACACTAAATAATTCACCATAGAAAGTCAATAAAAACTGCATGAAAGACTGCAGAATGAACCTACCTTAGGTGGGTAAGAACAGGAGGCAGCATTTCAGCCAGCTCATCCATTGTGGGGTACTGATACCTGCAATCCAGAAGGATATCTCCTGAATTAGAAAGCACTCACAATTCCCAGTTGCTAGAACAGCTGGAAAGGTCCAGAAGTCTTAGATAAAAGGCTGAGCGCAGTAGCTCATGCCTATAATCCCAGCACTTTGGGACACCGAGGTGGGCAGATCACCTGAGGTTGGGAGTTCGAGACCAGCCTGACCAACATGGAGAAACCTCATCTCTACTAAAAATACAAAATTAGCTGGGTGTGGTAGCACATGCCTGTAATCCCAGAAACTTGGGAGGCTGAGGCAGGAGAATTGCTTGAACCTGAGAGGCGGAGGCTGCCGTGAGCGGAGATCATGCCATTGCACTCCAGCCTGGGCAACAAGAGCAAAACTCCGCCTCAAAAAAAAAAAAAAATCTTAGATAAAAGCATTTCCTTTTACCAAAGGCTCAAAGGAGGTGATGTGGTACCCTGAAAATGATTGTGGCATATTGTGTAACTCTCTACAACTGCCATGCTAAGGAGAAAGTAAAATAATCCACGGTTTCTATATCCTAACAAGCAGCCCTTGGGACCAGAGGGTGCCACATGAAAAGAACTAGTAACATGGTTCTCTCTTAGGGTATTTCCAAACCTCTAACAATCTCTTCAGTTGGAGTCCAGGCTCAGTAAACCTCCGGCAGTAAGAGTCAACTCAGAAAGGGGGTCTTGGTCTACTGCTATATTTAGGCAACTAAATGCAAAAATAAAGCTTTTCTAGGTATGGGCACACAGTTACAAACCCTTAGCATGAATGCTTATTTGTTTCACTTAGGCATAGAATAACATAGTTATTTTTAAAATTTTATTATTATTATTATTATTATTATTAATTTTTTAAGAGACATGGTCTCACTCTGTCACCCAGGCTGGAGTGCAGTAGTGAAATCATAGCTCACTGTAACCTTGAACTCCTGGGCTCAAGCTATCCTCCTGCCTCAGGCTTCTGAGTAGCTGGGACTACAGGCGCATGCCACCATGCCTGGCTAATTTTTCAATTTTTTGTAGAGATGGAGTCTCGCTATGTTGCCAGGGCTGGTCTTGAATTCCTGGCCTCAGGTGATCCTCCTACCTCAGCCTAACAAAGTGCTAGAACTACAGGTGTGAGCCACTGTGTCTGGCATGGTTATTTTATTGTATTTGAATTTGGTTCATAATATGAACCATCTGATCCTAAGATGTTCGAGCAGGCCCAGGAACAGACCCAGATCAGAATTCCTAGAAAAGTAGTAAGCATCCGACTGGGAGCGTTGGCTCACGCCTGTAATCCCAACACTTTCAGAGGCTGAGGCAACCAGATTGCTCAAGCCCAGGAGTTCGAGACCAGCCTGAGCAACAGGGCAAAACCCTGTCTCTACAGAAAATAACAATAATTAGCCAGGCGTGTTGGCACACACTTGTAGTCCCAGCTAGTAGGGAGGCTGAGATGGGAGGATCACTTGAGCCCAGGAGGTTGAGGCTGCAGTAAGCCATGATCACGCCACTGTACTCCAGCCTGGGAAACAAAGCACTATCCTATCTCAAGAAAGAAAGAAAAAGTATTACAGAATTGGAGATGGAATTGATCCTAAGATGACCACTTATATATGAGGCAGGATCTGTTCTACATCTGACAGGGAAGTCAGCCTGCCTCTGCCTGAACACTTAAGGGGATGGTGTGCTGTGGAACCATTTGTCCACAAAATAGAAAAAAGGAACTGGATACAAATCTTGTTGGATATAAACTGACCACTGGCCAATTTGCATTTTAGAGTCAGATTCTGGCACCAGACTGTCTGGGTTCAAATCTTAGCTCTGCCACTTATTTGTTATGTAATGTTAGCCATGTTACTTAATTTTTCTGGGCCTCAGTTTCCTCACTTATAAAATGGGAATAATAGTAAACTTATCCCATAGGGTTGTGAGGAGTAAATGAGTTAACAAATGTAAAGCATTTAAAGCAGGGTCTGGAACACGGTTTGAGTACTATTTAAATATTAGCTATTATTTGTCTGCAATTGTCTATTTCCCAGCAGTCACTGGCCAAAGGCAGCTCTGGAGATGAGTGAAAGGATAGGGGAAGAATTAGCATTCCACAGAGTGTGTGCTCACTCCTCCTAAGGTCTTCTCAATAAGCACCCGTCCAGGGAACAAACAGGTAGGGAGCCTATGACTCTGCCCTGCGAAGCAGATGTAGGAGGAAGCTGAGAGTGCCAAAGCCAATCAATCACCCCACACCTCTATCTGCCAGGACAGCCTCTCAGAATAAACAGTTACACAGATAGTCAAATTTCCATTACTAGTTTGAGAGCTAAGGATGGGGAGATGCTCCCAGGAAAGCTCAGAGAGATCTGAATTTGGGCCTAAGTAGTTGGGAGTTTTGAGGAAGGACACAAAAATGACAGGTTTTTTTGTTTGTTTGTTTTCTTTCTGGGGACAGGGTCTTGCTCAGTCATCCAGGCACTGCAGCCTCAATCCCCTGGGCTCAAGTGATCCTCCCACAACAGCCTCCCAAGCAGACACGACCACAGGTGAACACCACCATGCCTGGCTGGCTAATTTTTCAATTTTTTGTAGAGACAAGGTATTCCTATGTTATCCAGGCTGGTCTTGAACCCCGGGGCTCAAGCAATCCTACTGCCTTTGCCTCCCAAAGTGCTAGGATTATAGGTGTGAGTCACCACGTCTCGCTAAAAAATGACAGCTTTCAAACAGATAAGGAAGGGAAAGATAAAGACAGTGAGGAGTAGATGTTCCAGACACTTATGCCTTGAGATTACAGGAAAGCAGGCACCTGCTATGGAGAGCCATTCCTGGATATGGGAAAACACACAGTTTCCCCCAAAAAACTGTACATAACAGTCCTCTCAGCCCAAGGAGAGAAAATATGAGGATGGTTGGTCAATAAGCATAACCTATAGACGGTAATAAAATCAAAGGGAAGCACACACCACTTCTCCCACTGGAGCTCAGCCAGTTGCTCTACTGAGTGCACGTCTCCCAGATGATCTTTTCGTGGCCTTACCCTGTTGGGAAAGAGGGTGCACCTTCCTGCTGGCCTGGGGCATCCACATGACAGACAGCAAAGTGCTGGGTGATCTCTTGCATATCCTCAAAGTTAAAGAATGCATTGAAACAGGATTTATCTATAAGAATAAAAATACCCATAAGTCACAGGCTCTCCATATCGCCCCAATTTTCCTCTACTCAGTCAATGCCTATTATCACCTTCTTTCCCTGCTTTTTAACCACCATTCCACCAAAGTGAGGTGTCTGAACAATCTGTCTGATTCAAGCTGCCCTAAAGGCTGAATATAAGACATCTCATATTGAGATACATATTGAAAACAATTCTTAATTCTAAATAATGTCTGCAAAGTAGAAATTACTTTGTTAATATTTGGTGGTTTCCGATTATTGCACAAAATAATCTTACACCCATAATGCTGTCATTTCTCATGGACATTATTCCTCTATCTCACAAACAGACACTGATTATACCCCAAGAGCACAGGTGGCGTGAATGTCCTGAGCTGTTCACATTCACCACACGGGAGTTTGTCTCTTGGCAAAATTGCCAGAGTGAAGGGAGGGGCTGCTGCTTCCACTTCTACCCTCTTTGTATACCTGCTTAAATCACTTCTCATGCCAAGGCAGCTACAAAAGCTTTAACACTCAACTGTGGCCTCAAATGCAGGGCATCTATGAAAGCCAGAGCAGCATGAAAGAAAACACATGTATGCAGACTCTGTGTGTCTATGGCTGGGGCCAGAATCTTACACTACCATCTAGAAAAGTCCACTTAAAGTCACTGGTGACAGGCTCTAGCAAGAATTCTTACTAATTCATTGAAGAGCTCACAACAAAGTTAAGTTCCAACTCTGAATTTTCTAACCTGAAACATATTTAAAAAAAAAAAACAGAGTACAGGCTTGAAAACATGGATTTCAGTTCTACTTTCTTAGCAGTGCATTGTATAATCTGCAATCCTTTAGCAGACATGAAGGCGAGATGTGATTCCAGTATCCCCAGAATACATTCCCCTGCACACTTCCCAGGAACTTTATACCATTAACGAATGTAGGAACAAGGAGGGAAAGTTACCACAGAGAGGGGGAAACCTCTGCTCTATTAGAATATTGTTGTTGTTTGGTTTTTAACATACAAAGATCAAGTATGATAAGAAGGGAAGGTGTAAAATAAAATACATACGGTTGAGGCCAATGTCATGATATGTTAGTATAACTGGTCTGTTTCCTTTGGGTAAGCCTCTTATAGTGACGTGGACCACACCATGAGTTGTTTCTATATCATGTTCCTGTAACAAGAGAATGTAAGTTCTCAGAAAAAGCAGAATGAACTTCCCAGGTTGCCAAAGTTTCACAATACCTGCTTTACCACCGTTTCCCACGAGCTGGGGCAGGACACATTAATAAATTACATGTGGCTGGGCGTGGTGGTTCACGCCTGTAATCCCAGCACTTTGGGAGGCCTAGGTGGTCGGATCACTTGAGGTCAGGACTTTGAGGATCAGCCTGGCCAACATGATGAAACCCTGTCTTTACTAAAAATAAAAAATCAGCCAGGCATGGTGGCACACGCACATAATCCCAGCTACTCAGGAGGCTAAGGCTGGAGAATCACTTGAACCTGGGAGGCAGAGATTACAGTGAGCTGAGATCGTGCTACTGCATTCTAGCCTGGTGACAGAGCAAGACTTCGTCTCAAAAAATAAAATAAAATAAAATAAATGCATACCAGAGAGATGCTAGAGTATACATAATATTCCTACTTTCCAATTCTTCCAGAAAAATAAATAGGGAGCAAAACACACCTTGTTATCTCCAAAGCTCACTTACGAGCCCAGGGATCTGTTGAGAATACATTTGCAATTGGCTATGGAAAGGAAATCAGCAAATTGGGTAAGGAGCCAGGTAAGACTTGTGGGGAAAAAAGGAAATGGAAGATATGAAGAAGTTGCTGGGTAAAAAATCAGAGGTTTTGGAGCTTCTGAACACATGTTCAGATAATTTATAATTAATTTCAGTAGATAATTTCACCAGACACCTATGGGTGTATCTGCCTAGGATCCCTTCTTTCCTGGGAGCTGTCCTTCTGTGTCATCCACACGTTACAGGGGTGGATCTTGGCTACCATGTTTGTGGAACATAAACTTACGGCCATAGCTTACTGGAGTCAGGGAGGCATCTGGCCCAGGCTGGGTCAGCACCTTTCCCTTGGAACTAAGAGATTTTTTTTTTTTTTTTTTTTTGAGACAGAGTCTCGCTCCGTCACCCAGGCTGGAGTGCAGTGGCGCGATCTCGGCTCACTGCAAGCTCCGCCTCCTGGGTTCACGCCATTCTCCTGGCTCAGCCTCCCAAGTAGCTGGGACTACAGGCACCTGCCACCACGCCCAGCTAATTTTTTGTATTTTTAGTAGAGACGGGGTTTCACTGTGTTAGCCAGGATGGTCTCGATCTCCTGACCTCATGATCCACCCACCTCCGCCTCCCAAAGTGCTGAGATTACAGACGTGAGCCACCGCGCCCAGCCTGTAATTGGAACTAAGAGATTCTAACTTCAGCTTGGCTCTCCTCTTGAAAAGAGGAATCAACTTGGGAGATTTTAGTAGGCATTTCCACTACTCTAATTTCTGGTGCTAGCTGTGTATACTTCTAAGTTCTAAGACATCCCTGGACTGCCTCTGGTTTAAGCTATATTGGGTGAGTTTGTACCCTCTACTCCTAAAAGATCTTAACCAAGCCAATCAGTTAAAGATGTAGCCAGAGCAAAGCTCAGGAACCAAATAGAGCAGACAAAAGATGCACCGAGCAAAGCTCAGGAACCAAATAGAGCAGACAAAAGATGCACCGAGCAAAGCTCAGGAACCCAATAGAGCAGACAAAAGATGCACCGAGCAAAGCTCAGGAACCGAATAGAGCAGACAAAAGATGCACCGAGCAAAGCTGAGGAACCCAATAGAGCAGACAAAAGATGCACCGAGCAAAGCTCAGGAACCCAATAGAGCAGACAAAAGATGCACCGAGCAAAGCTCAGGAACCCAATAGAGCAGACAAAAGATGCACCGAGCAAAGCTCAGGAACCCAACAGAGCAGACAAAAGATGCACCGAGCAAAGCTCAGGAACCCAATAGAGCAGACAAAAGATGCACCGAGCAAAGCTCAGGAACCGAATAGAGCAGACAAAAGATGCACCGAGCAAAGCTCAGGAACCGAATAGAGCAGACAAAAGATGCACCGAGCAAAGCTCAGGAACCGAATAGAGCAGACAAAAGATGCACCGAGCAAAGCTCAGGAACCGAATAGAGCAGACAAAAGATGCACCGAGCAAAGCTCAGGAACCGAATAGAGCAGACAAAAGATGCACCGAGCAAAGCTCAGGAACTGAATAAAGCAGACAAAAGATGCACCGAGCTGCTGAGAGTAGATGCCGCACTAAGAGTGGTTGGGTGGAAAAAAAAGGGACTACTGAAAAGTTAACTGAGATTTATTCTAGTCGTGCTCAAGTTTTATATTTCTCAAAAATAAAAAAATTACCATTCCTATCCTAGCGAATTTCTGTTGATGAAGCCTGTATCTATCTTACAAAGTCTTACATTAGGTAAGACAAGATTAACTCTGTCAATGAGAATCCCAAAAAAGGCAAAGGGCTTCCAGTTTAATTTCCTATCTAATAATGAACCTCATAAGAGCTTTGGTTTCTTCTCTGATGTGGGCACCAGAAGACAATCTTAAGCTAATTGGACATCAGTATATCTCAAATTACAGGCCCTAGGCTGGAGCCGATAGCCATCCCTACCAAATCAAACCATGTGTGACTCAATATTTCTGTTATTTTCTATTACTACTACCTCCTAGTCAAGTCTATTCAAAGCCTTCAAAAATGAACATAAGAAATGAAGACTAGAATCAGGTACTGTGAAACTGGCTATGAAATAAAGTATAGGCCAGGCGCGGTGGCTCATGCCTGTAATCCCAGCACTTTGGGAGGCCGAGGCAGGCAGATCATCTGAGGTCAGGAGTTCAAGACTAGCCTGTCTAGCACAGTGAAACTCTGTCTCTACAAAAATATAAAAATTAGCCAGGCATGATGGCAGGTGCCTGTAATCCCAGCTACTTAGGAGGGTGAGGCAGAAGAATTGCTTGAACCCGGGAGGCAGAGGTTACAGTGAGCCGAAATTGTGACACCACTGCACTCCAGCCTGGGTGACAGAGTGAGACTCTGTCTCAAAAAAATATAACAAATAAAGCATAAGGTTTGGATAGGAGGAATATAAAGAAATAACTTCCTATTTCTGTATTTCTCTTACAGTAATGTCAGACTTATTAAAGGACTCACTTCCCGACCCTGGTTCATTCATTAAACATCTATTTATTGAATGCCACTCCATGCCAGACCCTGGTCTGAGTTGTGGGGATAAAACAGTAAACCTGAGAAATGTGATCCCAGTCTTCACAGAGATTATGTTCTACATAGGGAGGCACACAATAAACACAGAAACAAATCCACCTGTAATAATAGCTTGTGATAGGTGCTATAAAAGAAACAACTAGGGTGCTACGATAGAAAAGTAAGAAGACATTACCTTCACTAAACAGACAGGAAAATGGAAATTAAATTCAATAAAATACTATTTCATACATACCAAAATGGCAAAAATGTAAAGTCAGATAATGCTAAGTGGTGACCAGGATGCAGAGAAATAACTAAGAACCAACATATACTGTTTTTTACGTTTTGTTTTGTTTTTGAGACGGAGTCTTACTCTATCGCCCGCCCAGGCTGGAGTGCAGTGGCACGATCTCAGCTCACTGCAACCTTCACTTCCCAGGTTCAAGCAATTCTCCTGCCTCAGTCTCCCAAGTAGCTGGGACTACAGGTGTGCACCACCAAGCCCCACTAATTTTTGTATTTTTAGTAGAGATGGGGTTTCACCATGTTGTCCGGGCTGGTCTCGAACTCCTGACCTCAAGTGATCCACCTGCCTCGGCCTCCCAAAGTGCTGGGATTACAGGCGTGAGCCACCGTGCCCCACAAGAATCAACATATACTGTTGGTAAGGCATATAAACTGGAACAACTACCAGGAGAATACTTTGGTAATTTCTAGTAAAGTTAAGAGGTGTCTACCCTACAGAAATTTTACCCTACAGCAATTTTACATATAGATATAATCTAAGGCTGGGGCCTTAGATTTCTGGTGCTAGCTGTATGTATTTGTAAATTCTGAGACATCCCTGGATTGCCTCTGGTTTAAGCTATATTGGGTGGGTTTGCACCTTATACCCCTAAAGGATCTTAACCAAGGCAGTGGTGGTGGCTCATGCCAGTAATCCCAGCACTTTGGGAGGCTGAGGTGAGAGGATCGCTTGAGCCCAGGAGTTCGAGACCAGCCCTGGCAACATAGCAAGACTGCATATCTACAAAAAAATAAAAACATTAGCCAGGTGTGATGGCATGTGCCAGTAATCCCAACTATTCGGGAAGCTGAGGCAGGAGAATGGCTTGAGCCCAGGAGGTCAAGGCTGTAGTTAGCTATGATCACAATACTGTACTCCAGCCGGGGTGACAGCAAGACCCTGTCTCAAAAAAAAAAAAAAAAAAAAAAAAAAAAAAAAAATATATATATATATATATATATATATATATATATATACACACACACACATATACACATATATATATACACACATATATATATACACACACACATATATATGTGTATATATATGTATATACGTATATATATGTGTGTATATATATATTCTAAATAAACTATCAAACATGGTCATATACACAAAAGGACATGTGCAGAGATGTACGGGTGACCCTCAAACAACACAAGGGTTAGTGGTGCCAACCCACTGTGTAGTCAAAAATCCACATATAACTTTTGATGCCCCCAAAACTTAACTACTAATAACCTACTATTGACCAGAAGCCTTACTGATAACATAAATAGCTAACTAACACATATTTTGTATGTTATATTATAAACTGCAGGGGTCCCCAACACCTGGGCCACAGACTGGTACCAGTCTGTGCCCTCTTAGGAACCGAGCCGCACAGGAGGAGGTGAGTGGCAGGTAAGAGCAAAGCTTCTGTCTTAAGAGCCACTCCCCGTTGCACTGCCTGAGCTCTACCTCCTATCAGATCAGCAGTGACATCAGATTCTCATAGGAGCATGAACCCTATTGTGAACTAAGCATGCAAGGGATCTAGGTTGTGTGCTCCTTATGAGAATCTAATGCCTGATGATCTATCACTGTCTCCCATCACCCCCACATGGGACCATCTAGTTGCAGGAAAACAAGCTCAGGGCTCCAACAGATTCTACATTATGGTGAGTTGCACGATTATTTCATTATATATTACAATGTAATAATAGAAAGTGCACAATAAATGTAATGTGCTTGAATCATCCCAAAACCATCCCAAATACATGGAAAAATTGTCTTCCACAAAACCGATCACTGGTGCCAGAAAGGTTAAGGACCACTGATATACTGTATTCTTACAATAAAGTAAGCTAAAGAAAAGAAAATGTTAAGAAAATCGTAAGGCAGAGAAAATATATTTACTATTCATTAAGTGGAAGTGGATCATCATAAAGGTCTTCATCCTTGTTATCTTGTTGAGTAGGCTGAGGACGAGGAGGAACAGGAGGGGTTGGTCTTGCCATCTCAAGGGTGGCAAAGAAGGAAGAGGTGGAGGAGGTGAAAGGGGAGGCAGGGGAGGCAGGCACACTTGATGTAACTTTACAGAAATACATGGTAATTTGTCTGACTTTTTACACTCTCATTTTTCTAAAAATGTTTCTATACAGTACCAATCCTTCTTCCACTGTTTACTTTAGTTAAAGTGTGCGTATCACAGAATAGTTCCTGACATAAAAGAAGTGAAAAACAGTCTTGAATAACTGGAACCCTTCTGCCAGGCTGTCTAATGTCAATTTGTTTTCTGGCACTGCTTCTTCTACATATTCCTCATTGCCTGGCACTGGTTCAGAAGCATTCATCTCCATCAAGTTGTCTTCTGCTAATTACTCTGGTGTGGTGTCTACTAGCTCTTAAATTTCTCCAAAATCCATACCTTGAAACCCTTCATCCTATGACCCACCTTTTTTTGGTCATATTCATAATCTCTGTAATGATCCTTCATTGGCTCTGTTGTAAATCCTGTGAAGTCATATACAACATCTCTACACAGTTTTCTCCAGCAGAAATTTATTGTTTTCAGCTTCATGGCTTTCAAGGCCTTTTATTTATTTATTTATTTATTTATTTTTTGAGACAGGGTCTCATTCTGTCACCCAGGCTGGAGTACAGTAGCGTGATCTCAACTCACTGCATTCTCCACCTCTCAGGCTCAAGCAATTCTCCCACCTCAGCCTCTCAAGTAGCTGGGACCATAGATGCATGCCACCATGCTCGGCTAATTTTTGTACTGTTTGTAGCATCAAGGTTTCACCATATTGCCCAGTGTTGCAGGAAGTCAGGGACCCCAAACAGAGGGACCTGCTGAAGCCGTGATAGAAGAACATAAATTGTGAAGATTTCATGGACATTTGTTAGTTCTCCAAATTAATACTTTTACAATTTCTTATGCCAGTCTTTACTGCAATCTCTGAACATAAATTGTGAAGATTTCATGGACATTTATCACTTCCCCAATCAATACTCATAATTTCCTATGCCTGTCCTTACTTTAATCTCTTAATGCTGTCATCTTCGTAAGCTGAGGATGTATGTCGCCTCAGGACCCTGTGATGATTGCGTTAACTGCACAAATTGTTCGTAGAGCATGTGTGTTTGAACAATATGAAATCTGGGCACCTTGAAAAAAGAACTGGATAACAGTGATGTTCAAGGGAACAAGGGAGATAACCATTAGGTCTGACTGCCTGGGAGCTGGGCAGGACAGAGCCATATTTCTCTTATTGCCAAAAACAGGTAAGAGCAATATCGCTGAATTCTTTCCCCAGTAAGGAATATTAATAATTAACAGCCCTGGGAAAAGAACGCATTCCTGGGGGGACGGAGGGGGATCTCTAAAATGGCCGCTGTGGGAGTGTCTGCCTTATGCAGTTGTAGATAGGGATGAAACACGTCCTGGTCTCCTGCAGCGCCCCCAGGCTTGCTAGGATTAGGAAATTCCAGCCTGGCAAATTCTAGTCAGACCAGTTCTCTGCTCTTGAACCCTGTTAAGATGTTTATCAATGACAATGCATGCACAGCGGGACATGGAACTTCATCAACAATTCTAGTTTCGCCCTGGCCTTGTGACCTTGCCCTACCCTTGTGACCTTGCCCTATCCATTTGCCTTGTGATATTTTATTGCCCTTGAAGCATGTGATCTCTGTGACCCACACCCTATTCGTATACTCCCTCCCCTTTGAAAATCGCTAATAAAAACTTGCTGGTTTTACGGCTCAGGGGGCATCATGGAACCTGCCGACATGTGATGTCTCCCCCCGGACACCCAGCTTTAAAATTTATCTCTTTTGTACTCTTTCCCTTTATTTCTCAGACCAGCCAACACTTAGGGAAAATAGAAAAGAACCTACACTGAAATATTGGGGGATTCCCCCGATAGCCCAGGCTGGCCTTCAACTTTGTTTTTTTTTGAGATGGAGTTTCACTCTTGTTGCCCAGGCTGGAATGCAATGGTGTGATCTCGGCTCACTGCAACCTCTGCCTCCCCAGTTCAAGTGATTCTCCTGCCTCAGCCTCCCAAGTAGCTGGGATTACAGGTGTGCATCCCCACACCTGGCTAATTTTGTATTTTTAATAGAGATGGGGTTTCACCATGTTGGTTGGGCTGGTCTCAAACTCTAACCTCAGGTGATCCACCCACCTTGGCCTCCCAAAGTGCTGGGATTACAGGCGTGAGTCACTGTGCCTGGCTAGCCTTGAACTTCTAAGCTCAAGCAATCTGCTTGCCTTGGCCTCCCAAAGTGCTGGGATTGCAAGTGTGAGCCACCGCGTGTGGCCTCTGGCTTTTTCTTTCTTTTTTTTCTTTTTTTGAGACGGAGTCTTGTTCTGTCACCAGGCTGGAGTGCAGTGGCACAATCTTGGCTCACTGAAATCCCCACCTCCCGGGTTCAAGTGATTCCCCTGCCTCAGCCTCCCAAGTAGCTGGACTACAGACGCGCGCCACCATGCCTAGCTAATTTTTTGTATTTTAGTAGAGATGGGGTTTCACCATGTTGGCCAGGATGGTCTCGATCCCCTGACCTCGTGATCCGCCCACCTCGGCCTTCCAAAGTGCTGGGATTACAGGCGTGAGCCACCACGCCCGGCCGCCTCTGGCCTTTTCTATAACAACAATGGCATCTTCAATGATGTAATCCTTCCGGACTTTTATGATGTTCCATCTATTGGGATTCTCTTCCACAGCATTGACAATCTGTTCCATAAAGTACCATGTATAATGAAACTTAAAGGTCCTTATGACCCCCTGATCTAGAGGCAGAATCAGAAATACTGTGTTTGAGGGCAAGTAGAACACTTAGACACCTTCAGTATTTAACTCAATACTGAAGTTCTGGGGTTCTGGGTGGCCAGGGGCATTGTCCATATCAAAAGAACTTTGAAAGGCAGCCTCTCACTGGCAAGGTATTTTGTGACTTCAGAGACAAAGCGTAGATGGAACCAATCCAGAAAAAGTGTTCTCATTATCTAGGCCTTCTTGCTGTACAATCAAAACACTGGCAGCTGGTGTTTTTTGTTTCCCTTCAAAGCTTAGGGGTTTGCAAGTTTAAAGATAGGGCAGTCCTGATCATAAACCTGGCCGCATTTACACAAAACAGAGTTAGCCCATCCCTTCATGCCTTAAATTCTGGTGCTCATTTCTCTTCCTTACTAATATGTCCTTTGTGGCAGGTTTTTTCCCCCCCAAGAATAGGGCACTTTTGTCTGCATTAAAATCTGTTCAGGGCCGGGCGCAGTGGCTCACACCTGTAATCCCAGCACTTTGGGAGGCTGAGGCTGGTGGATCACCTGAGGTCAGGAGTTTGAGACCAGCCTGGCCAGTATGGCGAAACCCCATCTCTACTAAAAAATACAAAAATTAGCCAGGCGTGGTGGCGGGTGCCTATAATCCCAGCTACTTGGGAGGTTGAGGCAGAAGAATCGCTTGCACCCGGGAGGCGGAGGTTGCAGTGGGCCAAGACCGTGCCATCGCACTCCAGCCTGGGCAACAAAAGCAAAACTCTGTCTCAAAAAAAAAAAAAAAAGATTTAATACTGCATCTTTACATTTGTTTACATTTCTCTCAACCATGAATGGTGCCATGTATGATCTATAAGTGTGTGCATAAATTTTAACTTTTTGTAATAGATTTGTGTATATTTTATGTTAGTAAATGATAAAATAGACTAATGTCTACATATAGTTTATACAATCATGACATACCTTTTTCCGAATGTTTCCAATAGTTCTAGGTTACATAATTTGCGAGTTTTTTTCTTTTTTCTTTTTTTTTTTTTTTTTTTTGAGACAGAGTCTTGCTCTGTCACCCAGGCTGGAATGCAGTGGCCCGATCTCAGCTCACTGCAACTTCCACTTCCTGGGTTCAAGTGATTTTCCTGCCTTGGCCTCCTGAGTAGCTGGGACTACAGGCACACGCCACCACACCTGGCTGATTTTTTGTATTTTTAGTAGAGATACCATTTCAACATGTTGGCCAGGCTGGTCTCAAACTCCTGAACTCAGGTGACCTGGCTGCCTTGGCCTCCCAAAGTGCTGGGATTATAGGCATGAGCCATCCTGCCCCGCTGTGGGTTTTTTCATATTGCTACAAATCTCCGGAAGCTTTCTGACTGTGTGTGGTGGCTCATGCCTGTAATCCCAGCACTTTGGGAGGCTGGGGTAGGAGGACTGCTCGAGCCCAGGAGTTTGAGACCAGCCTGGGCAACATGGTGAGACCCTGTCTCTACAAAAAATTTTTAAAAAATAGCCAGGCCTGGTGGTGCATGCCTGTGGTCCCAGTTACTTGGAGGCTGAGGTAGGAAAATCACTTGAGCTACAGTAAGCCATGTTCTTGCCACTGCACTCCAGCCTGGGTGACAGAGCAAGACCCTTTCTTAAAAAAAAAAAAATCCAATTTATGTATTGAAAAAAAAGCCATGTATAAGTGAACCTATACAGTTCAAACCTGTGTTGGTCAAGGGTGTAAACATCACAACCTTCTCTATAATGTCAAAAAAACTGGAAACAGCCCAAATATTCATCAATGGGGAAATTAATAAATGAATTACGATTTATTCATATAATGACATACAGATAAAAATGAACTAGAATTATTAGCATTAATACACACAGAAAATCTTCAAAAAAATGTAAAAGAGCAAGATGCAAAAGGATATATATTAAAAATATACCACTTATGCCAATATTTTAAAAAGCAACACTATAGATTCTGTTTATTTATATATATGTATACATACATATACGTACACATATATATTTAGAGACAGGATCTCATTCTAGTGCCCAGGCTAGAGTGCAGTGATGTGATCATAGCTCACTGCAGCATAGAACTCCTGGGCTCAAGCAATCCTCTCACCTCAGCCTCCCAAGTAGCTAGGACTACAGGCGCATACTGCTACACCTGGCTAATTTTTATTTTTTAGATTTCTTGGAGAGACGGGGTCTCCATATTTGCCCAGGCTGGTCTTGAATTCCTGGCCTCAAGTGATTGTCCCAAATCAGCCACCCAAAGCGCTACTACAGGCATGAGCCAGCACAGCCAGCCTATAACTAAAGTATAAAAACTTGGAGGAGAAACAAGGTACACTAACTTTAGAACTTTGTTTCCTTCTGGGAATGGATAAATTATTAAAGAGAACTAAAGGAGGTTTCAATATCTCTCATGTTTTGTTTCTTGAGAGATATAAAGAATAAAGCGGGGGGAGGCAGCAAGAAAAAGGGAGAGAAGGAGAAAGTGTCTGCCATATGGAGTGACACTACAGGCAAATCCAAGTTAAAGAGAGCGTCCGACAACTTGTCACCTTGACAATCTGGTTGCTGGAACCTGTCTTCTGTCAAACTCAAACCTTCAGTAGGGTCCTGCTTAAAGATTCCAGTTTGGCCACTGCTGAGAACTGAGGGAAACACCAGTTTATACTCTGGCTCTACGCATAGCAGGACCTTGCCAAGGCCCGGTAACTGATGGTAACTGGTGGTGGTGGTGGTGGTGGTAGGGTGTGTGTGTGTGTGTGTGTGGGTACACACAGGAGGTGGATGGGGATGAGACAGTGAGCTGCCAGGGAAGGTCAGGAGAAGGATGGTAAAAAGGGAGATATAACAGGTGGGGGTAAAAGACAATACTTTAAAAGTAGATGAGGGAGGCCGGGCACGGTGGCTCACATTTGTAAAATCCCAGCACTTTAGGAGGCTGAGGCAGGCGGATCACGAGGTCAGGAATTCAAGACCAGCCTGACCAACATGGTGAAACCCGTCTCTACTAAAAATACAAAAATTAGCCAGGCGCGGAGGCAAGCG
Organism: Homo sapiens; assembly: GCF_000001405.40. NCBI lineage: Eukaryota > Metazoa > Chordata > Mammalia > Primates > Hominidae > Homo > Homo sapiens. The sequence goes on from NC_000020.11 coordinate 36,699,994, forward strand.
CCTGTAATCCCAGCTACTCAGGAGGGAGGAGAATTGCTTGAACCCAGGAGGCGGAGGTTTCAGTGAGCCAAGATCACACCGCTGCACTCCAGCCTGGGTGACAGAGTGACAATCAGTCTCAAAAAAAAAAAAAAAAAAAAAGTAGATGAAGGAATAGGGCAAAGTTACTACTTTGTTGCCATTTCATAATCTGGATGATATTCAAAAGTAAAATTGGCTCCTTACAAAATTTCAACTTTTTAGGGATATCTCAGCCCCTACCATGCCATAATATGCCCTCAAGTCATGTAACAACAAAAGTATCCAAGAGTCCTAGGCCCTGATCATTGCCCTATTTGGAGCAGCCCCTAGTTGTCAATGTCTCAAAGTTCTTCATTTTCAAAGTATGTGAATGTAAATATGCTTAGCAGAATAAAAAACAAAAAGAAAGGAAGCACTCACCTCCATGGTGATTGGCATGCATATTTTTCGTGACCTTGTGAATGAACAGCTTGAAAAAAACTCCATCTGAAGATGAATGTGCAGAGACCCTGGCTAAGGAGCTGATTCAGTTGTCAGGCCACTGCAGGGAGTAACGTGCTGTTGCTACCTTTTTGTCTTAGTCAATTATCATCTGTTTTACAGGCTCTCTATCCAGTTATCTCATCTCCCACCCCAGCATTCTAGAGTGTGACTACACAATGAGCCTGTGCTCAAAGAGCACAGTCTAAGGGAGCATCTGATAGGCTCTGGTCATAGATCTCTCCCATCTCTCCCAGCAGTTTCTTTGCTTTTCCTTTTCTTTCTTCTTTTTTTTTGAGACAGGGTCTCGTCATTGTCTCCTAGGCTGGAGTCCAGTGGTGTGATCATAGCTCACTGTAATCTTGAACTCCTGGGCTCAAATGATCCTCCTACCTCAGCCCCCCAAGTAGCTTGGAGCACACATGCTTGCCATCATACCCAGCTAATTTTTAAATTTTTTGCAGAGATGGGGTCTCCCTATATTGCCCAAGCTGATCTCAAACTCCTGGGCTCAAGTGATCTTCCTGCCACAGCCTCCCAAAGTGCTGGGAATATAGGCATGAGCCACCATTCCCCGGCTCTCCCAGTACTTACTGATTATTTATTACCTCCAAGGCTATGCACTTCTTGAACATAATCCCTTTATTCTCCATGTTTATAAAACAACATGAAATCATAAAGGTCCTTGACATACTTCTCTATTCTGGACTGTCTCTCCCACCTAATGAAAGCTGTAGTCTTAAACACAAGGTCTTTTTAAGGTCAGGCAGGATGGCTCAGGTCTGTAATCCTAGCATTCTGGGAAGCCAAGGTGAGAGTATCACTTGAGGCCAGGAGTTCAAGACCAGTCTGAGCAACAGAGCAAGACCCCATCTCTACAAAAAATATATATATTTTCTAATTAGCCAGGCACGGTGGCATGTGCCTGTAGTCCCAGCTACTCAGGAGGCTGAAGCGGGAAGATTGCTTCAGCCCAGGAGTTCGAGGTTACTGTGAGCTATAATCACGTCACTGCACCCCAGCCTGGGTGACAAAGTAAGACCCTGTATCTTTTTTTTTTTTTTTTTTTTGAGATGGCGTTTTGCTCTTTTTGCCCAGGCTGGAGTGCAATGGTGCGATCTCAGCCCACCACAACCTCCGCCTCCTGGGTTCAAGCAATTTTCCTGCCTCAGCCTACTGAGGAGCTGGGATTACAGGCATGCGCCACCATGCCTGGCTAATTTTGTATTTTTTAATAGAGACAGGGTTACTCCATGTTGGCCAGGCTGGTTTCGAACTCCTGACCTCAGGTGATCCACCTGCCTCGGCCTCCTAAAGTGCTGGGATTACAGGCGTGAGCCACTGTGCCCAGCTGAGACCCTGCATCTTTAAAAAAAAAAAAAAAAAAGCCTTTTAAGAATGTAAGAGTTTAAGATATTACCATTATTTAATAACCAACTTTCACTTTTTTCTTGAGCCCTCTGACTTCAATAAATGTGTTGTCACTGGAATGACACGATCTGACTTGTCCCATATTTCTAAACTTAACTAAATCATGCTAAATCACTAAATCATGATCATTTCATGCCTGTTACTATTTCTTCCTCTTTCTGGCTAGTCTGAACTAGTTTAGTTATATTTGCATGACAACATACTCTGGGAAATGTCAACTTTTTTTTTTGAGACGGAGTCTTGCTCTGTGGCCCAGGCTGGAGTGCAGTGGCGTGATCTTGGTTCACTGCAAGCTCCGCCTCCTGGGTTCACGCCATTCTCCTGCCTCAGCCTCCCAAGTAGCAGGGACCACAGGTGCCCGCCACTATGCCGGCTAATTTTTTTGTATTTTTAGTAGAGATGGGGTTTCACCGTGTTAGCCAGGATGGTCTCGATCTCCTGACCTCATGATCCGCCCACCTCGGCCTCCCAAAGTGCTGGGATTACAGGCGTGAGCGACCGCGCCCGGCCCCAATATTTTTATTAGTATGAACTGTTATTGTTTCCAATAAGCAGGCTACTGTATGAGGCCTGGGTATAGTTTTTGTTATACAAGATTTTTGTTTGTTTGTTTTTGAGACAGAGTTTCACTCCTGTCACCCAGGCTGCAGTGCAAAGGCTCAATCTCAGCTCACTGCACACTCTGCCTCCCGGGTTCAAGCCATTCTCCTGTCTCAGCCTCCCAAACAGCTGGGATTACAGGCACCTGCCACCATGCCCAGCTAATTTTTTTTTTTTTTTGAGATGGAGTTTCGCTCTTGTTGACCAGGCTGGAGTGCAATGGTGCGATCTCGGCTCACCTCAACCTCCACCTCTCAGGTTCAAGCAATCATCCTGCCTCAGCCTCTCAAGTAGCCGGGATTACAGGCATGCACATGCCTGGCTAGTTTTGTATTTTCAATAGAGACGGGGTTTCTCCATGCTGGTCAGGCTGGTCTTGAACTCCCGACCTCAGGTCATCTGCCCACCTCAGCCTCCCAAAGTGCTGGGATTACAGTTGTGAGCCACCAGACCTGGCCTAATTTTTGTATTTTTAGTAGAGACAGGGTTTCACCATGTTGGCCAGGCTGGTCTCGAACTCCTGATCTCAGGTGATCTACCCGCAGAATTATAAGCAATCTTTATTTTTATGCTTTTCTAAGTTTTCTAAATTTGTTTCTGATTATACACAAAATAAGTGTTATTTATCTAAAGCAATATATCATATACACATATAAATTACAGCATCTGTCTCAATGCTGTCTCTAATATACATATATGTATACTACACGTGTATATATGTATATCATATACATGTATATTAGAGAGTGTTGGGACAGATGCTATAGTTATCTGTAATATATCTATATAGTTTACATGTATGTGTGTGGATATATATACCCACACACACATATATATATACATATATACTCAACATAGTGAGACCCTCGTCTCTAAATATATATATATGTAATATCCTATCTATCTATCTATCTATCTATCTATCTATCTATCTATATGTGTGTGTGTGTGTAATATATAGAGAGAAAGACTGGGGTCTCACTATGTTGCCTAGGCTGGTCTCAAACTCCTGGGCTCAAGCAATCCGCTTGCCTCAGCCTCCCAAAGTGCTGGGACTACAGGCGCATGCCATCGTGCCCAGCTAATTTTTTATTTTTTAATTTTTTGTAGAGAAGGGGGTCTCCCTATGTTGCTCAGGCTGTTCTCAAACTCCTGGGCTCACACAATTCTCCTGCATTAGCCTCCCAAAGCTCTGGGATTACAGGCATGAGCCATAGCACCCAGCCTTTCTGTTTGTATCAGAACAGAACTAAAAGTTCTATTTCACAAGGCCGGAACATGTTACTATTTTAAAGCTTTACCCAAAGTATCAAGAATTTTTGCCAGACTATTTTTAAGCCTTAATATTAAAAAGTGACTCATAATTATATTTCTAAAACTCAATTTCATATCTACAATTATATATATGTATGGAAAAAAAATCTCAAATGACATATGCCAAAATATTAACACTAGTGAAATAGCAGGTGATTTTTATTTATTTACTTTTTGGTGTTTTCTCATTTATTTTGCAACAAGTATGTAATCTTTTATATTCTAATTTTTTCTCTTTTTTTCCTTTTTTTCTTTGAGATGGAGTCTCACTCTGTTGCCCAGGCTGGAGTGCAGTGGCAGGATCTCAGCTCACTGCAGCCTCCGCCTTCTGGATTCAAGCAATTCTCCTGCCTCAGCCTCCTGAGTAGCTCGGATTACAGACGCAAACCACCATGCCTGGCTAATTTTTGTATTTTTAGTAGAGATGGGGTTTCACTATGTTGGCCAGGCTGGTCTTGAACTCCTGACCTCGTGAACTCCTGACCTCAGCCTCCCAAAGTGCTGGGATTACAGGCGTTAGCCACCGCACCCCACTATATTCTAATTTTCTTACTTCGGAGGAGGTGCTGAATTTGATGAAAATTAATACTTCTACACTTTGGGGCAGGAGTATACATGTATACATATACTATTTCTGGAGTTCCTCACCTTGAATTTTACTGTCACCCTCTCTCTAATGTTTTCCTTCTTGGTAAATTATATCAAATATTAACAGTAATCAAGCTCTACTGGTTCAACCTAGGATCCAAACCATAACTGAAGTTAGATCAAATTAAAAACAATCCAACCCAAACTTGACTGTCACTATTTATTAAAAAATAACGTAACTTATTGTTTTAGAGGAAAGGAGCCATTGCCTACAGTGAATGACTGTATCAGCACTAGGCTGATAATGTTCTATATACAAAGTACCAAATAGTTATTACAAACGAGTTTGGAACTGAGATTCAGAAATCTGTAACTGTACTATGAGCCTGACCCTTCCAAGGTGAGTCTCATCTGTTCTTCCAAGGAACCTCAGCTTTAAGGACAATTAATTCCTTACATTTCATTTCCCCTCTGGACATGTCCAGGTGGGAAAAAATGGGCAACGGATTCAGGAAGAATGGGGTTTTTCAATCCCAACCACTCAATGGCAAGTTATAAAACTTAATTCTTAATTTCCTGACTATAAAACAGAAACAAGAAAAACCATCTTGGCCAGGTGTGGTGGCTCATGCCTGTAATCCCAGCACTTTGGGAGGCTGAGGTGGGTGAATCATTTGAGGTCAGGGGTTCGAGACCATCCTGACCAACATGGTGAAACCCCGTCTCTACTAAAAATTAAAAAAAATTAGCCAGGTGTGGTGGCGGGCTCCTGTAATCCCAGCTACTTGGAGGCTGAGGCAGGAGAATCGCTTGAATCCAGGAGGCAGAGGCTGCAGTGAGCCAGTATCAACGCCACTGCACTCCAGCCTGGGCGACTGAGCAAGACTCTGTCTCAAAAAAAAAAAAAAAGAAAAGAAAAGAAAAGAAAAGAAAAAAAACCCATCTTGTAATATTGCTCTAAGTATTGAAGATACTGTATGTTTAGTAGGTACCCTACAGTAGGTACTCAAATTATTATAACTGGTTTGCTTATAAATAGTTCTTTCTTCTGATGCTAATGCTTAGAGATTCCACTGTACTTAACATAAAACGCATATTTGAAAATAACTATTTGCTGGGGGGTATACAGGTTGGCTGAATACTGGAAGCAAGGACGTTGCCAGCACCCTCCTTTACTGCTAGTACCCTCTGGGTCTACTTCATGTCACTTCTGTTACTGCTATGGCATCTATCCCAAAAGTGGGAGGGTCAGGCTGCCCAGCTTATAAGGTTTCCAGTTCCATGTACTTATTTCTTACTCCCATGTTTTCTTTTTCTTATTTATTTATTATTATTTTTTTGAGACAGAGTCCCACTCTGTTGCCCAGGCTGAAGTGTGGTGGTGTTAGCTCACTGCAACTTCTGCCTCCCAGGTTCAAGCAATTCTCCCACCTCAGCCTCCTGAGTAGCTGGGATTACAGGCACGCACCATCACGTCCAGCTAATTTTTGTATTTTTAGTAGAGATGGGGTTTCACTGCGTTGGCCAGGCTGGTCTTGAACACTTGACCTCAGGTGATCTGCCCACCTCAGCCTCCCAAAGTGCTGAGATTACAGGCATGAGCCACTGTGTCCGGTCCTTAGTCCCATTTCTTTCAGGACCAGTCAACAGATAGAAGAGGTAGATGGAGAACTGCTGGTTCATTTTACTGATTTTCAAACTGGCAACAGAGGTGATGCAAAAGCAGACCAGGAAGAACAGTTTCATTTAGAAAACACTAATGAGTCAAGTTGAATTTTGCATTTCCAAACATAAACCCAAGAGAAATCTGCATATTGTATTCATAACAATTTAGGGAAAGATTTCTTTTAGGGAAAGATTTTACTGTCAAGAAATCTCTCCTCCATCTGCCCTTCTCCTATCTTCTCTGCGGTAAGGTAGCAACCCTCCATTTGCCACCTATGACAAATGAGGTTTCCAATATCATGTGAGGAAAAGAGATCTTAATCACAAAGAAACAGCTCTATTCAGTAACCTACAATCATAAAACAGGTACCTGGCAGGCAATTTCTGAACACGATAGCAAATCAGTTTTTTTGTTTGTTTGTTTGTTTTTGAGATGGAGTCTTACTCTATGACCCAGGCTGGAGTGCAGTAGCACGATCTCGGCTCACTGAACCTCTGCCTCCTGAGTTCAAGTGATTCTCCTGCCTCAGCCTCCTGAGTAGCTGGCATTACAAGCATGCACCACCACGCTTGGCTAATTTTTGTATTTTTAGTAGGATGAGTTTTCACCATGTTGGCCGGTATGGTCTCAAACTCCTGACCTCAAGTGATCTGTCTGCCTTGGCCTCTCAAAGTGCTGGAATTATAGGTATGAGCCCCCATGCCAGTGGCCAACAATTGCAAATCATTTTAAGTGAACTTGATCCAATGACCAAACGAACATTAAGGACTCATTATTAGCTATAATGAGAGATCCACTTCTACAAGACCACCACCACAGGAAAGGAAACACTGCAGAGATCCTGTACAGAGCCTCCTTCTTGCTTGTACAGTCCTTACCTGACAGTCAAAGTCCTGGAAGTTTCTTGTACCATTCTGTCAACAGAAGACAGAAAACACAGTCAGTTTCCCCACATGGTTTCCCCACATGTGCAGCACATTCAGTTCACAGTGACAGCAGTGCATGTGCAGCCTCTTGGTTGCCATAAAACTGAAATAGTTCTCATCAGAAGGTTTCAGAGGCAGAGTGGGTTATGAACATGTGTTAATAAAGGCCAAATCTTCAGAGGTGAGATTATGCTTTAGTGGGCTTATGAGAAGATAAAGGAAAGGGGCCTAGTTTTCTAGCAAGCTTGTAACTTCTTGCCTTCCTACCTAAGGAGAGCGGTGAGAATTTGCAGGAAGAGGGTAAAACATGGACCACAGTCTGGAAGCACACCTTGAACACACAAGGGAAGTACCTGGGAGGAAAGGAGTTGGAGACCAAAGCTGAGAAAGGTGAAGGAGAACAGGTGCAGAACCAGGAATTAAATAAAGGATCAGGAAGAGGACAAAGATATGGATGGATCAGAAATGAAAGCCTTGAAATCTAACAGAGAAGAAAGGCAGTGTTACTGAAGGAGGGAAAGAAAGACAAAACAAGGTTCTTAATACACTGGCCTATCTGTTGCATCCTATGAAATCGCTGATAGGGAAAAAGGACAAGTCATTGAATCATTTAAAAAGTCAAACACAGTCAAAAAATCGATGGAGAATTCACCAAGCTTCTAAAAAGGGATTATATTATAATAATGACTGATTGAGGAAAAAAAAATCAATGGCAATAACTCAGAAGCATTTTTCCAGCATTCCAGATGCCAGAATTGCAAGTCATAAGAGTATAAAAAAGGGGCCGAGTGTGGTGGCTCACACCTGTAATCCCAGTATTTTGGGAGGCTGAGGCAGGCAGATCACCTGAGGTCAGGAGTTTGTGGGCAGCCTGGCCAACATGGTGAAACCCCGTCTCTACTAAAAATACAAAAATTAGCCGGGTGTTGTGGTGTGCACCTGTAATCCCAGCTACTTGGGAGGCCGAGGCAGGAGAATTGCTTGAAACTGGAAGGCGGAGGTTGCAGTGAGCTGAGATCGCACCACTGTGCTCCAGCCTGGGCAACAGAGTGAGACTCCATTTCAAAAAAAGGAAAAAAAAAAAGGTAACAAGTGATGTATTTGGGAATAAAAGAAAACTTCTACTTGATTTTTCACAAAGTGTAACCCCCTTCCTGAAAAAAGTCTCCCATTATGTAGAAACTGATTTATCACAACTATTTATTCTGTCTCTACAATGACTTCTAGAAGGTTCCTAACAGCTTCCCAAAAGCTGCCCCTCCAGAGATACTCCAGATATCTGATCCCCAAAAAATACTGAGTAGTCCCATCTCCCTTCAAGATGATCCTCCTAGAAATAGTTCTTCAGGGCCGGGCACGGTGACTTATGCCTGTAATCCTAGCACTTTGGGAGGCTGAGGGAAGTGGATCACCCAAGGTCAGGAGTTTGAGACCAGCCTGGCCAACATGGTGAAACCTCATCTCTACTAAAAAACTACAAAAATTAGCCGGGCATGGAGGCGCCTGTAATCCCAGCTACTTGAGAGGCTGAGGCAAGAGAATCACTTGAACCCAGGAGGCAGAGGTTGCGGTGAGCCGATATTGAGCCATTGCGTGTCAGCCTGGGTGTCAGAGCGAGACTCCGTCTCAAAAAAAAAAAAAAAAAAAGAAAAAGAAAAAAAGAAATAGTTCTTTGGGATCCCACCAACTACACTGCTGGCTGGACAAAAGAGAGGTTAAAAAGCACAGCCCAAGCCGGGCGCGGTGGCTCACGCCTGTAATCCCAGCACGGCACTTTGGGAGGCCAAGGCGGGCGGATCACCTGAGGTTGGGAGTATGAGACCAGCCTGACCAACATGGAGAAACCCCATCTCTATTAAAAATACAAAATTAGCCAGGTGTGGTGGTGCATGCCTGTAATCCCAGCTACTTGGGAGGCTGAGGCAGGAGAATTGCTTGAACCAGGGAGGCGGAGGTTGCAGTGAGCTGAGATCATGCCATTGCACTCCAGCCTGGGCAACAAGAGTGAAACTGTCTCAAAAAAATTAAAAAATAAGTAAATAACTAAATAAATCACAGCCCAGTGTGGTATAAACACCCAAAGAAACAAACTATCCACTCCATAAGAGGGACTATCTAGAGCTGCACTATCCAGTACGGTAGCCGTTAGCCATATGTACAATTTAAGTTTAAATTCAATAAAATAAAATCTCAGTTTCTCAGTTACATTAGCCATATCTCAAGTGCTCATACTCTTGGGCAGTACAGACACAGAACATTTCCATGACTGCAGCAAGTTCTACTGGACAGCACTGATCTGGAAGCCAAAAGCTTCTGAAGGAATAACGTTATGAAAGAGCAGCCCCTGACTTTCTAAAGGTGGCAGTAAAGTCACAACAGATTACCAATCATAGAGAGACTGCAGATGCCACTGAGAATGGGCAAGAGAATGGTAGAGACAGTAAAATATTATTCCTAACACGAAACCGAATTCACAAAAAGTCTGATACAGTCACAGTATGGAAAGACAACTAAGATACTGTGCAGATGGGACTGGGCAGCACATTTCCAAGGAATGTTGCTATTGATTAAAAGGAGCATAATGTTCCATGGCTCCTACTAGCCCTAAGAAATGTCTGAGGACTTCTTCAGAGAAATCATTGTGTTTAATTTACAGATAGACTATGAGAAGCAAAAGAAAGGGTCCTCTCATGGATTAGGATAGATGGTTTTTGTAGGATATAAATGGCCAGCCAGTGAGTTTCTGGTTCCTGATTCAACTTGTACCTTCCTCCAAATATAGCACAGGGCCTGGTGTAAATCAGGTGCTTGATACAGATTTATAAAACAAATAAGCCAATATAAAAAAATTAAATGTTGAGGAAATTCTGTTAAAATTTTGGGTTAAAAAAAAAAACTTCTACTGCATTCCAGCTTAAGATATGTATGGTTAGTAAGAGGGAAAAGAAAGTAGGATACAAAATAGTCTTTACAGTTTGACCTTGGCTACATTAAAATATGCATTAAAAAAGACTAAAAGGCCGGGCACAGTGGCTCATGCCTATAATCCTATCACTTTGGGAGGCTGAGGCAGGCAGATCACTTGAGCTCAGGAGTTCAAGACCAGCCTAGGCAACATGGCGAAATCCCATCTCTATAAAAAATGCAAAAAAAAATTAGCTGAGCGTGGTAGTGCATGCTTATAGTCCCAGCTACTTGAGGGGCTGAGGTGGGAGGATCACTTGAGCCCAGGAGGTCAAGGCTGCAGTGAGCCGAGATCGCACCACTGCACTCCAGCCTGGGTGCAAAGTGAGATCCTGTCTCATAAATAAATAAACAAATAAAAGACAAAAACATTAACAATAGCAGCTGCTTCTGCAGAGAGAGGTTATGGGTGATTATAATTTTCTTCATATTATGTACAATGAGCATGTATTTCCCTTTCTGAAATTAGAAAACTAGAAAAAAAGGGTCTAGAAAACCCTAAAAAAATACCCAATTTAGTATTTTGTAATATAAGATTTAAAGGGCCAGGTGCGTTGGCTCATGCCTGTAATCCCAGCACTTTGGGAAGCCGAGGCGGATAGATCATGAGGTCAGGAGTTCAAGATAGGATTGGCCAATATGGTGAAACACTGTCTCTACTAAAAATACAAAAATTAGCTGGGCATGGTGGCACGTGCCTGTAATCCCAGCTACTCGGGAGGCTGAGGCAGGAGAACTGCTTGAACCGGGACCCGGGTGGCGGAGGTTGCAGTGAGCTGAGATCGTGCCACTGCACTCCAGCCTGGGCTACAGAGTGAGACTCCGTCTCAAAAAAAAAAAAAAAAAGTCAGTCAGGCATGGTGGAGCGTGCCTGTAGTCCCATCTACTTGGGAGGCTCAGGCAGGAGAATCACTTGAACCTGGGAGGTAGAGGTTGCAGTGGGCTGAGACGGCGCCACTGCACTCCAGCCTGGGCAACAGAGCAAGACTCCATCTCAAAAAAATAAATAAATAAGGGCCAGGCGTGGTGGCTCACCCGTATAATCCCAGCACTTTGGGAGTCCGGGGCGGGTGGATCACGAGGTCAAGAGATCAAGACCATCCTGTGTAACACGGTGAAACCCCATCTCTACTAAAAAAAAAAAAAAAAATAGCCGGGCGTGGTGGCAGGCGCCTGTAGTCCCAGCTACTCACGAGGCTGAGGCAGAATGGTGTGAACCCGGGAGGCGGAGCTTGCAGTGAGCAGAGATCACGCCACTGCACTCCAGCCTGGGCGACAGTGCGAGACTCCGTCTCAAAAAAAAAATAATAATAATAAATAAATAAATAAATAAATACAAAAATGTAAAGATTGACCTAACCTTTTAAGGAATGATTTATAATGATGCCTAAACAGACCATATTAGGGCTTCAATCTAACAGAATTCCCAAAGGTTCCTTTAGGGATTATTTTAAGATTAGAAAAAATCACTCTAGATTGAATTAAAATCTCATAGAATATAGAGCCACAAATTCTGACGAGCTCTTTGGGAAGCAGCTGTCATTGTATCCATGAATTCTCCCTTCTTACAATGATGTGACCATGACCATGAGGCATTCTGTAAAGCCCTCGGTCCCTGACATGAGCACAAAGGGGCATGCCAAAAGCAGAAAGCCAATGCCCTCAAGAACCTCAAGCTATGTCTTATTTGTTGAGTACCGAGCAAAAAACAACTCTGTGTTCTCAATCCCATGTTCCTAGCTATACTCCCAGATAAAAGGTACCAATAACTGAGTGAAGACTATTTAGCACTTGTTTTCCTGGCTGTTTTTTTGAGACGGAGTCTCGCTTTGTCGCCCAGGCTGCAGTTGCAGTGGCACGATCTTGGCTCACTGCAAGCTCCGCCTCCTGGGTTCACGCCATTCTCCTGCCTCAGCCTCCCAAGCAGCTGGGACTATAGGCACCCGCCACTGCGCCCGGCTAATTTTTTGTATTTTTAGTAGAGACGGGGTTTCACCATGTTAGCCAGGATGGTCTCGATCTCCTGACCTCGTGATCTGCCCACCTCGGTCTCCAAAGTGCTGGGATTACAGGGGATTACAGGTGTGAGCCACCGCACCTGGTTGTTTTTTTGTTTTTTTTGTTGTTGTTTTTTTTTGAGAGCGATCCCAGACCCTCTTGAAGAATGGCTTCTAGCTTCATGAGTAATCACCCTGGAAAATGGGAATGACTGGGTCTATTTGACAGTAACTGGCTCCAGAGTTTCTGAATGGGGATCATTAGCTGGTCCTTCACTCAACTGTGATTAACTGAGGCCATATTATTTATTCTCTGTACTCATTAAAAGTTCAGTACTGCTCATTGGGGGCATTCTAAAAGGCTGAGTACCTTCTGGGGCCCTTCCCTAGAGACTTGTTTCTTTTTCTTTTTCTTTTTTTTTTTTTTTTTCCTGAGATAGGGTCTCGCTCTGTCAGCCAGCCTGGAATGCAGTCGCATGATCACAACTCACTGCAGCATTGACCTCCCAGGCTCAAACGATCCTCCTGCTTCAGCCACTTGAGTAGCTGGGACTACTGGCATGTGCCACCATGCCCGGCTATATATATATATATATATATATATATATTTTTTTTTTTTTTTTTTTTTTTTTTGAGACGGAGTCTTGATCTGCTGCCCAGGCTGGAGTGCAGCGGCATAATCTCCATTCACTGCAACCTCCGCCTGCCAAGTTCCATCGATTCTCCTGCCACAGCCTCCAGAGTAGCTGGGATTACAGGCACACGCCACCATAACTGGCTCATTTTTGTAGTTTTAATAGGGACAGGGTTTCACCATGTTGCCCAGGGTGGTCTCCAACTTCTGGGCTCAAGCAATCTGCCCACCTTGGCCTCCCAAAGTGTTGAGATTACAGGCGTGAGCCACTGCACCTGCCCTGTTTCTTTTTCCTTCTGAGACAGAGTCTTGCTTTGTCACCCAGGCTGGAGTTGCAGTGGCATGATCATAGCTCAGTGCAGCCTTGACCTCTGGGCTCAAGCAATCCTCCTGCCTCAGTTTGTTTGTCTCTGATGTTCACAGTATATGGTTCCACTCTAACAAAACTTCTAGAAATTTCAGGCTATGGGTGCTTTCTTTTTTTCTGTCCATTTTGAAGATGCCATTAATTCCATATTCAGAGAAATTCTTACACTAAGCAGACTTAAGCAGCAGAAAGGGATTCAAGGAAAAAATTAAAACAACAGAATAATTTGAAGAGGAAAAAAATCAAGGAAAGCCATTAATTATTACTGAAAGTTGCAGTCAAAGTAGAAGCCAGCTAAGAGGAATGTTTTCTGATGGAGCTTAGTGGCCATATGTAAAAGGTAAATAAAGCAACCCAAGAAGGTAAATTAAAGCAAGCAAGCCTCACAGTTACAAGCTTAGAGAATAAGCAAAAAGAAACTAGGAACGGGTCAATGATTAAAGTGAATTATGAAAAAAAAGGGGGGTGTGAAAAGCAGAAATGTTTCAAAAACAAGTCATTGCTAGGGAGAAGAGAGATGTAGTTTCCTAACATGAGATCTGGTCAAAAGGCATCAATAGTTTCAAAAGACAGAAGCAACAGACATAATGTAAAGAAAGATGAGATAGTTGAAAGATGAGATAGATAAGACCTTAGACCAACTATCAATAGAAAGAGATTTTGGGTGAATTTACCTGTTCTGTGAATTTAAAGGAAAGGTCCATTTCTGATTCACCATTCTATTCCTGGTCCTGACACTTAATGAGTGCAATAAACATCATTTTGTAGAGGTTATGAACCTCTCAAAATAGAGATACTTGATTTGAGGAAGAAACGAATACCAAAGAGGAAAGGTTACACGTAATTGACATGCTAGGGACTAAAGTGGAGAAAATGAGTTGGTGCAATAGTAAAAGCTTTTAGAAATAAGCTGATAAAAAACTGTTAAAGAGAATAAAATATGACTTTGTATTAAAAAGCCATACACAAAAAAGATAATCCTTCCCTACAAAAAGTGGAAACAAAGATGGGGGATTGTACAAGCAAGAAGAGTTACATATGCTCAGAAAATACTCAGTTTTTCTTTAATAATAAAGATTCATATAATCAACTAGTATAATAAATCGGTGTATTAAAATCATCAGCAGGGCCGTGCGCGGTGGCTCATGCCTGTAATCCCAGCACTCTGAGAGGCTGAGGCAGGTGGATCATGAGATCAGGAGTTCGAGACCAGCCTGCCAAGAGACCAGCCTGGCCAAGATGGTGAAACCCCATCTCTACTAAAAATACAAAAATTAGCAGGGCGTGGTGGTGGGCACCTATAATCCCAGCTACTCGGGAGGCTGAGGCAGGAGAATTGCTTGAACTGGGGAGGCAGAGGTTGCAGTGAGCCGAGACCACATCATTGCACTCCAGCCTGGGCAACAGAGCAAGACTCCAACTCAAAAAAAAAAAAAAAAATCTTCAGCAAATCATTTTCTTCTTTTTTTTTTTTTTTTAGACAGAGTTTCGCTCTTGTTGCCCAGGCTGGAGTGCAATAGCGCGATCTCGACTCAGAGCAACCTCCGCCTCCTGGGTTCAAGCCATTCTCCTGCCTCAGCCTCCAGAGTAGCTGTGGCATGTGCCATCATGCCTGGCTAATTTTGTTTTTTTTTGTTTGTTTGTTTTTTTGAGACGGAGTCTTGCTCTGTCGCCCAGGCTGGAGTGCAGTGGTGCAATCTCGGCTTATTGTAAGCTCCACCTCCCAGGTTCACGCCATTCTCCTGCCTCAGCCTCCCAAGTAGCTGGGACTACAGGCACGTGCCACCACGCCCGGCTAATTTTTTATTTTTAGTAGAGACGGAGTTTCTCCATGTTGGTAAGGCTGGTCTCGAACTCCCGACCTCAGGTGATCCGCCTGCCTTGGCTTCCCAAAGTGCTGGGATTACAGGCATGAGCCACCGCGCCAGGCCCAGCAAATTGTTTTCAAGTAGAAATCTGTTCAAACTGATAATCCAGGGATAAGAATGAAAATCCTATATCTGTGTGTGTGTGTGTGTGTGTGTGTATATATATATATATATATATATATATATATATATATATATATATATATTATATTTAAGTATCTATAGCAATCATTACCTTCAAAATATACTAAGAAACAGACTTCATAAAGAAATTTATAAAGAGGTTGGATACTTGGATAAAACTATCTACAATCAGATAATCCTCTGCAGATTGCTGAAAAAGTACAATTTCCACTCTAAAAATCCCATGGGCACTCTGCTAAGGTGTGGCTAAGATGTGGATCTCTTGCCTCCTGTAACTGGTTGAGGGTCATCTGGTCTGTAACGGTGGCATCACTACCTGCTTCGGAACCCATTTCTTGCTGCAGTCCCGTCTAGAGCACTTCTGACAACAGATGTAACCATCATGTCTTAGTACATTAAGGGACACCCACTCTAGTCCACACTAGATGTAGCACTTCATGAATATTCTTTGATGAAAATGTCAATAAATCTATTTTTAATTACAGCTGTTTCTTCTTTTCTCTCTCTCCCCCTAGGTTTTTTTTTTTTTTAAACAACCTTGGAGCTGGGTGCGGTAGCTCATGCCTATAATACCAGCACTTTGGGAGGCCGAGGCAGGAGGATTGCTTGAGCTCAGGAGTTTGAGATCAGCGTGGGCAACAAAGTGAGACCTCTTCTCTACAAATAACTTAAAAATTGGCCAGGCATGGTGGGCACACCTGTGGTCCCAACTACTTGGGAGGCTAAGGTAGCCTCCCAAGTAGGTGGGAATTGCTTGAACCCAGGTGGTAGAGACTGCAGCAAGCCATGGCCATGCCACTGTACTCTAACCTGGATGACAGAGACCCTGTCTCAAATAAAAAAAAGATCCTGGGGCCAGGCACAGTGGCTCACGCCTGTAATCCCAGCACTTTGGGAGGCCGAGATGGGTGGATGGCTTGAGCCCCAGAGTTTCAACATGGCAAAGCTCCGTCTCTAAAAAAATACAAAACGTAGCCAGGCATGGTGGCAAGAGCTACTCAGGAGGCTGAGGCAGGAGAATCACTTGAGCCCAGGAGGCTGCAATAAGCCATGATTGTGCCACTGGACTCCAGCCTGGGCAACAGAGCAAGCCCTTGGCATAAACGCTTTGGCTGTCTCTGTTGTCCTGGAGGTTACAAAATGTTGTTCCCAGGGTTCTCCCTCCTCTAGTTCTAACACCCTCCTCCCTCCTCTGCTTACATGTTGTGATTAGTAGAAAAGGAAAACTTAAACTGCAGTAAGATTTACCTCACTTTCAGGTGGGTGCGGTGGCTCATGCCTGTAATCCCAGCACTTTGGGAGGCCGAGGCGGACGGATCACTTGAAGTCAGGAGTTCAAGACCAGCCTGGCCAACATGGCAAAACCCCATCTCTACTAAAAATACAAAAACTAGCTGAACATGGTGGCAGGTACCTATAATCCCAGCTACTTGGGAGGCTGAGGCAGAAGAATCACTTGAACCTGGGAGGCAGAGGTTGCAGTGAGCCGAGATCATGCCACTGCACTCCAGCCTGGGCAACAGAGCGAGACTCCATCTCAAAAAAAAAAAAAAAAAGATTTACCTCACTTTCTACTGTAACAACCAAAACAAAGTATATAACTTTTTTCTGTTCTCTCTACTAAACATTTATTCCCCTTTCTGCTATTTCCTCAATTCTTCAGAAGCCAAGTGTGGCCTTCTACTTGTTTTCTCAAGCCTCACCTTTGGCTTTCACAGGGTTCAGTAGTATCTGAACCTAGTAGGTAGAGGAAGGCAGGGAAAATGAGGCAAAACAGTCTACTCTCCTGTTTATTACAAGGTCTTTTGGGTGAGGAGCCTGGAACAACCAGGTACAAGAGGCAGTAGATGGTGGGAAGAACCCTAGACCCCCAGGTCCAGGTCAAAGTCAAAAGATGTAGGTTCTAGCCTGGCTTCACCAACTTAACAGACACTAGCTCTGAACAAATCAGATAACCTCTCAGTGTCATCTGTAAAATAGAGTTAAAATATCTTCAACTATTTACAAGAGACTGGAAGATTAAAATAAGATATTATTGGTGAAAGTGCTCTGAAAATAGTTAAATGCTATTTTAAAAATCATTTCATATGCCCATGCAATTTCTGTCCCGCAAAACAAAGTACTGGTGGTTGCTTCTTTTCATCACTAGAGCCAAAACAAGTATGACAAAATTATCCACTTCTTGACAATTCTGAGCCGTAGACAAAATTACAGGCATACTAAAATAAAATGGGAAAAGTACCAACAAATGACAAGAGACAACATAAGCCTTGCTCAAAGCTATATTGAGAATGCCTCCTTACAAGTCATCTCAGGACAAATTTCACGGTAAAAGGTTGGTTCTAGTCTTCCTTTAGCTTCCTGAAGCCTGGAGGATGCAGCAATGTCTTCAGTATATTTATGAGAATAATGGACAGAAGGATAAGGTGAAATACTACACATTTTTAGGCTTCTCCTTAAAGAGACAGGGTAAGCCACAAAGGTGATGCCAAAACATCTATAGGATTAACACAGTGGAAACAGCTCAGGTTTTAAGAGTAGGAAAGACTTTGGTTTCTGTCTGGCTTTGCCACTTCTTTACTGGGCAAACCAGCCTTTCATTCGGATTTTTAATCTGTGAAGTAGGAATAATACTATCTATCTCAAAGGGATATTCTGAGAGAGAGAATGTATGTAAAGCACTTGGCACATAAGAGATAATAAATCATAGCAGGACAGGCAAAAACAACAACAACAAAACCCTCAAGCCATCTACTTCTATGCAAATCTGAAGGCTTTTCCTCTATACCAGTGGTTCTTAACCAAGGAAATTTTGCCTCCCAGGGACATCTGGCAATGTCTGGAGACATTTTTGGTTGTCACCACTGGGGAGTGCTATTAGCATCTAGTGGGTAGAGGCCAAAGATGCTGCTAAACATTCTACAATGCACAGAGCAGTGTTCCACAACAAACAATTATCCAACCCAAAACATCGACAGTGAGAAATCCTGCCATACAGCAGGCATTCTTTGATACTCAATAGGAGTAAGCTACTTCACCTTTCCTAGCCTTCGTTTACTCACTGGCAATGTGGGAATACATTTATCTGTGCTCCTTCCTCATCAAGCTATTGGGAGGTTCAAATGAAGTAATGGATGAGAGGCATTATTATCATTATACCTTTT
Organism: Homo sapiens; assembly: GCF_000001405.40. Taxonomy (NCBI): domain Eukaryota; kingdom Metazoa; phylum Chordata; class Mammalia; order Primates; family Hominidae; genus Homo; species Homo sapiens. The sequence goes on from NC_000020.11 coordinate 36,718,158, forward strand.
ACTATATACACAAAACCATCCACTTGCTGCGCAAAGACAGAAGCATTCACATACTGGGGAGGGGGAGAGGGAGGCTAACGGGGTGGAAGTCTTTGTTTGGAGGTGCCATGATCTAAAGAGGGCCTCTTGCCTATCTACCTGCTTGGCGAGAGCCAAGAGAGTTCTCATGAATAGTGATGGCACAGGAGCACTTACGTCTCAGGGAGAGAAAGGAGTAAGGTGGAATGTGGGAAGTGGGTAGGAACAGCATAGGCCTATCAAAGAGGAGCAGATAGATGTTAGGAAGTGAGACACTGCTTTGTGTCTTAGTCTACTCGGGCTGTCATAACAAAATAACATAGACTTGATGGCTTAAAACAACAGAAATTTATTTTCTCACAGTTCTGAAGGCTGCAAAGTTCAAGATTAAGGTTCTAGAAGGGTTCAGTTTCTCATGATTAATCTCTTCCTGGTTTGTGGACAGCTGCCTTCTTGCTGTGTCCCCATATGGCAGGGGAAGGGAGAGAGAAAGAGAGCCTCTTTCTCTATTTATTTATTTTCTGAGACAGGGTCTCACTCTGTTGCCCAGGCTGGAGTGCAGTGGCACAATCACAGCTCACTGCAGCCTCAACCTCCCAGGCTCAAGTGATCCTCGCAGCTCAGCCTCCCAAGTAGCTGGGACTACAGGCATCTGCCACCACACCTGGATCATTTTTTTAATTTTTTGGTAGACAGGATCTCCCTTTGTTGCCCAGGCTGGTCTTGAACTTCTGGCTTCAGGTGATCCTCCAGCATCAGCCTCCCAAAGTGCTTGGATTATAGGTGTGAGCCAGGTTATAGGTGTGTGCCTGGCTCAGATTTTATTTCCTTCCTCCTCTCCTAGGCACAACATTTTTGGCACAGCCCTTCACATACACACATACACAAATGGTACTTAAAGGAGAGAGTTTTCTGGAAATATGAGGGGATGCAGCAGGAGAAACCAAATGGAGGTTAAAAAAGCGTGCAGTGGCCGGGCGTGGAAGTTCACGCCTGTAATCCCAGCACTTTTGGAGGCCGAGGCGGGTGGATCAAGAGGTCAAGAGATCGAGACCATCCTGGCCAACATGGTGAAACCCCATCTCTAGTCAAAATACAAAAATTAGCTGGGCATGGTGTTGCACACCTGTAGTCCCAGCTACTTGGGAGGCTGAAGCAGGAGAATCGCTTGAACCCGGGAGGCAGAGGTTGCAGTGAGCCAAGATCACGCCACTGCACTCGAGCCTGGTGACAGAGCAAGACTCCGTTTCAAAAAAAAAAAAAAAAAAAGCCTGCAGCTTGCCAAGGGAGAGAGAAGTCTGGTGAAAGATAAAAGAAGGGGTGGGAGTGGGAATGGAGAGGTCACAGGGATGAAAATAGGGGTGGCAGGATTCAAAAGCAAATTAGTAAGCACAAAATAAGTCAGCAGCTCCAGAGGCTGCAGGTGAAGGGCCTTGCCTTGGGCAGATAAAAAGTAATAAGCAACAGATCATCCCCTGGTGTCACCCGCACACCCCCCCTCCCCGCCCCTCCGCCCATCCATCTTTATCCTCACACTCCGTCAACACTCCCTCAGGAAAGGATGGCATGGCCTCACTCACACAAAGCTACAAGAGTATTTCAAGAGGGGACAATGACAATACACCAAAAGAATAGAGTGGAAAAGAAGGAATTTCAAGCAGCTGGGCATGGTGGCTCATGCCTGTAATCCCAGCACTTTAGGAGGCCAAGGCAGGTAGATCACAAGGTCAGGAGTTCGAGACCAGCCTGACCAACATGGTGAAACCCTGTCTCTACTAAAAATACAAAAATTAGCCAGGTGCACGCCTGTAATCCCAGCCACTCCGGAGGCTGAGGCAGAAGAATCACTTGAAACCGGGAGGCGGAGCTTGCAGTGAGCCGAGATTGTACCACTGCACTCCAGCCTGGGTGACAGAGTGAGACTCCGTCTCAAAAAAAAAAAAAGAAGGAATTTCAGGCACATTTACCGAACAATAAGGAACAAGAGAGAAAACAAAACTTCTTTTCTTTTTTTTGAGCCAGAGTTTTGCTCTGTCGCCCAGGCTGGAGTGCAGTGGCATGATCTCGGCTCACTGCATCCTCTGCCTTCCGGGTTCAAGTGATTCTCCTGCCTCAGCCTCCTGAGTAGCTGGGACTACAGGCCTGCACCACCACGCCCAGCTAATTTTTGTATTTTTAGTAGAGATGGAATTTCACCATGTTGGCGAGGCTGATCTCAAACTCCTGACCTCAAGTGATCCGTCAGCCTTGGCCTCCCAAAGTGCTGGGATTACAGGCATAAGCCACTGCACCTGGCCAAAACCTTTCTTTTGGTAAATCATATCACACCAGTGTCTAGTGGTCATCAACTGTGGTCTCATCTGCTCCTTGTGTAGTTCTCTGACACTAACATAAAAATGTGGTATATTACTGACATCCAGTCCTCCCTGATGTCATATTGACAGAAAGACCACATCATAGACTTGGCAAACTTCAGGGAGAACACTGCAGCCTACGCACATCACCAGCCATGGATGGTAAATTTTCCTTATTGAAACTGAAAGTCAAGACACTTGGATTCTGAGTCAAACTCCACCCTCATACTTCTTTTTTCTTTTCTTTTTTTTTTTTTTTGAGACAGAGTCTCACTGAGTCACCCAGACTGGGGTGCAGTGGCGCAGTCTTGGCTCACTGCAACCTCCACTCCACCTCCTGGGTTCTAGCAATTCTCCTGCCTCAGCCTCCCGAGTAGCTGGGATTACAGGTGTGTGCCACCACACCTAGCTAATTTTTCTATTTATAGTAGAGACAAGGTTTCACCTTGTTGTCCAGGCTGGTCTCAAACTCCTGACCTCAAGTGATCCACCTGCCTTGGCCTCCCAAAGTGCTGGGATTACAGGTGTGAGCCACTGCGCCCAGCCCCACCCTCATGCTTTCTGCTTAACATTGCCACATTATTTTTTCCCTTAGCATCTCTATCTGTAAAATACAAAAATCTCAAAGATAACGTGATTGAACGTGGCTCATGGAAACAAAAGTAGGAAGAAATAAAAGGGGGGAAACATCAAAAAGATGCTTAAGAAATAGATTTTTTGGCCTGGCACAGTGGCTCACACCTGTAATCCCAGTACTTTGGGAGGCCATGGCGGGAGGATCACGAGGTCAGGAGATCGAGACCATCCTGGCCAACATGATGAAACCCTGTCTCTACTAAAAATACAAAAATTAGCTGGGCGTGATGACACGTGCCTGTAATCTCAGCTACTTGGGAGGCTGAGGCAAGAGAATTGCTTGAACCAGGGAGTCAGAGGTTGCAGTGAGCCGAGATTGCACCACCGCACTCCAGCCTGGCAACAGAGTGAGACACCGTCTCAAAAAAAAAAAGAAATAGATTTTTAAAGTATTCCTTTCATTGAAAGTCAAGCTAAATATGTTTTAAGTTACTATTTAGATGATACAGAAAATGAAATACTATCAGAAGAAAAGGCTTGTCCATATTTTAGTGAAAACAGAAAAGTCTTTACCTTATCATTTAGAAGTGGTTTGATCTCTGTGAGCTGAACATCCTGAAGTTCATCCATGAGGTCAGATAACGAGAGTAGAGGAATCTCAAGAATAAATCAGTAACTCTGAAACAGAAAAGAAAGAAGTGAAGAAAAAGGCTTAAGCCAGAAGTTGGAAACATAATAGTCACAGTACACCCATTCATTCAAATATGAGACTTACTCTGTGCCATGCCCTGCTCAGGGTGCTAAAGACACATAGTTACGGCAGATAGACACTAACCTGGTCTATAGGATTCTTGCCTCCTGGTATTCACATCCTTGCCTAATACCCCCAGTGAGTGTGCGCAGGGCCTGTGGCTTGCTTTTAACCATTAGAATACGGCAAAAGTGATGGAATGTACATGAGTGACTTTGCATGATTACATTATATAATATTTTCACATCTGTCTTGCTGAGGGACACTCTCCCCTGCTAGGTCTGAAGAGGCAAGCTGATGTGCTGTGAGAGGGCCACGTAACAAGTAACTGAGAGCAGCCTCCAGCAGAAAGACAGCAAGAAACTGAGACCTTCAGTTCAACAATCTGCAAGGAACTGAATGCTGCCAACAACAGGAGCCTGGAAGCAGATCCTTCCCCAGCTGAGTGTCAGAGAAGAAGCTGACCGACACCTTGATCGCCATGTTGCAGAGGACCTACACAGCCCACACCAGACTCCTGAACCACAGAAACTGAGAGACAATGAATATGTGTTGTTTTAGGCTACTACATTTGCGGTAATATTTTTATGCAGCAACAGATTAATACAATTAATACAATAGTCTTTGCTCTCATGGAGCACACGTTTTAGTTACTGAAGACGGATAAAGAAACAACATACTCAAAACTATGCTTGGAACAGACTGGAAGACGGATTAAGCGGGGACAAAAATTGAAGATTATTACTGCAGGATGAGGACTTGAATTAGGAATGGCAGTGGGAATGAAAGAGGAGGGAACCAAGGCTAAGCTTACTAATCCTCATTTGGGGAATCACAGCAGTGGGTGAAAGGTATGGTAGTCAGCTCCAAGATGGCCTTCAACGAGCCCAGTGATCCCTGACTCCTGATATTCATTCACACATATGTATAATCGCCCACCCAAATAAATCAGGGATGGCTCGTGTAACTAATAGAATATGGAGGAAGCAACAATATGTGACTTCTGAAGCTGCATCATAAAACGCATTACACTTTGTGCTTCAAGACACTATAAACTACTAGTTCTAGGGGAAGCTAGCTGCCAAATCATCAGGACACTCAAACAGCCCTCTGGCGAGGCCCATGTGGAGAGGAACCAACTTGCCAGCACCAACCTGCTAGCCATGTGTGTGAGTTACCTTGCAAATGAATCCTCCAGCCCCAGTCAAGAGTTCGGATAGCTACAGCCCCAGGGACACCTGACTGCAACCACATGAGAGACTCTAAGTCAGAACCACCCTACCAAGCCTGCTCCCAAGTTTCTGACCCACAGAAACCATGAGAGATAATAATTTTGTTTTAGAGTGATCTATAGCAATAGAGAACTAATACATAGGGAGAGCAGAATGGGGAGCTCAGAGAGAGGAGACAAGTTGGAGAGAGGTAGGCAGGGTAATGAACTACAAATTCTTCTTCTATCTCACCATGCAAGAAGCCATGGGGATAGGCTGCAAATACTCAATATTGCAGGAAAGTGATTCCCACCTAGACTTCAAAGCTTCAGGCATCATCCTTTTTGTCTTGGCCCTAAACCTATCAAGTCAGGAAAAATGTTAATTCAGAGTTGGGGATTTACATTTAACAACCATTTATTGAGTACCCATTGCACTATGGAAGATACAAAAAGGGTCCCTGCCTCTAAAGAGTAGAGATGATGTTGATCTACAAATTGATAAATAAAAAGAAGGGCCATAGGAATTCAAAGGAGAAGCAATTATGTCTGATTGGTGGAAATCAAGAAAGCCTTCAAAAGATATTAGTCTAGTGTGTGTGTGTGTGTGTGTGTGTGTGTGTGTGTGTGTGTCTGGTGTTTTTGTTTTTTTTTTTTTGAGACCTAGTCTTGCTCTGTCACCCAGGCTGGAGTGCAGTGGCACAATCGTGGTTCACTGGAACCTCCGCCTCCTGGGCTCAAGCGATTCTCGTGCCTCAGTCTCCCGAGAAGCTGGGACTATGGGCACCTGCTACCATGCCCAGCTAATTTTTGTATTTTTAGTAGAGACAGGGTTTCACCATGTTAGCCCGGCTGGTCTTGAACTCCTGCCTTCAAGTGATCCACACACCTCAGCCTCCCAAAGTGTTAGGATCACAGGCGTGAGCCACTGCGCCCGGCCTAGTGTACTATATTAATCCACTTTTCTGTTTACCTTCTAGAGATAGAATGACATGATTTTGATTTAATTACCTATGGAGAGGGTATGTGTTCCAGGCTACCTTTTAGCTATTATTTGCCAACACACTGAAATAAATCCTGCTCCCAGCTATGCCTATGTTAGAACAGACTAACAAAAAAGCCCTCTTATCATTTATTCAAGGGACTCAGAGGATGTCTATTGAGAACACTCCTCAGGCTATGAACCCCACATGCTAACTGTGAATATTCCAAAAGTGTGAACCACCTAGAGACCACAAATTTGATGATGTTTAACCTCCCTATAGGACAGTGGTTCTTTTGTCAGATCGCAGGCACCCATATACTTGATTGAGCTACTTAATGCCCAGAAGTTGAATCTTTTTTTGTTTTTATACCAGTCACATTTCAAAAGGGGGTGAGGTGGCTTGACTCTTAAACAGTGAGTTTCAGCCAGCATCTACATTCTCTTTTTCACAGTCCCCACTTAACTCTTAAAATATTGGCCTAACTGGAATCTACTCCATGTTTGTTTATTAATAACACTACAAACTGTGGCTACTTTTTATTTGAACTTTACTATTTATCAGTTATTTTAAATGGCAATTTAAAAGCGTTTTCCGGCCGGGCCCGGTGGCTCGCACCTGTAATCCCAGCACTTTGGGAGGCGGAGATGGATGGATCACCTGAGGTCAGGAGTTCGAGACCAGCCTGGTCAACATGGTGAAACCCCATTTCTACTAAAAGTACAAAGATTAGCTGGGTGTGGTGGCACACGCCTGTAATTCCAGCTACTCCAGCAGGCTGAGGCACGAGAATCATTTGAACCCAGGAGGCGGAGGTTGCAGTGAGCCAAGATCTGTCAACTGTACTCCAGCCTGGGCAACAGAACAAGACTCTGTCTCAAAAATTTAAAAACAAAACAAAACAAAACCAGCTTTTTCCCTTTTATAAAAGCAATATGTGCTCACTTTAGAAAATATGAAAATCGGCCGGGCGCAGTGGCTCACGCCTGTAATCCCAGCACTTTGGGAGGCCGAGGCAGGTGGATCATTTGAGGTCAGGTGTTCAAGACCAGCCTGGCCAACATGGAGAAACCCCATCTCTACTAAAAATAAAAAAAATTAGACAGGTGTGGTGGTGCACGCCTGTAATCCCAGCTACTCAGGAGGCTGAGGCAGGAGAATTGCTTGATCCTTGGAGGTGGAGGTTGCAGTAAGCTGAGATTGCGCCACCGCACTCCAGCCTGGGCGACAGAGTGAGACCCTGTCTCAAAAAACAGAAAAGAAGAAAATATGGAAATTGGCCGGGAATGGTGGCTCACGCCTGTAATCCCAGCACGCTGGGAGGCCAAGGTGGGTGGATCACCTGAGGTTCGAGACCAGTCTGGACAACATGGTGAAACCCTGTCTCTACTAACAATACAAAAATTAGCTGGGTGTGGTGGCAAGCTCTGTAATCTCAGCTACTCGGGAGGCTGAGGCAGGAGAATCGCTTGAGCCTGGGAGGCAGAAGTTGCAGTGAGCTGAGATCGCACCACTGCACTCCAGCCTGGGTGACAGAATGAGACTCCGTCTAAAAAAAAAAAAAAAAAAGAAAAAAAAGAAAATACAGAAATCACAGAATAATGAACAGATAATTTACTCATTGTCCTTCCACCTAAAGAAAACCATTTTAGCCTATTTCCACTTGTTTTTCTTTTTCCCACTTAAATGGTGATTTCCTGAAATTGTTTTTTCAACTCACCCACTTTATCCCTACTTTAATTCACTCACTGGAAAGCAATGCACTTCAAGATGGGAATTATTCAAATATGACTCCACATGGGTGGGCCTGTCAAAGGGTCAGAGAGAGGCCTAAGGTGCCCTCAAGTCCAAAGTGACTGGCATTCACCTAGTGTTCCTTTTTTTTTTTTTTTTTTTTGAGATGGGGTCTTACTCTTTCACCTAGGCTGGAGTGCAGTGGCACAATCATGGCTCTCAACCTCCCAGCCTCAAGCAATCCTCCCACCCCAGCCTCTCACACAGCTGAGACAATGGGCATGTGCCACCATGCCTTGCTAACTTAAAAAACATTTTTTTTAGAGACAGGAGTTTCACTATGTTGTCCAGACTACTCTTGAACTCCTAGACTCAAGCAATCCCCCTGCCTTGGCTTCCCAAAGTGCGGGATTACAGGTGTGAGCCACCATACCCATCCCTAAGTATTTTTTTAAAGATGAAGAAAAATGCAATTTTTACACCAACAAACACTTAAACAAAGACACAAATTAAATGAGAAGGCTGTCCCTATCAGCTAGGCCCAATGCAGGCTCAGGCGACAATGTTGTGCAGGACAGTAAGCTGCTCCAGGGTGACTCAGGATTTGGCAACTTGGCAGTAGACATTCACCTTCCACTATTAGGGGATCTAATGCATTCTTCTGGAGACTCCATTTTTGCTCCGCTTTCAATGTCTCAAGCCCTTGCCAATGAGCAGTTTTATAACATATACAAGAAAACTAAGATTCTGGTGGAAAACTCCATCTCCAGATCCCTCAGCTGCACAGACGGGCTCCCTCCTGGGGATCCAAGGCCTGCAGTTCCGGCATCTGTACAAATGGTATGGCTGCCAGATCCCATACAGGTACTAAAAGCTATTAATATTTTCAAAAGGCAAGTAGGGATTTTATAAATTGCAGTCAATAATTTTTGCCTGTTTCCTAGTCATATGAGTAGGAGGGAGGATTGATAAGGAAAAACTAGCCATCTTCAAATTAAGGAAATGAATCTGATACCAAATGGCTAGAAAGGGAAAGGAGAAAAGGTGGCTACCTACTCTGTCAGGAATTATAATCTCGGCACCTTATGTTTAATCCTCATAACAATCCTCTCTGGTAGATATCTTTCTTTCTTTTTTTTTTTTTTTTCCTGAGACAAGAGTCTTGCTCTGTTGCCCAGGCTGGAGCACAGTGGGGCGATCTTGGCTCACTGCAACTTCCGCCTCCCAGGTTCAAGTGATTCTCCTGCCTCAGCCTCCCAAGTAGCTGGGACTATAGGCGCATGCCTCCATGCCCAGCTAATTTTTGTATTTTTCAGTAAAGACAGGGCTTCCCTGTTAGCAAGGCTGGTCTCAAACTCCTGCCCTCAAGTAATCTGCCAGCTTCAGTCTCCCAAAGTGCTGGGATTACAAGTGTGAGCCACCCCGCCCAGCCTAGATATCTTTATTTTTTTCTCTGAGACAGAGTTTTACTCATCACATAGGCTGGAGTGCAGTGGCACGATCTCAGCTCACTGCAACCTCCGCCTCTTGGGTTCAAGCGATTCTCCTGCCTCAGCCTCCCGAGTAGCTGGGATTACAGGCATCTGCCACCAGGACCGGCTAATTTTTATATTTTTAGTAGAGACGGGGTTTCACCATGTTGGCCAGGCTGGTCTCGAACTCTTGACCTCAGGTAATCCGCCTGCTTTGGCCTCCCAAAGTGGTGGGATTACCAGCATGAGCCACCGCACCCAGCCTTTCTTTCTTTCTTTTTTCTTTTCTTTTCTTTTTTTTTTTTGAGACGGAGTCTCGCTCTGTCGCCCAGGCTGGAGTGCAGTGGCACATCTCAGCTCACTGCAAGCTCCGCCTCCTGGGTTCACGCCATTCTCCTGCCTCAGCCTCCTGAGTAGCTGGGACTACAGGCGCCCGCCACCACGCCCGGCTAATTTTTTGTATTTTTAGTAGAGACGGAGTTTCACCGTGTTAGCCAGGATGGTCTCGATCTCCTGACCTCGTGATCTGCCCTCCTCAGCCTCCCAAAGTGCTGGGATTACAGGCATGAGCCACCGTGCCCGGCCTATTTCTTTATAGATGAGAAATTTAGGCTCAGAGAAGTTAAGTAACTTCTAAAATCCCCACATCTAAGTAATAAAGAGCCAGGAGCGGTAGCATGCAACTATAGTGTCAGCTACTTGAAAGGCTAATGCAGGAGGATTGCTTCAGCCCAAGAGTTTGAGTCCAGCCTGGGCAACACAGCAAGACCCTGCCTCTAAATAAGTGAATAATAGGGAAAGGATTTTTTTTTTTTTGAGATGGAGTCTCGCTGTGTCGCCCAGGGTGGAGTGCAGTGGCACGATCTCGGCTCACTGCAAACTCCGCCTCCCAAGTTCACGCCATTCTCCTGCCTCAGCCTCCCGAGTAGCTGGGACTACAGGCACCTGCCACAACGCCCGGCTAATTTTTTTGTATTTTTAGTAGAGACGGGGTTTCACTGTTAACCAGGATGGTCTCGATCTCCTGACCTCGTGATCTACCTGCCTCAGCCTCCCAAAGTGCTGGGATTACAGGCGTGAGCCACTGCGCCCAGCCAGGGAAAGGATTTTAAAACCTTTGCTTTTCCCATTACAGGTTGAGCATCCCAAATTAAAAAATCTGAAATCCAAAATGCTCCAATGGATGCCTGGAAGAAGTGACAAAGGACAGATGGATAGACAGATGGATAGATAGATGGATGGATGGGTGGATGGATACATGGACACATACATACATAAACAAACTCCAGTGGGCATCTCCCTTGAACATCAAGTCTGTGCTCAAAAAGATTGGGGTTTTGGAGCATTTCAGATTTCACATTTTCAGATTTGGGATGCTTAAACGCTAGTAAGTATAATGCATATTGCAAAATCAGAAAAAATCCAAAATCTGAAACACATCTGGTTCAAGGCATTTTGGTTTTTTTGTTTTTTTGGGGGGGAGGTTTTGAGACAGAGTCTCACTCTGTCGCCCAGGCTGGAGTGCAGTGGCTCAATCGCGGCTCACTGCAACCTCCGCCTCCTGGGCTCAAGCGATTCTCCTGCCTCCATCTCCCAAGTAGCTGGGACTATAGGTGCCACCATGCCCAGCTAAGTTTTGTATTTTTAGTAGAGACAAGGTTTCACCATGTTGGCCAGGCTGGTCTCGAACTCCTGACCTCAGGTGATCCGCCGACCTCAGCCTCCCAAAGCGCTGGGATTACAGGTGTAAGCCACTGCTTCCAGGCTGTTCAAGGCATTTTGGATAAGGGATACTCAACTCATATACCATAATGTCTGTGCCAGGCCCCATCTACTGATTGTAGGACCCTGAGCAAGTTTTTTCCTCTTTACCCAGCCTGTGGCACCTCCTTGAGGTAAGAGAAGGCTAAAGCAATCCTATACATACCAACGACTCAGACACCTTAGAAATGAAGCTCTGAGTCATCACACCAGGACAAGAGCCCTCACTATCTCAGTAGTTATAACGCTAAGGGCATAGAGGATGTGGAATGAGTAGAGAAAAGAGAAATGAAGTTCCAGCTATTACTTGGCAAACAGTTTCAGAGGCAAGGGCTATTTCTTGCTTGTTAGAACAGCAAGCCTCAAAATCTATCACCTGGGAATCTTGTTTAGGATCTCAGATATGATCAGTTTTAAGTGATGAGAGTCTAACATGTGACCTCATCACTGAGGAGAGATGGAGATAATCTGAGGTGAGGAGATGAACTGAAAGCCTTCATTATTATTAGCAACAATCTTTTTTTTTTTTGAGACAGAGTTTGGCTCTGTCACCCAGGCTAGAGTGCAGTGGCACAATCTCGGCTACCTGCAACCTCTGTCTTCCAGGCTCAAGCCATTCTCTTACCTCACCCTTCCAAGTAGCTGGGACCACAGGCACACGCAACCACGCCTGGCTAATTTTTGTACGTTTTGTAGTGTCAGGGTTGCACTTTGTTGCCCAGGCTGGTCTCTAACTCCTGAGCTCAAGCGATCCACCCACGTCAGCCTCCCAAAGTGCTAGAATTACAGGCATGAGCCACCATGCCCAGCCAATTAGCAACAATCTTCAATAGAGATCAGTGAGGATGGGGTAAAGGAAGACTCCATTAATTTGATTTCGTCCTGCCTTCTTCCAAAATTTCAGTAAACTAGATGGAACTTTTATTTTTTATTTTTAAATGTTTTAGGGGCCGGGCACGGTGGCTCACGCCTGTAATCCCAGCACTTTAGGAGGCCAAGGCGGGCAGATCACCTGAGGTCAGGAGTTTGAGACCAGCCTGGCCAACGTGGTGAAACCTAGTGTCTACCAAAAATACAAAAATTAGCCGGGCATGATAGCACGTGCCTGTAATCCCAGCTACTCGGGAGGCAGAAGCAGGAGACGCGCTTGAACCTGGGAGGCAGAGGTTGCAGTGAGGTGAGATTGTGCCACTGCACTCCAGCCCGGGCGACAGAGCGAGACTCTGTCTCCAAAAAAAAAAAAAAATTGTTTTTTTGGAGACAGGGTCTTGCTTTGTCACTCGGCTGGAGTGCAGTGGCACCATCTTAGCTCACTGTAACCTTGAATTCCAATGGTCAAGCAATCCTCCCGCCTCAGCCTCCCAAAGAGCTAAGGACTACAGACATATACCACTATGCCTGGCTAATTTTTGTTTTTTGGTAGAAACAGGTCTTACTATGTTGCCCAGGCTAAGATGCGATTTTTTAAAGACTCAGCAGGTCCAATCAACTAAAATGTGAACATACTGGAGAAACAAAATAGTTTGCAGAAACCTCGCTGAAAGGTAACAAGGGTCTGTCAGGCTCCTGAAATTACGAAATGTGAAAAAAATAAAAAAAAAGGAGGGGGAGCTCTGGGATATAAAGTTGGTAAAAATAGCACAAGGTTGGCCAGGGCACAGTGGCTCATGCCTATAATCCTAGCACTGTGGGAGGCCGAGATGGGAGAATTATTTGAGGCCAGGAGTTCGAGACCAGCCTGGCCAATATGGTAGAACCCCGTCACTATTAACCAAACAAAAATTAGCCAGGCGTGGTGGTAATTCCAGCTACTTGGGAGGCTGAGGCATGAGAATCACTTAAAACTGGGAGGAGGAGGTTGGAGTGAGCCAAGATCGCGCCACTGCACTCCAGCCTGGGCAACAGAGGGAGATGCTGTCTCGAAAAAAAAAAAAAAAGAAAGAAAGAAAAAAAGTAGAACAAGGTCAGAGAAGAGTTAGATTTTGCCAAAGTTTTCAGTTGGGGAGATAAAAGAATTATGGAACAATGAATGGAAATTAGTGAGCTGAGAAAAAGTAACAGAGAAACTGATTTGTTAAAAAGAAAATCAATTTCAGTCAGGAATCCAAGAGAGACCTGAGCACAGGTGGGAGTGAGAATGAGTGAGGTAAGCCTCCAAACGACCACCAAACCAGAGATAAGGAGGTCTGTAGGCCTGGGCTCTTCTGAAGGACAACTCAGTGATGGAAAAGAAAGAACCAGTAAGAGACAAAGAAAAAATGTTCAGAGATGCTAGAGGAAAGGCAGAAATACAATGTCAAAGAATTCAAGGGAGAAGAGAGATTTACACAAAAGTGGAGGAAAACTGTCAAATGCTGAAGAAAAAAGGAGGAGGATGAAGACTATGAAAGGGCCATTAACTTTGGACAGTAAAAGTCAGTGGTGTTAAAATCTAGGAAAAATGAAGTTCAGTTCTCCATGCTGAAAAGCCCATGACTATGTACATCACTTTTTAGAAATATAGAAATTAGGCCAGGCGCGATGGGTCACACCCGTAATCCCAGCACTTTGGGAGGCCGAGGCGAGTGGATCACAAGGTCAGGAGATCGAGACCATCCTGGCTAACATGGTGAAACCCTGTCTCTACTAAAAAAATACAAAAAAATTAGCTGGGCATGGTGGCGGGCACCTGTAGTCCCAGCTACTCGGGAGGCTGAGGCAGGAGAATGGCATGAATCCAGGAGGCAGAGCTTGCAGTGAGCCGAGATCGCACCACTGTGCTCCAGCCTGGGCGACAGAGCAAGACTCCATCTCAAAAAAAAAAAAAGAAAGAAAAGAAATATAGAAGTTAGTTGGCATAGTGGATCAAATCCATAATCCCAGCACTTTGGGAGGTGGGAGGATCACTTGAGTCCAGGAGCTCAAGACCAGCCTGAGCAACACAGTGAGACCCCATCTCTACAAAAAATTAAACAATTAGCAGGGTGTGATGGTATGTGCCTGTAGTATCAGCCACTCAGGAGGCTGAGGTGGGAGGATCACCTAAACCCAGGAGGCTGAGGCTGCAGCGAGCCACGACTGCACCGCTGCAGTCCAGCCTGGGCAACAGAGTGAGACCCTGTCTCAAACTAAATAAATAAATAATAGAAATATAGAATCTAACATTTCTGAATTGAAATGCAAGCAAAAATGTCACCAGGAATCCAGGAGAGACACACACTGGGAGGGGCTTTAAAAGATTAACAAGATCAGTGACTTTCAAGTTTTACAGCAAAACTCCGAAATAGAAAACAGAAAACATGTAGAGGCTTTGGTTGAAGTGGTGGTGAGACCACTAGGGCTCTGCAGAACACCGTTTAAAGCGTGATAATACAGAGTGCAATCCTTTGTTCACTCAGAAAAAAGACACCCAGAGACGCATGGATTCTTCCAGTAATGGAAAGAGCATGTAAGCACATCAGATGTGGATTCTAAACCTAAATGGGCCCCTACATAGCTCAGTGGTGCTGAGCAAAGCATTTTCCCTTTCTGGGCCTCAGTTACCCCATCTGTCAAGGGAAAAGATTGGGCAGGATGACCTTTTTGAGTCCCTGACAGGGCTGGAATTCTGTGATCCTGAAGCTCCCTGTAGAAGTAGTACTTCACATTCCTCCCCACCAGCATGAGCCTTACTACAATCCTAAGCATTTCCCCAGGTATTAGCCTAGTGAGGGTCAACCGCTTGCTGGAGATCACTCAGCAAATAAGCAGGAGGGTACACTTGGCCTGACCCTGGGGACATGAGGGTCTCAGCTTGTATCTCATTCTGCACTGTGTCCATTTAGTCAGATGAAGCTCACTGAGATTTCAAGCACTTAAAAACATTGCTTTGGCGAGGCAAGGTGGCTCATGCCTCTAATCTAGCATTTCGGGAGGCCAAGGAGGGTGGATTGCTTGAGCCCAGGAGTTTGAGACCAGCCCGGGCAACATGGCAAGACCCTGTGTCTATAAAAAATACAAAAATTAGCCGGGTGTGATGACGTGTGCCTGTAGTCCCAGCTAGTCAGGAGGCTGAGGTGGGAAGACTGCTTGAGCCCAGAAGGTGAAGGCTACAGCAAGCTGAGATTAAACCACTGCACTCCAGCCTGGGTGACGGAACACGATCCTGTCTCAAAAAAAAAAAAAAAAAAAAAAAAAATATATATATATATATATATATATATATATATGCACATATAAATTTCTTTGTTAGTTTAATAAAGACAATAAGAACAATAAGAAAGTTATTGGCTTTTGAAACTGCAAGCTGTCTTGTTTTACAGCTTTTTCCCATGACCAAGTTTGGCCTTTGTCAGGCCTTGCCAGGATGTGCTGACACCAGGCCGCTAGCTAGTATTCTAGGGGCGGAGTCAATCACCTTTGATTTTGGCAAGATTGCAGACAGACAACCAAAACAGAATGAAGGTATGGCCGGGCGCGGTGGCTCACGCCTGTAATCCCAGCACTTTGGGAGGCCAAGGCGGGCGGATCACGAGGGCAAGAGATTGAGACCATCCTGGCCAACATGGTGAAACCCCGTCTCTACTAAATATACAAAAAATTAGCCGGGAGAGGTTGCAGGTGCCTGTAGTCCAGCTACTCGGCAGGCTGAGGCAGAGCTTGCAGTGAGCCGAGATCACGCCACTACACTCTAGCCTGGGTGACAGAGCGAGACTCCATCTCAAAAAAAAAATAAAAAAAAATAAAAAACACACAGAATGACGGCAACAAACAAAGGGGGCATACTGGAGAGAATAATCTGGAAAGGGTCAGCTGGAGCTGGTGCTGAAGCAGTTATGGTTAGAAAGCCACAGGAAGTGGCCACGGGACTGGCTGGGAAGGCAGTCAGCAGAGCTCCTAAGCAAACAGATTCACATCCTCTCTCTTTATACCTTTGAACAGTGGCTATATGAGTAATCATTACAGCACTTTCCAATCTACAGAGCACCTTCACATTTAACATCTCACTGGATTATTATGATGGCACCGTGAGCTAAAACACTGAGGCACTGGCATCATGGCTACCAACAGACATGAAGAAACTGAGGCTGAAAGAGGTGACATGCCTGGGCACGGTGGCTCACGCCTGTAATCCCAGCACTTTGGGAGGCCAAGGCAGGCGGATCACCTTTGCAGTGAGCTGAGATCGTGCCATTGCACTCCAGCCTGAGTGACAGAGCGAGACTCCGTCTCAAAAAAAAAAAAAGAGGTGACATGGACTGACCAAAATACCACAACTAATAAATGGCACAGCTGGAACTGAAACCCAGGTCTTCCGATCCCAAATGCTCATTTTATGCCCTAAATCACACTTTCTCCCAGGTCATCACAGATGAAAAGACTGAGAGTGAAAAGAAGAGAAATTCAGAATTGAGAAGACTGCCTCACCACACCCACTCCGCACTGAACATGTCTTTATCTCTGCTTAAGCAGTTAGGATTAGGCCACAGGCTCTAGGATTAAGCCCTGATATGTAGTGAATAACAAGAAAGCACAGATGGGGGACTGGAATTAGTCTTTACCTATTAATTCAATTAAATAGGGGAGATAAGGTCTATAAACAAATTGTTACAGTTCGAGGCAGTATACATAGAAGCTTATGAACTGGACAAACTCAAAGGCAGTTTCTCAACCTTGGCACAACTGACATTTTAGGCCAGATGATTTTTTGTTGTGGGAGGTCTGTTCTATGCATTGCAGAATGTGTAGCAGCATCCCTGGCCTCCAATACTAGATGACAGTGGCACACTCCCCCAACAGCTGTGACAGCCAAACATGTCTCCAGATAATGCCAAATGTCCTCTTTGGGGCAAAATCACTCCCAATTGAGAAGCACTGCTCTAAGGGTTACAGAGGTTTAGGGCATAATCGAGTCACTGCAGCTTGTGGGTGCTGGGAAGAAGTTTCATGGAGGAGGTAATATCTGAACTGCACCTTGAGAAATAGATAAAATTCCTGTAAATGAGAATAAGAATAAAAGAGGAAATTCCAGAAAGGGAGGATAACTTAAAGGCAAGGAGATGAGAAAGCACAAGGTCTGCTGGAAATAGGAAATAAGGGTAAAAATGACAGCTGGAGGCTGGTCATGGATAGCTATCCATCAACTAATATTTACAAGATATACATACATAATGACATAGCCAACAATACACCATATCACACGTTTAACAGTATACAAGTCACCCCAGTGGCACATGTTGAGCATCTCTAATCTGAAAATCCAAAATCCGAAGTGCTTCAAAATCCAAAACTTTTTGAGCACTGACATGACGCTCAGACTAAATGCTCATTGGAGCACTCGGATTTTAGATTTTCAGATTAGGGATGCTCAACTGGTAAGTATAATTCAAATATTCCAAAATTGGAAAAAATCCAAAACCTGAAACACTTCTGGTCCCAAGCATTTTGGATAAGGGATACTCAACCTGTATTTCCATGTGTCCCACTCTCTGAAGGATTGAATGCTGCTTGAGTTATCATGTTTACATTGCAGCTAGTGTTTGGAACATACACTCAGAGCTAATGAAGCTCAAAACCAATGCAGAGGCAGGAGAAATAACTAAGGATTAGGATGGTCAGGAGTTTCCCAAGGGAAGGGAGAATGATGGGCCCTAAAGGGATATGTTTTGAACAGGGGAAGGGAGGAGGGACATACAGGTGAGGACATCAGGGTTGGGAAAGAAAGAATTAAAGACAATACACTCAGGCAGGGCACCTGTAATCCCAGCACTTTGGGAGGCTGAGGTGGGAGGATCACTTGAGGTCAGAAGTTCAAGATCAGCCTGGCCAACAAAGTGAAACCCCATTTCCACTAATAATACAAAAATTAGCTGAGCATGATGGCGCATGCCTTAATCCCAGCTCAGGAGGCTGAGGCTTGAACCCAGGGGGTGGAGGTTGCAGTGAGCCGAGATTGCACCATTGCACTCCAGCCTGGGCAGAGCGAGGCCCTGTCTCAAAAAAAAAAAAAAAAAAAAAAAGACAATACATTCAGGAGACACCAAGAACAATATAGCTGGGAAAGAAGACAAGCTGCAGAAGTAGCCTAGGTCAGAATGCAGAGCACCTGAGCTGGACTTTACTACACAGACAACCCCTGAAGGTTTCTGAGGAGCAGAATGACACAGAAGCTTAACTTTTTTCAGTTGTTTAAAACTTGGTCATGTTGTCCACGTAGTTATCTTAGCTACACTTAAACCTGGGAAGCAGTGAAGATTATCAATGACTCAGCCCCAACCTTAAAGATCCAATTTAATTGGGCTAACGTAGGGCCTGAGTATTGTTTTTAAAGCTTCACAGGTAATTCTTACATGCAGCTAGGGCTAAGAACCACTGGTTTACAGTAATGCCCTCATTCTCCAATGAGAAAAGAGGCCCAGAAAATTTAAGTGATTTCTGAATTCACACAGCCAGCTAGGTGTGGAGCTGGAACTAGCATGCGGATTCCTAGCTCAGCTCTGAAAGAGATCCCAGAGTACTGGGCTAAATTCCATACTTCAGTCTAGAAGATGCACAATTATCTGATGACTTGGCTCTTAAGTTTCCTCAGGGTTAAAGGCTGAATTAATCTAATCCTAAAACTATTGACTTAAACATCCCCTCAAGTGTCTACGGTAATGGATGTTGGTTCTACTGCTGTCTCCTGGGGGCCCTTAGGAAAGCAAAGGATCTCAGGAGACTCCCCCAGGAAGCCAGATAAACAAGCCAAACCACCCAGCTCCATGGAAGACTTTTAAAAATGCAGCTGAGATTTTTCACTGCATAAAGGAAAGTCTGGGTACCTCTTCGCCAGAAGAAATTCTCTCAGAGATGCTATCCCCCCTATCTCCATAAGCTAAGGGGTGGGGAAGGATCAAAGGCAGCTACTTAAGTAGCTGATATGCTCACAGATCCTCACTGTAACAGGAAGTACCCCTGCTCATCCTCAGGCCTAGATAAGGGCCATTCACACCCCTCATATTTTCCTGAAAGGAAAAGGGCAGCAACCCCTGCAATAGGCCCACCTTCCTGTTGTGTCACTCCTGGGTTCTGGCAGCAGGTGGTAAATGAGAGGTTTGTAGAGACTGCCAAGCTGGAAATCTGAGTCTGTCTTATATATTAATTCTATCCCTTCCAGGGTCCTGGTATAAATAACTGCTAGAACAAAGCAAGACCCATCTAGGAGCCTTCTTGTTAATCCCAGACACCCATCGGCCAGCGGAAGTTTTAACACAGGAGTCATACTAAAGTAACTCTAAAAGCAGAAGCACAACCCCCTGCCTTCCACTCCTGAAGAAGGCAACTCAGGACACGAGGAAAGCTACCACCAGCAAAGCCCTGGGGTGTGCTCTTAGATGGCTCCAGGTTCCTGCCAGCTGTAAGGCGGAATCCCTAAAAACAATTTGTACTTTAAGGCAGCCTGAGTGAGGTAAAGGACAAACAAGAGCCCTAAAATGCAGTATATAATACTCATACGAGCCAAATTTATTGAGCGCTTAACACTATGCCAGGTACCGTGATAAGCACTTTATGGATTCATTATTTCATTGTGCTTCCCAACATATTTAATCCACCCCATTTTACAGATGAAGAAACTGAAGCTCGGACGGGGTATTGTAATTTGCCAAAGGTCACACAGCTAGCAAGCAGCAGAGCAAGGATTTGAACCTGAGCAATCTGCATCCTGACCTCTATAACCAATTTTCCCCACTTGATGCCATCTGATCATTAATCCTTCTAATGCATATTCTCAGGTTAGGTTACGGGAGCTTACCAGGATGTTACTATAAAATAATTCTGAAAATTGGCTGGGCGCAGTGGCTGATACCTGTAATACCAGCACTTTGAGAGGCTGAGGTGGGCGGAGTTTGAGACCAGCCTGGCCAACATGGTGAAACTCACCTCCACCAAAAATACAAAAAATTCGCCAGGCATGGTGGCGGTCACCTGTTGTCTCAGCTACTCAGGAGGCTGAGGCATGAGAACTGCTTGAACCTAGGGGGTGGAGGTTGCAGTGAGCTGAGATTGTGCCACCGCACTCCAGCCTGGTGACAGAGCAAGACTCTGTCTCAAAAAAAAAAAAAAAATTCTAAACCCCATACAAAATTTAGGTATCGTTATTATCATTACTACTTTAATATGAGACTTGTACCTACCTGGGGGTATTGGAAATGCAATACAACCTGTGGACTAATCATCCAAAGTTATATTTTAGTGAACACCCTGGTTAAAACCATCCCAACAAAATGACTTAAAAGCAACACTTTCTCCTAGCACTTTCGGAGGCCAAGGCAGGAGTTCGAGACCAGCCTGGCCAACATGGTGAAACCCCGTCTCTAATAAAAATACAAAAATTAGCCAGGCATGGTGGCAGGTACCTATAATCCCAGCTACACGAGAGACTGAGGCAGGAGAATTGCTTGAATCCGGGGGACAGAGGTTGCAGTGAGCCGAGATCACACCACTTCACCACTTCACTCTAGACCGGGCAAAAGAGCAAAACTCCTTTGCAAAAAAAAAAAGCAACACCTTCAAAAGTTAAAAAATGGGGCTAGGCATAGTGGCTCACGCCTGTAATCCCAACACTTTGGGAGGCCGGGGTGGGCGGATCACTTGAGGTGAGGAGTTTGAGACAAGCCTGGCCAACATGGTGAAACCCCATCTCTACTAAAAATACAAAAATTAGTCAGGTGTGGTGGCATGCACCTGTAATCCCAGCTACTCGGGAGGCTGAGGCAGGAGAACTGCTTGAACCTGGGAGGCAGAGGTTGCAGTGAACTGAGATCATGCCACTGCACTCCAGCCTGGACCACAGAGTAAAAAACTGTCTCAAAAAAAAAAAAAAAAAGGAACCAGCCAGAGTGGCTCATGCCTGTAATCCCAGCACTTTGGGAGGCCGAGGCGGGTGGATCACCTGAGGTCAGGAGTTCAAGACCAGTCTGGCTAACATGGTGAAACCCCATCTCTACTAAAAATACAAAAATTAGTCAGGGGTGATGGCATGCACCTGTAATCCCAGCTACTTCCCAGCTACTCAGGAGGCTGAGGCAGGAGAATGGCTTGAACTCGGGAGGCAGAGGCTGCAGTAAGCCGAAATCCTGCCACTGCACTCCAGCCTGGGTGACAAAACGAGACCCCATCTCAAAAAAAAAAAAAAAAAAAAAAAAAAAAAAAAGGCCAGGCACAGTGGCTCATGCCTGTAATCCCAGCACTTTGGGAGGCCGAGGCTGGCGGATCACGAGGTCAGGAGATCGAGACCAGCCTGACCAACATGGTGAAACCTCGTCTCTACTAAAAATGCAAAAATGAGCCAGGTGTGGTGGCATGGGCCTGTAATCCTAGCTACTCGGGAGCCTGAGGCAGGAAAATCCCATGAACCTGGGAGGCGGAGGTTGCAGTGAGCCGGGATCGCCCCACTGCACTCCAGCTTGGGCAACGGAGTGAGACTCCGCCTCAAAAAAAAAGAAAAAAAAAAAAAAGCTGTCAACTTGTATCCATGAAAGAAAATTCAGCCTTAAAAATATAGAAGCACTGGGCCAGGCACAGTGGCTCACACCTGTAATCCCAGCAGTTTGGGAGCCTGAGGTGGGCGGATCACGAGGTCAGGAGATCCTGACCATCCTGGCTAACACAGTGAAACCCTGTCTCGGCCGGGCGCCGGTGGCTCACGCCTATAATCCCAGCACTTTGGGAGGCTGAGGTGGGCGGATCATGAGGTCAGGAGATCGAGACCATGGTGAAACCCCGTCTCTACTAAAAATACAAAAAATTAGCCGGGTGCGGTGGCGGGCGCCTGTAGTCCCAGCTACTCGGGAGGCTGAGGCAGGAGAATGGCGTGAACCTGGTAGGCGGAGCTTGCAGTGAGCTGAGATCACACCACTGCACCCTAGCCTGGGTGACAGAGCGAGACTCCGTCTCAAAAAAAAAAAAAAAAAAAAAAACCGTAAACCTTACAATAGAAAAACCTAATAAGTAATAAAATTAAGTATAAAGAGTGGCTATATCCAGAATTCTACTTGATCAATTGAAAACCCCAGACTGTAGACCATGGGCACTTTTAGGTAATAAGGGGATTATTGTCAAATGCTATAGCTAAAGCCTGGCGGAAACCACCACTGTACTTAGAAAATTAATCTTCATTTACTATATTAAATCTCTAGGGAAGATAAAAAGTGGCATCTCCACACAAAAAGACTCCATATAACACATTCTTCCCAAATCCAGGGAGGATACCAGCTCCATATCAATAACATTAATTAATGTTTGCCACTGCAATTAGTGTTTATAAAGAATTAAATTCAGAATGCAAAGAAGCCGGATTCCTCCAAAGTGCACCCCAGTTGGCCATCAACAACAATTTTTTTTTGTTTTTTGAGACGGAGTCTCGCTCTATCACCCAGGCTGGAGTGCAATGGTGTGATCTCGGCTCACCACAACCTCTGCCTCCCGGGTTCAAGCGATTCTCCTGCCTCGGCCTCCCGAGTAGCTGGGACTACAGATGTGTGCCACCATACCCGGCTAATTTTTGCATTTTTAGTAGAGACAGTTTGCCATGTTGGCCAGGCTAGTCTCGAACTCCTGACCTCGTGATCCGCCCGCCTCGGACTCCTAAAGTGCTGGGATTACAGGCGTGAGCCACCACACCTGGGCAACAAATTTTTATTTACAACTGATAAAATGTCAAATTCTGTCATGTACTATGAGACATATCACAGAACTCTGAGTGGACTACTAGCCCTTTCACTGAAGAGATAAAATCAAAAGACATAATACTACCCATTTTTGTATAACATGCAAAACACCCTTCATATATCAGTTAATTTCACATGAATGAGAGAACAATTAATTGTAGGTAAATATTATACATTAGTTTTATAGAATTAGCACTGTGATTTTTAAAAATTCATTTACCAAAGAAGGCCCTGAAACCTGGTAAATATCCATAATCAAGCTAGCTAAGTTTTCGTGTGCTATTTTCAAGTGCTATTAAAAAAGAAAGGTGGGGGGGGAATCTTTTAGAAGAAACAATTTGACATCCAGTTCTGCAGTAAACCCAAAATGTTATCAATCTTTGCACTTGAAAGTACTTTTTGATGCACCCCTTCCTTTCACCATTCCTATCCAGGCTTGTCCGTTTTCTTCCAGAATCTCCCATTTGGCCTTTTTTTCTTTCCTTCTGTCTTCACTTCTTACCCGGATTTGTTCATTCATTCATCATTTACTAAGCGCCTATTATCAGCCAAGCACAGAGCTAGACCCTGGTCCCTGCTCTTAGGAAGCTTACGTGATACCAAGTAAAGCTGCTATCTGCCCATCTCAATCACCATCACCAGCCTGCAAGCTTTAGCAAAGGCTTTGTATTTCCAGAAGCTAGCAGCATCTGGCATATAGCAGACACTCTAAAAATGTTTGTTGGATGACACTAGATTACTTTAGCAAGCTCTTTTTTTAATCCATAAATATTTTACTATATATCTTCAAAAAAGATTCTTATTTTTCTTTCATTTTTAAAACACAAAAGCATTATGTGCACAATGCAAAAATAATATAGAAAGGTAAAAAAGTAAATTCCCCAAGCCTCTAAATCTTACTCCCAGAAGTGAGGACCATTAGAGCTTGGTATATATCTTTCCAGAACTCTCCTATGTCAGTATACCCCCACACCTGACTCACACGCACTTTTTTGAAACAAGTTATTTGACAGTTTCTGACTCTAGCTGCTCAACCTTCTAATCAAGTGGTTCTCAAAGTGTGATCCTTAGACCAGCAGCATCAGCATCATCTGGGAACTTGTTAGAACTGCAAATTCTCGGATTCCACTCCAGAACTAATGAATCAGAAACTCTGAAGGTCGAGCCCAGGAATATGGGTTTTAATAAGCTCTCAAGGTAATGCTGGTGCACACTAAAGATTGAGAACCACTGCTCTAAGCCAGCCAAGCCAATTTTTTTACTGTCCGTTAAACATGGCAGGCACTGCTATCTTGTCTGTTTTATCAGCCCCGATTCAAAATGTTTTCCTGTCCTTTTGATTAATTCTGACCCTATCCACCTGTCAAAGCCCAGAAAGTCAAAACCCAAAGTGGTCTCACCACCACATCTCATACTGATCCTTCTTGCCCCCTTTCCCCAGCTCCCATGATACAGCTAGTCCCCCTACCATATAATTTAACAATTATATATACGCTGACTTCAACATTAGAGAACAGTGCTTTACTCTTCCCCAACAGACCATAACCTCCTTGAAGACATGAATCATGTTTTTGTATGTCTTCTCCCACCCCTGTTCTAAGCACATAAATAGAATCATAATAGAGTTGCTAGTTAATGTCTTTAAGGATGAATTCACTGAGAAGAAATACTGATAAACCTTTAGTGGCTAAAAAGTCTGGAATTTCAAGTTGTAGCCAGTTCTGCGACCTTGGACAAGTTCAATTCTCAAGGTGCCCCCCGCCACCTTTCTTTCTTAATAGTGCTTGAAAATAGCACACAAAAACTTAGCTAGCTTGATTATGGATATTTACCAGGTTTCAGGGCTTTCTTTGGTAAATGAATTTTTAAAAATCACAGTGCTAAGTGAGAAGGATGGACTTAATGACTCGATGCTCCATTTCATCCTGAATAACATACAATTTTATGAAACACCCCATGTAGGAATATCTTATTCCATTATAGTCTAATATTGCTTTGCTTGTAAC
The DNA here is from genome assembly GCF_000001405.40 of Homo sapiens. Lineage (NCBI taxonomy): Eukaryota > Metazoa > Chordata > Mammalia > Primates > Hominidae > Homo > Homo sapiens. The sequence goes on from NC_000020.11 coordinate 36,742,689, forward strand.
ATTAATATGGGAATGTTTAGACTTGATTTTAGTACAGTTAAAGACAATGTTTCCCAATTAGCTAGTAAGTTCTCTCAACAGGAACCTGTTTGATTCAACTGTGAATCTTCCACCATATCAGGCGCCATACATCCATGCCTTACCCATAGTCAATATATTTACAGAAAATTATTTGGAAAAACTCTTTAAGAACCTTCATTTAAATAAAGAATCTATGCACATATCTGCTGCCTCCCAAAGGACCTTTTTGAATATTTATTATTATAAATACCATGTAATGATATACAGTAAAAATTGTGATTACTTTGATACAACCAGGGGCAATCAGCCACAGAGGGCAAAAGAATGTAAAAATGGATTTCTCATGCATTGAGGGACAGACTAAAGGGGTATAAGCCTCAGACTATCCTACTGCAACATGCAAATGAAAAGTACCCTGTACATCGAAATAGCATATACCAACTCCACTGTAAACAGGCATTTTTCCCTGCTCAGAAGTAACAATTTAGAATAAAACAAAAGCAGCCGGGCTCGGAGGCTCACGCCTGTAATCCCACCACTTTGGGAGGCAGAGGCAGGCGGATCACCTGAGGTCAGGAATTCAAGACCAGCTTGGCCAACATGGTGAAAATCCGTCTCCACTAAAAATACAAAAAATAGCTGGGCATGGTGGCGGGCGCCTGTAATTCCAGCTACTTGGGTGGCTGAGGCAGGAAAATCGCTTGAACCCAGGATGCGGAGGTTGCAGTGAGCCGAGATTGCGCCACTGCACTCCAGCCTGGGCAACAAGAGCGAAACTCCGTCTCAAAAAATAATAATAATAATAATAAAACAAAAGCAGCTCGGCCTGGCTTGGTGGCTCACGCCTGTAATCCCAGCACTATGGGAGGCCGAGGCAGGCGGATCACGAGGTCAGGAAATCGAGACCATCCTGGCTAACACGGTGAAACCCTGTCTCTACTAAAAAAATACAAAAAAAATTAGCTGGGGGTGGTGGCGAGCACCTGTAGTCCCAGCTGCTCAGGAGGCTGAGGCAGGAGAATGGCGTGAATCTGGGAGGCGGAGCTTGCAGTGAGCCGAGATGGCGCCACTGTACTCCAGCCTGGGCAACAGAGCGAGACTCCGTCTCAAAAAACAAACAAAAACAAACAAAAAACAAACAAAAAACAAAAGCAGCTCAATCGTGAGTGCACGTTCAAGTAACATAAACAAGCTTTTTTTTTTTTTTTTTTTTTGAGACGGAGCTCTGTTGCCCAGGCTGGAGTGCAGTGGCGCGATCTCGGCTCACTGCAAGCTCCAGCTCCCGGGTTCACGCCATTCTCCTGCCTCAGCCTCCCGAGTAGCTGGGACTACAGGCGCCCACCACCACACGCGGCTAATTTTCTGTTATTTTTTAGTACAGACGGGGTTTCCCCGTATTAGCCAGGATGGTCTCCATCTCCCGAACTCGTGATCCACCCACCTCGGCCTCCCAAAGTGCTGGGATTACAGGCGTGAGCCGCAGCGCCCGGTCCATAAACAGGCTTTTTGATGCAAGACTCTTATCTGCAAGTTTTCAAAAACAACAGGGTGGATGGAGGCCTTTGAGTGGTAAATGGTGATGACAAGTTTAATCTGAAGGAAGAGACAAGCAAAGAGAAACTGAAGGGCAGGAAGGAGGAACAGAAGGGCACCAGAAGAACACCACGCTTTGAGTAATGAAAAGGGGGGGTGGAAATTAACTGAGTCCTTACCAAGGATCTACTGTGAGCCAGGCATCTGGAGCTGCAAAGATGGACCATGCCCTCAAGGGGCTAGAAGTCCGCAGGGTAAGACTGAGGCTAAGACCCTGTTTTGTGAACGTGTAATTCTAATTGGGAAAATCAAGCAGGGAAGGCTTCACAGAGAAGGTGGTGATTTAGTGGAGCCTTTGAAATGTGGAGGAGGATTTGCTAAGGGAGAAAAACGACAGTTTGAGCTAGTTATTTTGGGGGAGAAACATTCACATATTTTTATAGCTGTTCATTTGGAACTTTAAATCATGGGAGGCTTCTTAAATTCAGCACCACTCTATCAATGTTCTCTTTCTCTTCTTGCTTTATCTTAAATACTGAAATGTTCAAGCCCAACCTTGGGGCAAAGGCAGAAAGCCTCGGACAGAAAGCCCCGGAATGAGGTGAGTGCTAGCCAAATCTGCTCTGTCACCTCCAAGTCCAGCCCGCCCAGCTAGCCCAGTCAGCCCAGTCCTGCTCTCTTGGCAGGAAAGGAAGGCTAATAATATCCCCTGAGGGCCAGGGTAAGGGGGGGGGGGGGCGCGGCGGGGGTGATCTGGATGCCAGCAGGCAAGGATCACTCTTGTTCTGTCAGTAAGCCACCAAAGGAAAGCTTCCCTGCTTCCTAATCCACGGGGCTCCTAGTCTACCTGTGATAGGGAGGCCAGCTCTGCAGGAAGAAAAAAAGGGCTTCATGACAAGGAAGGGGGAAGCATTTGGATTGGGAAGTGCAGAGGTGGTTATGCGAGGTTATCTTAATAAAATGCTTAGCAAGATCCCTGGCACACAGCGAGCGGTGGAAGAACGTTAGCTCTTATATTAATAACACTATTATTATTACAGTAACACCTCAATTGTACTCCGACAACAAGAAAATCTTTTTTGTGCAGCCTACTTTTACGACGTTCGAGAGCAACTTCAGAGATGACAAGTGATTTCAAAATTTTTTCAAAGGTACGAGATCAAATTCCAACCGCACTGGCCTGAGAGCCCGAGACCCTGAGTTGAGAGCTGACCCTGCCACTTGTCAGCTGCGTGACCTTGGGCATGGCACTTCACCTTTCCGTGCCTCAGTTTCCTCGGCTGTTAAGTGGGGCTAAGAAGCCTCTCCCCGGTAGGGTAGTCGTAGGGTCCCGTTAGAGGATGCCCTCTGCTGCTCTGGGGCCGGACGGGTGCAAGGGCTGCTCACGGCCCCTCTTCCAAGCATCTGGGCTCTTGGAGCGGGCGAGGTAGATGGATGAGCAACCCCAAGGCCCACCAAGCTCTGCCGCCTGCAGAGCCAGAGCGAGAGAAGGGTTCGCGCCTGCGGGGGGCGTCCCTGTGACCCAGGGTGTTGAGCCCGGAGGGAGGCTCTCTTGCTACCCACACGCTGTCGCCGGCGGGCTGGGCGCGGGGAGCGGCCGAGGAAAGCCGGGCTGACCTGGGTCCGGCGGGCGGGCGGGGCGGGGCAGAGGGCCCCGGGGGCACGGGGGAGGCAAGCAGCACGGGCCACCAGGGCCTCGCCGTGCCGCGGAGATGATGCGGGGAAGGAGCAGGGCAAAGGAGCGACGCCCCCGAATGCGGCGCCGCGCGCCCCCCGCGGGCCGGGCGGAGGCGCTCACTCACCTGAGGCGCGGGCACCCGCCGTCAGTGCAGCAGCAGCGGCGGCGGCGGCGGCGGCGGCGGCGGCGGCGGCGGCGGCGAGAGGGGCGGGGGAGGTGCTGCGGTCCGCGCAGGCGCGCCGAGGACGCCAGGGCGGCGCATGAGTGCTGTGCCCGTCCACCTCGGGAACTACCGAGAAGATGGTGGCTGAGCCAGGAGAGGCCGGCGGCGCCATCTTTGATGTAGTTTTTCTTGCTGCGGAGTTTCCTCAGAGAAGAATCTCAGATTTTGGAGGCGCTGGGCGGCAGGGCCATTGAGCTCTGCGTCTGGAGCGCTTCCCTCAGTTCCCTGAGTCGCATCCTTATGAAGCCCCTAAGAGCTCTTGCAGGGTATGGCATCCTCCTTTTAAGGTGACCTAGAGCCATACCCAAGGTCACAGGGCGCCTAGCACAGTGCTCGGCACGTGGAAAGAGCTTAGTAAATTTTTGGTGAATGAACATAGTAATTTAAGAACTAGAGTCCAAGACTCAGGGCTCCGAATTACCAGTCCTCCATTGTATCACCCCTATTACAACCGTCAGCCAAATCATCTACTTTCTTGAATGCAACATTAGAGATGGAATTTTTTTTCCCAGAATGATTGCAGATATTAAACTTAATGACCCAACAATTTAACACCAAAATGTACAGGACACACTCTTCCTCTATTTATTATCTATTATTTCTTTACCATTAAGTACCACTGACTAAAAGTTTTTTTGTTTTGTTTTGTTTTGTTTTTTGAGACGGAGTCTCACTCTGTCGCCAGGCTGGAGTGCACTAGCGCGATCTCGGCTCACTGCAACCTCTGCCTCCTGGGTTCAAGCGATTCTCCTGCCTCAGCCTCCCGAGTAGCTGGCACTGTAGGCGTGTGCCACCGGGCCTGGCTAATTTTTCTATTATTAGTAGAGACGGGTTTTCACCGTGTTGGCCAGGATGGTCTCGATCTCTTGACCTCGTCATCTGCCCGCCTCGGCCTCCCAAAGTGCTGGGATTACAGGTGTGTGAGCCACCACGCCCTTTTAACCCGAGCCAGTGTCGCCATCTCGGCTCAGGTTCCCAAGTCCCTCAGCCTCCCAAGTAGCTGGGACTAGAGGCGGGCGCCACCATGCCTGGGTAATTTTTGTATTTTTTTTTTTTTAGTAGAGATGGGGTTTCACCATGTTGGCCAAGCTGGTCTCAAACTCCTGACCTCAAGCAATCCGCCTGCTTCTGCGTCCCAAAGTGCTGGGATTACAGGTGTGAGCCACCACGCCCGGCCACTAAAAGCATATTCTTTTAATTAAGGCAAACTGAACAAATGAATATTACCAAACATCTCAGAGGGCAGCAATAATATTGTTATTCATCAAGCACAATTCTTGAACTGAATTTAGTTGGAAGGAAAACTAACATTAATTGAGCACAGCCATTTATTTTATGGTTTATGTTCGTTAACATTTACTGAATTCAAATTAGTTCTAGTTCACCATCCACTATTTATCCCTATGTCCTTGGTTAGACAATTAAGTCTCTCCACACCTCTCCATGCCCGAATTCCTCATCTATGTCACACACCCAGAAATAGAAGTTACAAGGTTGTGGCAAAGACTGAATGATAATATGCATGTAAAATGCTTAGAGCTCAGTAAGTATTATTTTTCTTTGTTCTATCGTATTTTACTGTTGAAGACACAAAACATACTTCTTGAGTTTGAAGAAATCCTTATAAGCAAAAAATGCAATACAATGTAATAAATAAAAAGGGGGAGGGTATAATCATCTTTAGAGAGATAATCTGTCCCCATTTTACAGATGAGGAAATTGAGGATAAAATGAAAATTCATGGCCGGGCGCAGTGGCTCACGCCTGTAATCCCAGAACTTTGGGAGGCTGAGGCGGGCAGATCATGAGGTCAGGAAATCGAGACCATCCTGGCTAACAAGGTGAAACCCCGTCTCTACTAAAAATACAAAAATTAGCTGGGCGTAGTGGCGGGTGCCTGTAATCCCAGCTACTCGGGAGGCTGAGGCAGGAGAATGGTGTGAACCCGGGAGGCAGAGCTTGCAGTGAGCCGAGATTGCGCTGCTGCACTCCAGCTTGGGCAACAGAGCGAGACTCCGTCTCAAAAAAAAAAAAGAAAAAGGAAAATTCACTCCAACTCTCTCCATTGTACTACTTTGTTTATGAAAGAGTAGGCAATTAAGAGCATTTCTCTGATTCTTGAGATACAGATAGAGATAGATATAGACGAGGGTCTCACCATGTTGCTCAGGCTGGTCTAGAACTCTTGGACTCAAGCAATCCTCCTGCCTAGGCCTCCCAAAGTTCTGGGATTATAGGCATGAGCCACTGTGTCCCGCTCTGCTCTGATTCTTAAATGTTGGATTTCCATGAGACCATCCAAACTTTCCCTTCTTGCTCTACTGTGGACTATATCATTCATTCTCAAGTCATCAAGAACTAGACATCAGCAACTCTCAAATGTTATTTCCAGTCTCGATTTCTCCACCCAGTTCTCCACCTGTGTTATTTGACAGACCAGTTGATTTCTCCATTTGGTATTCCAAATAGAACGAGCTTTCCCATCTCAAATTGCTCCATCATCTACCCACTGTTCAGGCTTCACCTCCTGCAGCATACTGATACCGCTAAACTTTTATATTATTTAATTCTTACAGCATCCCTGTGATATAGGTTCTATAATTCTCTCAACCTTCGAGATAAGAGATTAAATAAATTTTTCAGTCACAGTTAATAAATGGCAGAGTTAGGGGTTTTTTCTTTTTGAGACAGAGTCTTGCTCTGTCATCCAGACTGGAATGCAGTGGCACAATCTCGGCTCACTACAACTTTCACCCCCTCCCGGGTTCCAGCAATTCTCCCACCTCAGCCTCCTGAGTAGTTGGGATTACAGGCACCTGCCATCATGCTTGGCTAATTTTTGTATTTTTGTAGAGATGGGGTTTCACCATGTTGGCCAGGCTGGTCCTGACCTCAGGTGACCCACCCACCTCAGCCTCCCAAAGTGCTGGGATTACAGGCATGAGCCACCATGCCTGGCTAGAGTTAGGTTTTTAACACCTAGGTTACATGCCTATGTTCTAGCCACTGTGGGCAACACGAGCAGTCCCACCCCACTCATCCACTGCCAACACCCAGCACAAGCTGTCATTTCTCTCCTAGACTCCTGCAATAACCTAACTGGTCTCCCACACCCATACCTTGCTATCTTTTCCCCACACCACAACTAGAGTACTCTTTTAAAAATAAAGTTCTGATCTTCTCGCCCTTTCTTGAAGCCTTCTAATGACTTTCAATTATACTTGTCTCAGGCCAGTCTTCTACTGGTGCCCAGCACTCCTGCTTTATTCTTTTTTTTTTTTTTAAGTGTCCCAGCATGCTCCACTGTCCTCCTCAAGCCTTTGAAAATTGCTTCTCCTTTTGCCTGAAATACTTGCCCCATTTAACTCCTTCATCTTTCCCATGTCAGCTAAAATATCTCTTCTGCAGAGTTTTCTCTTGTTCCTTGTATCGTCAGCAAACTGAGCATCATGAGAGAGAACCCATGTGTTTTTGCTCTTTGCTCCCTCCTCCAATCCTAGAACTGTGTGTGGCATATGGCGGGTACTCGGTAAATATATAAAGGAATAAAGAACAAATGTAGGTCCAAGCAAGGAGATGTCATTTCTCATTAACTGGCACTTGCGCCAAGGTTTAAGACTTAAGATTATGACTGGGTGTTTAACTGAAATGGGATTTGTCCCTTTAGTGGGATCAGAGAATAAGAAACATTTTATTTTGGCTGAGCACAGTGGCTCACACTTGTAATCTCAGCATTTTGGGAGGCTGAGGTGGGTGTATATCTTGAGTCCAGTTTGAGACCAGCCTGGGCAACATGGAGAAACCGCATTCCTACGAAAGTACAGAAGTTAGGCCAGGCACGGTGGCTCACGCCTGTAATCCCAGCACTTTGGGAGGCTAAGTTGGGTGGATCACCTAAGGTCAGGAGTTCAAGACCAGCCTGGCCAACATGGTGAAACCCCATCTCTACTAAAAATACAAAAATTAGCCAGGTGTGGTGGTGCATGTGTGGAATCCCAGCTACTCGCAAGGCTGAGGCAGAAGAATCACTTAAATCCGGGAGGCAGAGGTTGCAGTGAGCCAAAATGGCACCACTGCACTCCAGCCTGGGCAACAGAGGGAGACTCTGTCTCAAACAAAACAAAACAAAAATTAGTCAGATGTGGTGGTGCACACCTGTAGTCCCAGCTGTTTGGGAGGCTGAGGTGGAAGAATTGCTTGAGCTCAGGAGGTTGAGGGTCCAGTGAGCCATGAGCATGCCATGGCACTACTGCCTGGATTTATTTATTTATTTAGCTTGTTTTTGAGCCAGGGTCTTGCTGTTGTCTAGGCTGGAGTGCATAGGCACAATCATAGCTCGCTGCAGCCTTGAACTCCTGAGCTCAAGGGATCTTCCCGCCTCAGCCTCCTGAGTAGCTGGGACTACAGGCATGAGGACTACAGGCACACACCATCAAATTTTAAAAAATTTTTAAATTTTTTGTAGGGACAGGGGTCTCACCATCTTGCCTAGGCTGATCTTGAACTCCTAGCCCCAAGTGATCTTTCCACTTCAGCCTCCCAAAATGCTGGATTACAGGTGTGAGCCACCATGCCTGGCCAGAATAAGAAACGTAAGTAATAAATTAGATGGTGGGTTTTTTTGTGTGTGTGTGGCTTTTTTTTTTTTTTTTTTTTTAATTTTGAGATAGGGTCTCACTCTGTTGCTCAGGCTGGAATGTAGTTCTGTGATCATGTCTTGCTGCAGCCTTGGCCTTCCGGGCTCAATTGATCCTCTCACTTCAGCCTCCCAAGTAGCTGGAAATACAGGTATGCACCACCACTCTCAGCTAATTTTTGTATTTTTTGTAGACAGAGTTTTGGCATGCTGCCCATGGCTGGCCTCAAACTTCTGGGCTCAAGCGACCACTCACCTCAGCCTCCTGAAGTGCCTGGCCTAGTTGGTGTTCTACTGATAATTAATGCAGAGGTATATCTCAACACTACTGTTCACTTCAGCATCTTGGCAAAGAATCCTATTTTCTGTTAAACCCTCCTAGTTTTTTTGGTTTTTTTTTTTTGAGATGGAGTCTCGCCTTTTCGCCCGGGAAAAAGCACTGCCCAGGAGTGCAGTGGCACTATCTCAGCTCACCACAAGCTCTGCCTCCCGGGTTCAAGTGATTCTCCTGCCTAAGGCTCCCAAATAGCTGGGATTACAGGTGTGTGCCACCATACCCGGCTATTTTTTTATAGATATGGGTTACCATGTTGGCGAGGGTGGTCTCGAACTCCTGACCTCAAGTGATTCACCTACCTCGGCCTCCCAAAGTGCTGGGATTACAGGTGTGAGCCACCATGCCCAGCCCTCCCTCTTTTTTTTTTTTGAGACAGTCTCACTCTGTCGCCCAGGCTGGAGTACAAGGGCACGATCTCGGCTCACTGCAACCTCCGCCTCCCGGGTTCAAGCAATTCTCCTGCCTCACCCTCCTATCTGGAACTACAAGTGCACACCGCCACGCCCGGCTAATTTTTTGTATTTTTAGTAGAGACAGGGTTTCACCATGTTTCCCAAGCTGGTCGTGAACTCCTGAGCTCAGGCAATCTGCCCGCCTTGGCCTCCCAAAGTGCTGGGATTATAGGTGTGAGCCACCGCACCCGGCACTCCCTTTTTGTTTATACACTCAAAACATAGATGAAGACAAGGGAAAGCTTTTAATTATGTGCAATTTTATAATACAGATTATAAACAAATAGAACAATGAATAGTAGTACTTACTCCTTTCTTGTCATGAATCCAGGATTTAGGTCAACTCAATATGAAAAACTGAAGCACACTACAGACAACAGGACATAGAGAATGAGTGGTATTTCCTTCAAATTGAACATCTTGTGAAGTGACATATGTATCCCAATGATGCAAATAATGCTCAAAACTTTTTTTTTCATTTTTTTACAATTTTTAATTTTTTTTAAGACAGTGTCTCACTCTGTCGCTCAGGCTGGAGTGCAGTGGCGCAATTAGAACTCACTGCAGCCTCAACCTCCTGGGCTCAAACAATCCTCCCACCTCAGCCTTCTGAGTAGCTAGCACTACAGGCACACGCCACCACACCCAGCTAACTTTTTGTATTTTTTGTAGACAGGGTTTCACCTTATTTCTCAGGCTGGTCTTCAACTTCTGGGCTCAAGCAATCCACCCGCCTCAGTCACCCAAAATGCTAGGATTACAGGCGTGAGCCATTGCGCCCAGCCTCAAAACTCTTCTACCTAAAATCACCTTCAGAGCCATGCTAGAAAATTAGTATCATTCCTTTACAATCGGAATCCAACTTGGCCACTAAAATGTTTCCTTAGACTTGGTCCTAAATGATTTTTGGATTGTTTCAAAACCTGAAAAACACCTTCACAGGATAAAGATAAAAGAATGGGCCACTGGATCTGAAGATCATTTCAAAAAAGAAGTTTGAACTTTCAAGCATTTTGCACATTCCTGGGAAAATTGTCTATACAATATTCATTTGGATGTACAAATTCCATCACTTTTTGAAAAAAGTCAAAGTGTTCTACAGTCAGTCCTGCCAGTTATCTTCAAAGGCAACGAGCAGAAATCACGCAGTCACCACGTGCTGGGGCACTCTTCCCATTCCTCTCCTCTTGGGCACCTTGTGGCAGAAACTCTCATAAAGTCACTGACAAGATCCAGATCCAGATCCATGTATGGCAGGTGGGTTCTGTAGCTGAAGCTTCAACAGTTTTCGAGCTGGTGAGGGATCTAATTGTTGCATGCTTCTCTTTCCTGCAGAGAAAAGAGGCCAAAAAATAAATTTCAATTGAAATAACGTAACATTTATTGAAAACTTAATGTAGGGACATTGTGACACACATGGAAGGGCATTACAAAGACAAATAAGAGAGTCTCTGGCCTCAAGGAGATGACAATTTGGTAAGAATGCCAGCCACAGCTGGGCATGGTGGCTCACGCCTGTAATCCCAGCACTTTGGGAGACCAAGGCGGGACGATTCCTTGAGCCCAGGAGTTTGAGACTAGCCTGGGCAACACAGTAAGACCTTGTCTCTACAAAAAAAAAAAAAACAATTAGCCTAGCATGGTCCTAGCACGATCCTCCAACTACATGGGAGGCAAGAGGATCACCTGGGAGCCCAGAAAGTTGAGGCTGCAATGAGTCATGACTGCGCCCCTGTATTCCACCCTGGGCAACAGAGCAAGACCCTGTCTAAAAAAAAAAAAAAAAAGGGTGGCTCATGCCTGTAATCCCTGTAATCCCAACACTTTGGAAAGCCAACATGGGCAGATCACTTGCGGTCAGAAGTTCAAGACCAGCCTGACCAACATGGTGAAACCCCATCTCTACTAAAAATACAAAAATTAGCCAGGCATGGTGGCACATGCCTGTAATCCCAGCTACTCAGGCAGCTGAGGTGGGAGAATATCTTGAACTCCAGAGGCAGAGGTTGCAGTGAGCCAAGATCATGCCACTGCACTCTAGCCTGGGCAACAGAGCGAGACTGTCTCAAAAAAAAAAAAAAAAAAGAAAAAGAAAGAAAGAAAGAAAGCCAGCCACCACTACAATCACAATACAATGTGATCAATAAGAAGATGGAGGCTGGGAGCAGTGGCTCATGCCTGTAATCCCAGCACTTTGGGAGGCCAAGGCAGGTGGATCACCTGAAGTCAGGAGTTCGAGACCAGCCTGACCAACATGGAGAAACCCCGTCTCTACTAAAAATATAAAATTAGCCGGGCATGGTGGAGCATGCCTGTAATCCCAGCTACTCGGGAGGCTGAGGCAGAAGAATCCCTTGAACCCGGGAAGCAGAGGTTGCAGTGAGCCGAGATCGCACCATTGCACTCTAGCCTGGGCAACAAGAGTGAAACTCCGTCTCAAAAAAAAAAACAAACAAAAAAACCCAAAAAAACAAGATGGTCAGGTGCAGTGGCTCACACTTGTAATCCCAGCACTTTGGGAGGCTGAGGCAGGATGATCACTTGAGCCCAGGAGTTGAAGACCAGCCTGGACAAACAGGGGGACCCCATCTCTACAAAAAAATTAAAAATTTAGCTGGGTGTGGTGGTGGTGGTGCATGCTTTTAGTCCCAGCTACTCTGGGAGCCTGAGGTGAAAGGACTGCTTGAGCCTATCAGGTTGAGGCTGCAGTGAGCTGTGCAGTCATTGTGCCATTCACTCCAACCTGGATGACAAAGCGAGAGACTTTGCCCCCCCAGCCCAAAAAAAAAGTAGAAGAAGAAAGAAAATGAAGGTATGTATAGCCAATAATTTAGGGCTGGAAGGAGGTCAGGAAAAGCTAGGGAGGAGTAATGTCAGTGTCACTTAGTGAATTCTTGAGAAATGAAGAGGGAAAAAGCAATGGGTGGGTATTTCTTAAGTCTTGGATTTACCAAAACAACAACATATTTCATGGGGATTTAATTCTCAGTCTACTGTGCTTCTGTAGAATTTACATCTAGAAATTTCCTATCAACTCTGAGTACCCATAACATACTATTTATTGTGGGGAGAAAAACAAATCACCTCATATAGGTCTTACCCTCTTGGACCATAGGCTTTGAAGGGCAGTTTGTATCCCAAAGGCTATCATGGAAAACAGCCTGAACTCTGGTCCCCTCAAGAGACAAGCTTACCGAGCTGTACTGACACCTTCTGGAAGCACTGGGTACTTTCATCCATAAAGGCCTGCAGCTGTTTCACTGATCCTTGCAGTTCATCCATCTGTAGAAAAAAGACAGCTGTGAGCTGTAAAGGTCCATGGCTTCTTGGATGTTCCTCAAACCTGACAAGCAAGCTCTTGCTCAGGAGCTCTGGGCTTGCTGTTCTTTCAGCCTGGAATGCTTATGCCAGATAATTCTGTTTGTTCCTCCAAAGTCACACCACATTCTTCTCCAGGCTGCTCTATGCTCCAGGAGGCTGACCCATGTAACCTCTACCAACAGGATGCCTAAGTGGGAAGGAGCTGAACGAGTCATCTTGAGTTGGCTCAACTCAGCTAACCATGTGACTTTCTCCCATTAGATGCCACAGTAACTGCTACTCCCTCCTCCCTTTGAGTCCTAGGAGGAGTAAGAGCTCTACTGCCTATAAGCCCCAGGTTACTCCACTAACCCTTGTGGTTCTCCAATACCCATACCTTTCTATTTAGCCTTTCTGAAAATAAACTCTCCTTGAATTGTCCTTTCAAATGCCATCTGCTTGCTATTAATACCTGGTTTGACACAACACTACTCCCTCAAACGTCCTCATGGCTCATTTCCTTCAAGTCTGTTGAAATGGCACCTCAGAGGAGCCTTCAATAACCTTGCTATATAAAATAGCAACCCACCAACCTCCCTATACTGTCTGTCTCTCTTACCCTGCTTCATCAGCATTTACCACTATATATTCATTTGTTTATTATTTTTTAATTGTCTCTCCATGTTTTCCTAAGGTAGAGTTGAATATACATATTCAACTTACACTTATACATTTCTCCAGGTCTTTTAATTTCCAAGGATTACAAGGTGGCAAAGCTGGATAACTCAACTAAATAAACATGAGCCCACTTACCACCAACTCCATACAGTCAAAGACTTTGCTCTGGTTCTGTAATATTTTCTGGTAGTCAGGTTTTGTATTAAGAACTTCATTCTGAGAAGACCCAAGATATGTCATAGGTTCCACTTTGACCTCAGTAATTTTGGCCTCAGTTGATCCTCTAAAAACAAAACACAAGAGCTTTTGAGAGATTCTGTAATTATTTTCTGGAAGAGATACCAAAGATTATCCTATAAAGCTGAATCAGTATTCCTCCACTCTACGCTAGCTATAGGCTCACTTCTTAACAGAAAGGTTTTTTTTTGTTTGTTTGTTTGTTTTTGAGATGGAGTCTCACTCTGTTGCCCAGGATGGAGTGCAGTGGTGCGGTCTCAGGTCTCGGCTCACTGCAACCTCTGCCTCCCGGGTTCAAGCAATTTTCCTGCCTCAGCCTCCTGAGTAGCTGGGATTTCAGGCACCTGCCACCATGCCCAGCTAATTTTTTGTATTTTTAGTAGAGACGAGGTTTCACCATGTTGGCCAGGCTGGTCTCGAACTCCTGAACTTGTGATCTGCCCGCTTCGGCCTCCCAAAGTGCTGGAATTACAGGCGTGAGCCACCGCGCCTGGCCTTAACAAGAAGTTCTGAAACAATTGTCTAGTATTCATGTCTTTATACCTCCGGACTCCAGGAAATGCTGGAAGCTTCCAGTCAGTTGAATCCACTTAATAGTAAGGTCCATATACCAGAAGGACTATACTTGGGAGAGAGTGAAGCCAAAGCTTACTATCCTAAAGTCAGTGTCTATAATTGTTTACCAAAACATGCTGGCCTACTTCAATTATCTAAAATAACTGAACAGGACTGAGAGTTCATGAAAACTGATGAACAACAACTTTAATAACAACAACTACTACAATTTACTGAGTGCTAAGTATATGCCAGATATTACTGGGCACTTTACATTTAACCTAATTTGACACAATAACCCAATGAGGAAGGTACTAATATCATCCCCATTTTCAAATGAGGAACCTCAGGCTCATTCAAGACTAAGTGACTTGCCCAAGGTCACAAAACTAAGGAACAGTTAGAGTCTGAACAGACAGTCTGCTTCCAGAACCATTCCTCTTAACCTACAAGCTTTGCCACAAAAGATTTTATCTGAAACTAGCATCTTACACATTATCTATCTTCATAAATACAGTATGTAAGGGGTGAATAAAGTAACTGATAACCATCATTACCTGGATTGGGGAAATTTTTCAAACCATGCTCCTCAAAGCCCCTCTCTACTGAGAGGCCACTTTTGTAATTAGGGTTTTGACTAACATTTTGTAGTTGGGATTCTAGCTGATTCTATCTCAAAAAAAAGCTTAAAACCATGGTTTAAATGTTCAACTAAATCAAAATCTAGCATTTTCTGGCCAGGTGCTGTGGCTTACACCTGTAATCTCAACACATTGGGAGGCCAAGATGGGCAGATCACTTGAGGCCAGGAGTTCACGACCAGCCTGGCCAACATGGCAAAACCCTGTCTCTACTAAAAATACAAAAATTAGTGGGGTGTGGTGGAGCATGCCTGTAATCCCAGCTACTCGGGAGGCTGAGGCAGGAGAATCGCCTGAACTAGGGAGTTGGAGGCTGCAGTGAGCCGAGATCGTGCCACTGCATTCCAGCCTGGGCGACAGAGCAAAAAAACAAACAAAAAAACAACAAAAAAACACCCAGCCCAGCCTGGCCAACATGGTGAAATCCTGTCTCTACTAAAAATACAAAAATTAGCCACGCATCATGGCAGACACCTGTAGTCCCAGCTACTCAGGAGGCTGAGGCAGGAAAATTGCTTGAACCCGGGAGGCAGAGTGAGCTCAGATGGCGCCATGCACTCCAGCCTTGGCAACAGAGCGAGAGTCTGTCTCCAAAACAAAACAAAACAAAACAAAACAACACCTAGCACTTTCCTACTTTTCCTCTACCTTCAAGACCCAAAGATCCTCTCTTTCCTCAATCTTCCTCATCACCCACTTTCATGTCTTTCTGTCTCCAAGAAGGCCCTGGCCAAGGGCATCCCCCAAACCTGCAGCTCATAGGCCATGTGCTCACTGAAGCCCCTTGGTTACTGTTCTTGGCCCAACCCCAGGCTGCCAGATACAATGCAGAGATGTGTCTGTCTCCCCCAGGATATGAAATGTTAGCCAAGGACACAGAACAGAAACAATTGTGTTCTTGGACTGAAAATAGTGACACCAACTCTTCCTTCCTCTCACTCACTTCCCGTTTCTGGTCAGAGAGTGCTAATACACACTACAGAATTTGATGAGCTTATTGGCCCGTGAGAAAGGATTCATCTTTCAATTTGTGCTAACAGAACTGAAATAAACACCAATCAAACTCCATAAGATTTTTAAAGAGTTTTTACAGTTCATAGATCTAACCTGGACAATATCTCTTTAGCCTCCTGCTGGTAGTGAAGCAAGAGCTGATCCCAAGTCTGACGTTCTAAAGAAAACCTGTAAGAATCAGGAAAAAAAGTTCAGTTAATTTTTATAATCTTATTCTGAATCACTCACAGTAACAATAAGTATGTGAGGTGTACAATCTGGATGTAAAATGTGAGTTGACAGGTCATTACAGGGTTAGAAAGCCTGACCAATTCAGAGAATATTTAATCATATCAAACCTGAGTTCTTCAAGTCAAATTAATATTTGTATTCTCTAGACTCCATTCTATGAAATTGATCATTAGTAGAGTCCATAAAAATCTCAATATGCAGCCTTCTAACTTCTAGTATTGATGCACTAATGCTGACTCTCCAAATACAATGCTTACTATTCATTTTTTCCAAGTTAGTTAATTTCCCCAGATGGGAGAACGAATTTAGATTTTCTAACAAAGGTTAACTTACTTTGTTATGTATTCCTTCATCTCAGCCACAGATGCTTCCAAAGAAAAATCTGATGCTTTTCTGGAAAACAGATAGGATTATGACATAAATCTTTCAAGAAATATTTGCTTTAATATAATCGCTTATAAATTAGTTATTTATTTATTTCAGACGGAGTTTCCCTCTTGTTGCCCAGGCTGGAGTGCAATGGCACAATCTTGGCTCTCTGCAACCTCTGCCTCCCTGGTTCAACAGATTCTCCTGCCTTAGCCTCCAGAGTAGCTGGAATTATAGGCATGTGCCACCACGCCCGGCTAATTTTGTATTTTCAGTAGAGGTGGGGTTTCTCCATGTTGGTCAGGCTGGTCTCAAACTCCCGACCTCAGGTGATCCGCCCGCCTCAACCTCCCAAAGTGCTGGGATTACAGGCATGAGCAACAGCACCCAGCTATTTATTTATTTTTGAGACGGAGTCTCGCTTTGTCACCCAGGCTGGAGTACAGTGGCATAATCTCGGCTTGCTGCAACCTCTGCCTCCCGGGTTCAAGTGATTTTCCTGCCTCAGCCTCCAGAGTAGCCGGGACTACAAGTGCCCATGACCATCCCTAGCTAATTTTTGTATTTTTAGTAGAGACGGGGTTTCACTATGTTGGCCAGGCTGGTCTCAAACTCCTGACCTCATGATCCATCCACCTCAGCCTCCCAAAGTGCTGGGATTACAGGCGTGAGCCACCACACCCAGCCTTTTATTTATTTACTTTTAGTAGAGATGGAGTCTCGCCATGTTGCCCAGGTCTCAAACTCCTGGGCTCAAGTGATCCTCCCACCTTGGTCTCCCAAAATGCTCAGATTACAGGTGGGAGCCACCATGCCCAGAATCCCTTACATAATTTTTGTCTTTCAAAAAATACTTAATGTTGGACTCTATTTCACTTTTCCACTAGGTAATAACTTTCTTTTTTTTTGAGATGGAGTCTCACTCTGTCACCCAGGCTGGAGTGCAGTGGCGCAATCTTGGCTCACTGCAAGCTTCACCTCCTAGGTTTATGCCATTCTCCTGCCTCAGCCTCCCGAGTAGCTGGGACTACAGGCGCCCGCCACCACACCCGGCTGATTTTTTGTATTTTTAGTAGAGACGGGGTTTCACTGTGTTAGCCAGGATGGTTTCGATCTCCTGACCTCGTGATCCGCCCGCCTCGGCCTCCCAAACTGCTGGGATTACAAGCATGAGCCACTGTGCCGGGCTTGCACTAGGTAATAGCTTTCTAAGCTGTAGGTAATAAATAGCTAGGTAATAGCTTTCTAAGTGGTCTCTTTATATTCTGTTTCTCTTATCAATTCCAATTCACATCATGGCCAGATTAACCTTTCTTAAAATATTTCTCTAATTTCTTTTTCTCGTTGCTTAAAAACTCTGTGACTCTCAGCCAGGCGTGGTGGCTCACGACCGTAATCCCAGCAGTCTAGGAGACCGAGGCAGGCGGATTACCTGAGGTCAGGAGTTGAAGACCAGCCTGGCCAACATGGTGAAACCCCGTCTCTACTAAAAATACAAAAATTAGCCAGGCATGGTGGCACACACCTGTAATCCCAGCTACTAGGGAGGCTGAGGCAGGAGAATTGCTTGAGCCCAGGAGGTGGAGGTTGCAGTGAGCTGAGATCGTGCCACTGCACTCCAGCCTGGCCAACAGAGCGAGACTCTGCCTCAAAAAAAAACAAAAACAAAAACAAAAAAACAACTCTGTGACTCTCTACTGCATACAGAAGAAAAGTCAAAACTCCTTAACCTGGCACTTAAGGCTCTCTGTGTTCTGGTACCGTCCAGCTTACCAACTTTGATTCCTACTGTTACCCAATGGCTTAAATGAGTGGGGTAATTAATTCTTATGAAAAAGAAGCAGGCCTGAAAATGCCAAAATATTTTATATGTACTTGGTATTCTACCTCGCAAAAACAAATTATTTGTGCCACCATTCAGGTTTTTTTCTAGAAAAGCCTGAGACACACAGCCATTACCACCTCTGGCTAAGAAACACTAGCCTGTGCTAAAATATACTGCATTAAAAATAGGCCCGGTGTGGTGGTTCACGCCTCTAATCCTAGCACTTTGGGAGGCCAGGAAGGGTGGATCACCTGAGGTTAGGAGTTCGAGACCAGTCTAGACAATACGGTGAAACCCTGCCTCTACTAAAAATACAAAAATTAGTTGGGCGTGGTGGCAGGTGCCTGTAATCCTAGCTACTCGGGTTAGGCTGAGGCAGGAGAATCACTTGAACTTGGGAGGCAGAGGTTGCAGTGAGTAGAGATTGCGCCATTACACTCCAGCCTGGGTGACGAGAGCAAAATTCCATCTCAAAAAACAAACAAAAAAAGAGATGCTACTTTAAACTAAAATGTTTTTCATTTCCTGTCTAGCAATGTCAATCCTAAAGACCTTTGTGAAGTCAAAACCTAAAGTTCATGATGTAAGCCCAAGTGAAGTGACTTGTTGCTGGGTGGAAATTAGGGTGTTAAGGATGTTAGTCTCACCCCTACAGAGGAAGTACCAGTTTTGGGGGTAGTTTTAAATTTCTGCTAATATTCAAGAGCCATGTTCTTTGGCTCTTGGCAAGGTAGCAAAGATGTGAATTATGTTTTTCCCCTCATCTTTTCATGGCTGGTTCCTTCTCACCATTCATATCTTACAGGTTTCAAGCCCAAGGTCAAATCATTAGAGGTCTCTGAACACTCCAGCTAAAGTTGCCCACCCCCTCAAGTCATGATTATATTTACTGACCTAGATTATCGCTGAGTCATTATTTCCCATATATTTGTTTATTGTGTCTTCTATTATAATGTATGACAAAAGAGACCTTGCTTCACTTGTCATTATATCACCAGCATCTAAAAGAGCCTGGTACATAAGACGCTGAATCCGCTGGGTGTGGGGGCTCATGGCTGTAATCCCAGCACTTTGGGAGGCAGAGGCAGGAGGATCGCTTGAGCCCAGGAGTTCTAAAGGCCTCAGTAACATAGGGAGACCCCGCCTTTAAAATTAAAAATAGGCCGGCGCGGTGGCTCATGCCTGTAATCCCAGCACTTTGGGAGGCTGAGGCAGGCAGATCACCTGAGGTTAGGAGTTCAAGACCAACCTGGCCAACATGGTGAAACTTCATCTCTAGAAAAATACAAAAAATAAGAACAGGCAGGATGGCTCACACCTATAATCTCAGCACTTTGGGAGGCTAAGTAGGGCGAATTACTTGAGGTCAGGAGCTCGAGACCAGCCTGGCCAGCATGGTGAAACCCCCATCTCCCCCATCCCTACTAAAAATACAAAAAAATTAGCCAGGCATGGTGGCGCATGCCTGTAGTCCCAGCTACCTGGGAGGCTGAGGCAGGAGACTGGTTTGAACCCGGGAGATGGAGGTTGCAGTAAGCCAAGATTGCACCATTGCACTCCAGCCTGGGGTACAGAGCAAGACTCCGAATCAAAAAATAAATAAATAAATAAAAAGAGAAGATGCTGAATAAATGTTTGTTGGTGAATGAACAACTATCTAATTACAACAAAAGTCCTAATTCTTTTTTTTTTTTTTTTTTTTTTGTGAGACAGAGTCTCTCTCTGTCACCCAGGCTGGAGTGCAGGGGCGCGATCTTGGCTCATTGCAAGCTCCGCATACCGGGTTCATGCCATTCTCCTGCCTCAGCCTCCCGAGTAGTTGGGACTACAGGCGCCTGCCACCACGCCTGGCTAATTTTTTATTTTTATTTTTAGTAGAGATGGGGTTTCACCGTGTTAGCCAGGATGGCCTTGATCTCCTGACCTCGTAATCCGCCCACCTCGGCCTCCCAAAGTGCTGGGATTACAGGCCTGAGCCACCAACGCCCGGCCTAAAGTCCTAATTCAATCATAATTTAGGACAGAAGGGGAACTGCTCTTACCCATTTGAATCTTCAAAACATTTTTGTAGAGTTCCATCAGTTTCCAGTCCGTCTGCAAAATGTTTCAATTCTTCAGAAAGAGAAGATGCTAGACAGCACAAATTTACGTGTCATAAAATAAAGGAAATATACGTTTTCATAGTGAGATGCTGACAAAGGTATATTAAGGTAGTCTCAGCTCTAGGTACTGTTACATGTTGGTCCTCAAGCCCACCCAAAAGTGTGGAGTTAAGTATGTAGAAAGATTTTATCTTTTTTTTCTGGTAGGTATAGATAAAATGAAAGACAACTCATTTTTATCTATTTATTTAGACAGACTCTCGCTCCGTCACCTAGGCTGGAGTGCAGTGGTGTGATCTCAGCTCACTGCAACCTCCACCTCCTGGGCTCAAGCAATATAACCCCCGCCTCAGCCTCCCTATTTGCTGGGAATATAGGCAGCACCACCATGCCCAGCTAAATTTTGTATTTTCTGTGGAAATGGGGTTTTACCATGTTGTCTAGGCTGGTCTCCAGTTCCTTGGCTCCAGCGATTCGCCTGCCTCAGCTTCCCAAAGTCCTGGGATTGTAGGCGTAAGCCACTGTGCCCAGCCTTTATGACATTTATGATAAATGTTTCTATAAATGAACTGTGAAAAAGCAGTTTAAAAGGTATATCTGAGGCTGGGCGGGGTGGCTCACACCTGCAATCCCAGCACTTTGGGAGGCCAAGGCAGGCATATCACTTGAGGTCAGGAGTTTGAGACCAGCCAGGCCAACATGATGAAACCCTGTCTCTACTAAAAATACAAAAATATACCTGGGCGTGGTGGTACACGCCTGTAATCCCGGCTACTCGGGAGGCTGAGGCAGGGGAATCGCTTGAACCTGAGAGGCAGAGGTTGCAGTGAGCTGAGACGGTGCCACTGCACACCAGCCCGGGCAAGAATGAGACTCTGTCTCAAAAAAAGAAAAAAAAAAAAAAAAAAAAAAAGAAGTCAGGCAATAGGCAAGAGGGTAATAAGAAACACGGAGGCAAATAAAAAATTATGGGCATAGCCGGGCATAGTGCTTGTAGTTCCAGCTACTTAGGAGGATTGCTTGAGCCCAGCACAGCTTGAGCAACATAGTGAAACCCCATCTCTTTATTAGAAAAAAAGAAAACCAGGCTGGGCGCAGTGGCTCATGCCTATAATCCCAGCACTTTGGGAGGCCAAGGCGGGCAGATCACGAGGTCAAGAGATCAACACCATCCTGGCCAACATGGTGAAACCCCATCTCTACTAAAAATACAAAAATTAGCTGGGCGTGGTTGCGCATGCCTGTTGTCCCAGCTACTCAGGAGGCTGAGGCAGGAGAATCACTTGAACCTGGGAGGCGGAGGTTGCAGTGAGCCGAGATTGCACCACTGCACTCCAGCCTGGCAACAGAGCAAAACTCTGTCTCAAAAAAAAAAAAAAAAAAAAAAAAAAGAAAGACAGAAAACCAAAAAGGCCAGGCATAGTGCCTCACTGCTATAATCCCAGAACTTTGGGATGCTGAGGTGAGAGTTTCACTTGAGCCCAGGAGTTCAAGACCAGCCTGAGCAACACAGCAAGACCCCATGTCTACAAAAAAATTTTTTTTAGAAAGTTAGCTGGGTGTGGTGGCACATGCCTATAGTTCCAGCTACTTGGGAGGCTGAGGAAGGAGAAATGCTTGAGCCTAGGAGATCAAGGCTACAGTTAACTGTGATCATGCCAGTGTACTCCAGCCTGGGCAACAGAGCGAGATCCTGTCTCAAAAAAAAAAAAAAATTATGGGCGTAAGGTTAAAAACAGGCCTCTGCTAGACTTGAAGAGTCCACTACTACATTCAGGTGAAGAACACTAAGGGGAAAGGCTATGTTAATTAGTTATCAGGATAATCCTAGCATATCTACTTTAATTAAGGTGATGGTACAATTCTGAGATAAACAATTTTAACTGGCAAGTAAGCCCAAGTTCATGTATTTTCTAGATCTTTTAAGTGGGTAAACTTGAGTATTTCTGACCCTGGATAAGTGTATATTTACACTATTAGCAGAATAGGTACTTCCTAGAAAGTTCAATCATTAGTATTTTATTTCACAGACAACTAGCTAACTGCCTCGTAATATGAAGAGTTCCTACCAATCAATGTAAAAGAGCCACCATCCTAAGTTTTAAAAACGAACATGAGGCTGAGCCATGGTGGCTCGCGCCTATAATCCCAACACTTTGGGAAGCTGAGGTGGGTGAATCACCTGAGGTCAAGAGTTTGAGACCAGCCTGGCCAACATGGCGAAACCCTGTCTCTACTAGAAATACAAAATTAGCCAGGCATGGTGGTGCATGCCTGTAATCCCAGCTACTCCAGAGGCTGAGGCAGAAGACTCGCTTGAACCCAGGAGGTGGAGGTTGCAGTGAGCCAAGATCGCACCACTGTACTCCACCCTAGGAGACAGAGTGAGACTCCATCTCAAAAAAAAAAAAAGAAAGAAAGTACAAATGGCTCTAAAAATATGAAAAAAGAAAAAATGCTTATCTTCTTCAAAAGAAAAAGGAACACAGATTAAAACTACAAAATATCTTCTATCACCTATCATATAGTAAGAAAATCTAAAAGGCTTTTTTATTGGTGAGAGTGTAAGAAAACAAGTCCCTACATGTATTGCTGGTGAGAGAATAAATTGATACCACTTGTCTGGGAAGCAATCTGGTAATTCCCATAATTTCATTTGAACTAGTTAATTCCAATTCTAAGAATTTATCTTCTTTTTACTTGCATACGTGCCAAAAGGCTTGTGTTAAAAAAAAAAAAAAAAAAAAAAAAAAGGCCAGATGCAGTGGCTCATGCCTGTAATCCCAGCACTTTGGGAGGCCAAGGTGGGCGGATCACCTGAGGTCGGGAGTTCGAGACCAGCCTGACCAACATGGAGAAACCCCGTCTCTACTAAAAATACAAAATTAGCCCGGCGTGGTGGCACATGCCTGAAATCCCAGCTACTAGGGAGGCTGAGGCAGGAGAATTGCTTGAGCCTGGGAGGCAGAGGTTGCAGTGAGCCAAGATTGCACCACTGCACTCCAGCCTGGGCAACAAGGTGGCTCACGCCTGTAATCCTAGCACTTTGGAAGGCGGAGGCAGGCGGATCATGAGGTCAGGAGATCGAGACCATGGTGAAACCCCGGCTCTACAAAAAATACAAAAAATTAGCCGGGCGCAGTGGCCGACGCCTGTAGTCCCAGCTATTCGGGAGGCTGAGGCAGGAGAATGGCATGAACCCGGGAGGCGGAGCTTGCAGTGAGCCGAGATCCCGCCACTACACTCCAGCCTGGGCGACAGAGCGAGAGTCTGTCTCAAAAAAAAAAAAAAATTCATTACATTATTTACTGTAGTAGCAAAAGACTAAAAAAAAAAAAAAAAACAAAAAACAACACTTAAAGCCTATTAGTAAAGAACTAGTTAAATCCAGGCCGGGCACAGTGGCTTGTACCTGTAATCCCAGCACTTTAGGAGGCCAAGGCGGGCGGATCACCTAAGGTCAGGAATTAGAAACCAGCCTGGCCAACATGGCGAAACCCCGTCTCTACTAAGTATACAAAAAATTAGCTGAGCGTGGTGGTGGGTGTCTGTAATCCCAGCTACTCAGGAGGCTGAGGCAGGAGAATCGCTTGAACCCAGGAGGCAGAGGATGCAGTGAGCCAAGACTGTGCCACTGTATTCCAGCCTGGGTGACAGAGCCGCGACTCCATCTCAAAAAAAAAAAAAAAAAAGAAAAAAAAAGCAATAAATATTTCTGCAAGGATACACAAGAAACTGGTGGCCATAGCTACCTTTGGGGAGAGGAACTTAGACTGGGGGCCAGAATGGAAGGGAAGATTATTTTCCACTTTCACACTTCCTTAGCTTCATAAGCATGTATTCTTGCAATTTAAAAAAAGTAGGGGGCTGGGCACAGTGGCTCATGCCTGTAATCCCAGCACTTTGGGAGGCCAAGGTGGGCAGATCACTGAGGTCAGGAGTTCAAGATCAGCCTGGCCAACATGGTGAAACCTCTTCCCTACTAAAAATACAAAAATTAGCCAGGTGTGGTGGCTCCCAGCTACTCGGGGGGCTCAGGCAGGAGAATTGGTTGAACCCAGGAGGCAGAGGCTGCAGTGAGCCAAGATCACCCTACTGCACTCCAGTCTGGGCAAGAGTGAGACTCTGTCTAAAAAACAAAAGGTGGGGGAGCTAGTTTTATAAGGGAGCAGCTTCTGTAAATGGGGATGCTGTGAGCAAAGCTTTGACTGCCCAGGGTCAAAGCTCACTCATCTGTTAGCAACTTACCTTTGGCTCTAAAACTTTCAAGACTGAAGCCCTTAGTGTCCCTTAGGAAAGGTTCAAGTTTCTGAATAGAGAACTAAATAAAGAAAAGCATTTTTAGTACAACCACCAAAAACTTCCAGGCCAGTCCTAAATTTATGTCATTTTATGATGTTTAATAAATATGAAACTAAATACTAAATATGATGTAATTTTTACACATAAGACTTTTCACAGAAACAAATAAATAGATAAGGGAAAAAAAAAAAACTCTTTGTTGACCAGGCACAGTGGCTTACGTCTGTAATCCCAGCACTTTGGGAGGCTGAGACAGGCGGATAATAAGGTCAGGAGATGGAGACCATCCTGGCCAACATGGTGAAACCCCATCTCTACTAAAAATACAAAAAAAATTAGCGGGGCATGGTGGCGCGTGCCTGTAGTCCCAGCTACTCGGGAGGCTGAGGCGGTAGAATCGCTTGAACCTGGGAGGCGGAGGTTGCAGTGAGCCGAGATTGTGCCACTGCACTCCAGCCTGGTGACAGAGCAAGACTCCGTCTCAAAAAAACAACAAAAAACAAACAAAGAAAAAACAAAAGACTTTTTGTTGCTTGGACTACAGATTTTGACTTTCGGTTCAGGAAAAAAAAAAGGTTATTTAATTCACACAAATTACCTGCTTATCTAAATTGATGTAAGCACCTGGTAGCCACATAATACACAATACACCTTAAAAAAAGGCTGGGCACGGTGGCTCACACCTGTAATCCTAGCACTTTGGGAGGCCAAGGTGGGTGGACTGCCTGAGCTCAGGCATTCAAGACCAGCCTGGGCAACATGGTGAAACCCCGTCTCAACTAAAATGCAAAAAATTAAGGGCTGGATGCGGTGGCTCATGCCTGTAATCCCAGCACTTTGGGAGGCCGAGGCAGGCGGATCAGGAGGTCAGGAGATCGAGACAATTCTGGCAGACATGGTGAAACCCTGTCTCTACTAAAAGTACAAAAATTAGCGGGGCGTGGTGGCATGTGCCTGTAGTCTCAGCTACTCGGGAGGCTGAGGCAGGAGAATCACTTGAACCTGGGAGGCGGAGGTTGCAGTGAGTCAAGATCATACCACTGCACTCCAGCCTGGGTGACAGAGTCAGGCTCCATCTAAAAACAAAAGATTGTCACAATAGCAGTTAACAAACACAAAAACATTTCCTAGTTATAAGAACCTTACCTGGAAACTGGAAAGCAGGAGACAGCCAAGCCGTTTGCTTTCTGCTAAATCGACACTGATAGACCGGCTGAGCTCTAACATAAAACATAGCCACATTTAAGGAGCTGGATAGTTACATAGTTAGCAACTAACAAAACTGAAAAATGTCCTCCCTCTTGATAAATCCAACTTAAGGCAAGAACAGCCTTCTTTAGTTAAAGACAGAATTCTAATTTTTGCAGGATCACTGAGGAATGAAGTTTACCCATTTGTTCATCTAAACTTAAAAAAAAAAAAGTTATAAGAATCTTTGTATTGGGCAGGTACGATGCTCATGCCTATAGTCCCAACACTCTGGGGCCGAGGCATGGGATCACTTGAGACCACGAGCTGGAGACTAGTCTGGACAACATGGTGAAATCCCGTCTCTACTAAAAACAGAAAAATTAGCCAGGAGTGGTGGCATGCGCCTGTAATCCCAGCTACTCCAGAGGCTGAGGCATGAGAATCAAAAGGGCTCAGGAGGCGGAGGCTGCAGTGAGCCAAGAGGTTGCAGTAGCTGAGATTACAGGCATGCGCCACCACACCCAGGTAATTTTTTGTATTTTTAGTAGAGACAGGGTTTCCCCATGTTGGCCAGGCTGGTCTTGAACTCCTGGCCTCAAGTGATCTGCCTGCCTTGGCCTTCCAAAGTGCTGGGATTACAGGTGGGAGCCACTGTGCCTGGCCACATCTGAGCTTTTTTATAGGACAGGCACTGCAATGTGCTTTAAACACTCTGTACTGTATACTATAAGAAGAGTACTATTATAAAGTTCCATTTTACAAATGGGAAAACTGCAGCTCTGAGGGGAAATGACTTGCTTGAGGCCAGAAACTGGAAATCGGTGGAGCCAGAATTCAAACCCAAGTCTCTCACCGATATCTGTGTTTTTCCCTCTATTACCACACTGCCTCTCTATAATGACCTCATAATAGCATTAATAACTAACATTTGTTGAACACTTGCTATATAAAAAGCATTTTATGAAATGCTATATACGTATTTCATTAAACCTTGAGGCAAGTATCCTATGAATTCCATTCAGATAACAGATAATGACACAGGCACAAAGTAATAGGTCACTTGCCCAAGGTCATAGAGTGAGTTATTAGACTGAATTGGGTGAGCATTTTACATAATTATGCAACTGAATCCCTAACCAATCGCAAGATGTAGATACCGTTTTTTAAAATTATGTCCACTTGTAAACAATTACTACATAGCAAAGGAATTTTGCTTTGTGAATTATGAGAGCTACATGTCTTTTTGCCCTCTAGCTTCAGCTGGTTGTGTTTTTAAAGTTCTTGTCTCTTAATTGTCACTGCTGTTAGTCAAGAAAAACAGGATACTTTCTGCCTATAACCAAGGAAACCTGACAGGTTGCCAGAAATAACCAGGCAAGAACCAATCTTATTACACTGATGCTTTTCTGTTTAAGTCTAAATACTCCGGCATAGAGCTAAAGGTAGGGCTAATCTTGGGATGCACTGATGTTTTCTCAGCACATTTAGGGACTAAAGTACATGGGCCTTGTGGCAGCAATTTTCTGATGTGCTAAGTGCCTATCTTTACCCAGATTTCCTTCTGTGCATCAGACCACTTGGAAATAGGACGATACCTTAAAACTAATCACAGTAGCTTAACATTTCAGGGCTTACTATGTCCCAAGTACTGTGTTATGTAAGATAGGTACTATTTCATCTCCAAGTTGCTGATGAGGACCTTAAGACAAAGAAGGTTAAGTAATTTACTCAACATCACAGAGCTAGTATAGTCTTCCTGAAATATGCAAGCTTTTCCACGTTATGTTCTGTACTTTGATGCTAAGATATAGTTACTATTGTAAATTCACACAAAATGACACAAATCACGTTCTGTATAGCATCCCTAAAAACTGTTTTTCACTGTAGATACACACACACACACACACACACACACACACACACACACAGAGAGAGAGAGACAGAGAGAGAAAGAAAGTGAGGCGGGGGTGGGTGGGGTGCAGGGAGGGAAGAGGGAAGGGAGAGGGGTGGGGTGCAGGGAGGGAGGAGGGAAGAGAGAGGGGATAGGGAAAAAGAGACAAAGTTTTTTAGAGACAGGGGTCTTACTTTGTCACCCAGGATAGATTGAGTGGCGCAATCATAGCTCACTGCCTTCTTGAATTCCTGGGCCCAAGTGATCCTCTTGCCTCAGCCTCTCTCCAGTAGCTGGGACTACAGGTACGTGCCACCATGCCCTGCTATTTTTTTAAAAACTTTTTGTAGAGATGGGGTTTTGCCATCTTGCCTAGGTTGTCCTCAAACTCCTGGACTCAAGCAATCCTCCTGCCTCCCAAAGTGCTGGGATTATAGGCATGAGGCACCGTGCCTGGCCCACTCTAGATATTTGTATGTGCATCTTCCCTCTGAGGTATTTCCAGTTATAAAGGCTAAAATCAGGTATCAACCCAACTATCTTCTGCTCCACTTTAGGGTATGAGACAGAAAACCACAGAAAGAAATCTTTAATGTTTCTCACCCTAGCAGAGGTGAGTATTGAACAATTAGAAATTTATTTGTGGCAGCTAATAATATAATATAAGTAGTAAGCCAGGTGCAGTGGCTCACGCCTGTAGTCCCAGCTACTTGGGAGGCTGAAGTGGGAGGATTGCTTGAGCCCAGAAGTTCAAGTCCAGCCTAGACAAAACAGCAACATCCTGTCTCTTAAAAAGAAATAGCAGTAATACTGAACATTTACTAGGTGTTTGACATCAGTACTTATAAAGTAGCAAGTCATGTCTATTCTCCCACACTTTCTGCCATACCTCACTGCCTCTTATCTGAGCTGGAACCTGTCTCTTATCTGAGCTGGAACCTCACTGTCTTGTGTACACAGCACCCCACCTGTGATGCCCTGGTGAATGGGATGCAGCGACTTCCGCCGGTTCGTTTCTTTCATACTTGCTCGCCGCCAGGATTGCCTCCTGTCTTGATAACTGGCAGATTGTTCTTGAGGAGACAAATGAAGGGACTTCGACTGAAGTCTTTCCTGGTGGCTGAGATCACAATTTCCCCCTTTTTTAGGGCTAGAGCCAAGGTGAATTCTTTCCTCTGAAACGCCTTGATTCATCTCCAGGGAGGCAGATGTTTTAGCAAACACTTCCACAGGACTGAGACTTGATTCCAATTGATGATCATGAGTCTTAGACATCACTGGTCCTTTTTCTAGTATTTGTTATAAAAAAGTCAAAATACAAGATCAAGCCCGCCACAACTATTTGTGCAAAAAAGTGGAAAAAGTAAATGTATGCCCCTAGATCGTGGAAACATAAAGAAAGCATCTCTGCAAATAATGAGTATGTGATTCCAAATCTACCAGGAGCCAGGAAAGATTTGGGTATAGCTCAGAAGCCTGAACCCAAGGTAAGAGGTACTGAATTTCACTACAATACTTACCATCTATGATCTCTGATCTAGTCACTGAAGTCATCCTAGGTGGTAAACTCTGAAAATAGGAAAATGGAAGTGATCTGTTCTTCACGTTTCACTGCAGTCTCAATGGGGCTTTACAGCCCCAGAATAAATAGGCCGTGTGCTTTCCAGCCTCTCTGAGCTACCCTTATCCACCTCCCTGACAGAGAATATCAGCAGGGGCCATCACCTCCTCTTCTGAATTTCTATACACTTTATTGCTAGAAATATTCAAATCTCCCTGAACACATACCCTACCTTACTTCCCAGTTACTTTGTGTTTAACTAGTCCCTAATTCCATTGATGACATTATGGTCTACCTGGTCTTCCAAACTAGAAAAACCACATCATCCATTACTTCTTATTCTTAGTTCTCCAGATCCAAAGTCCTAACTGTTTTATAAACAGTCTCTAAATCTTTTCTCCATTCTCACTGTTACTAGTTTATTTATTATTTTGAGACAGGGTCTTGCTCTGTTGCCCAGGCTGGAGTACAGTAGCACAATCTTGGCTCACTGCAACCTCCTCCTCCCCAGTTCAGGTGATTCTCCTGCCTCAGCCTCCTGAGTAGCTGGGATTACAGGAATGCACCACCATACCTGGCTAATTTTTGCATTTTTAGTAGAGATGGGGTTTCCCCATGTTGGCCAGGCTGGTCTCAAACTCCTGGCCTCAAGTGATCCACCAGCCTAGGCCTCCCAAAGTCTGGGATTACAGGCGTGAGCCACCACGCCCAGCCTCACTGTTACTAGTTTAGTTCAGGTCTCATAATTTCTGGTCCCTCCCACTATCTTAATAGTCTCTCCACTAGTTTTTCTACCTCCAACGGCCCGTCTCCAGTCTATTCTTTGTTTTTGTTTTTTTTTGAGGTGGAATCTCACTCTGTCGCCAAGGCTGGAGTGCAGTGGCGCAGTCTCGGCTCACTGCAACTTTCACCTCCCAGGTTCAAGCAATTCTCCTGCCTCAGCTTCCTGAGTAGCTGGGATTACAGGTGCCTGCCACCACACCTGGCTAATTTTTGTATTTTTAGTAGCGATGGGGTTTCCCCATATTGGCCAGGCTGGTCTCGAACTCTTGACCTCAGGTGATCCGCCCGGCCTCAGCCTCCCAAAGTGCTGGGATTACAGGCCTGAGCCACCACACCCGGCCCAGTCTATTCTTCAGACAGTTGCCGGGACTTTTCCAAAGTGTAGTCAACACCTCAGGTAAACTAGTCCCAATTTACCCATTCCTGCTCTCTCCTCCCAGTCCTATTCCCTGTACTACTTCTGAATCTTTGCACATATCTGTCCTTCTACCTGTTAAACTTATTCATCCTTCCCAACCTGGCTCAAATATGAAGCTTTCACATCACTTATCTTTGGCAGAGTTGGTGGTTATGCCCCTTGGCCTTCGTAGCATTGGCTATAAAATCTGTTTACATGTCTGTCTCCCCAGCCAGGCTGTATTTGTATTCCTAGTGACTGTCAGGAACAACTGCCTGGAAGGCAGGGATGTCACCTAGGCATCTCTTCATCGTCCCCTCCCTCCCAGCAGAAATCTGTCTGTGGGGGGTGCTAAGTAAAAAGATATGAATATATGCAGAGGGACAAAAAGGAAAAGATAACAAGGAGGGCTCGGTCAAGGATCTGAATCCCCCACGGTCCTTATGACAATATCACACAAATCCAGGCTTGGATAATAACGACTGTATCACACAGATCCAGGCTTAGAAAAGCAACAACTGTCAACTGTTAAACGCTTATTCTGTGCTAGGACCTGTGCTATGTAAGCGCTTTACTTGCATCGTTATTCCACTTAATCCCTTCCACAACTCCGTAAGCACCATTAACTCCACTTTGCAGACAGGGGAACTGAGGTTCAGAGGGGCAAAAAGCCTGGCCCAAGCTTGTGACACAGCCAGCCTGGGGGCACAGGGGCAATTCGAACCCCAGCCCTCTACCCAGTCCTCACCCCTGTTTCTGGAGCCTAGACCCCTGGCACGGCAGATACGTCTCTAATGGGGTCGGTAAGGGGGACTGCCCTCGGGTTTCATTTCACCCGGGAGGAGGTCGCAGCGCCCTCGGGGACCCCCAGTGTCCACGGTCGGGGCCGGGGCTGCGGCGGGTCGAGCTGGGCCGACGGGTACGACGCCGAAGAGATTAGTGCGGCGGCGGGCGGGGCCACATCAGAGGACAAGTCTGTGACTTCCTGACGCCCGTCCAGTCCGGAACCTCCGTACCTGAAACACAAGGCCACGGGTCGCTCTCCACAGCCCCAGGTCACTCCTGGACGCCTTGCGCACCCGCAGCCGATACTCCCTGATCAGGGTGAAGCGGTCTCCACCTTCTACGTCACGGTCACCGCCTCCGAAACTCCCGCCAACCAAGGGCGCATGCGCGGCCGTCAGTTTCTCGGGCACGCGCGCGCAGAACGCCTGCCTCCGGCGATGCACATGCGTACACCGCCGCCCGACGCGCATGCGTACACCGCCGTCCAACGCTCCTGCCAGCTCCGCTCCTCTAGTCCAAGTCCTTTAGGTCCTGTCTGGCCACGTCACCACCTCCCCGCAACACCCCGCCCGGGAGTCCCTTTCCGGGACCCGCCACACTATCGTGTCCTTTTGCGCCCGACGGCCCCAGAGCCCATCTAAGATGGGGGAAACAGAGGCCCGGAGAGATTCTTGCCGGAGGAATACAGCGCCTCAAAGGGCATCTGATGCCCTGTCCCCGTCGCTAGGCTCTGGTTCCCACTCCCTTTATCTCCTTAACTCCCAAAATGTGGACCGTGACTCTCCCCAGGGTGGACTGGAGCTCTGAGCTCAGTTTGCCTCACAGTCTATCCCACTCCTGCTCTAGGACTTTTTCTCTCTCATTTCCAGGCCACTCCCTCAAACGGCTTGCTTTACTTGCTTGGTGGGTGGGGGCCTGCCCTCGGGTTTCATTTCACCCGGGAGGAGGTCGCAGCGCCCCCAAGTGGTCGCAGTGTCCTTAGTCGGGGTCGGGGGGTGCGGCAGGTCGGGCTGGTCCTTAGGGGTAGGACGGGGACAGGGCATCAGATGCCCTTTGAGGCGCTATATTCCCAGGCGCTGTTCCCTCTGCCTGGGAAGGCTTTCCCTGCTTTTCCTAGCTACATCCTCCAATTTTTTTGTATTTTGAGACGGAGTCTCGCTCTGTCGCCCAGGCTAGAGTGCAGTGGCGCGATCTCGGCTCCCGGCAACCTCCGCCTCCCGGGTTCGGGTTCAAGCGATTCTCCTGCCTCAGCCTCCCGAGTAGCTGGGATTACAGGCGCCCACCACCACGCCTGGCTAATTTTTGTATTTTTAGTAGAGACGGCCACTAAAAATGTTGGCCAGGCTGGTCGCGAACTCCTGACCTCAAGTGATCCACCCACTTCGGCCTCCCAAAGAGCTGGGATTACAGGCATGAGCCACTGCGCCCGGCCACATCCTCGAATTTTAAGCCTCAGCTAAGGAATGATTGATTTCTCTCCAAGCATTCTCTCTGGCCTTAGGCTGAAAACCAACTGTCCTTTCTGTGCTCCCAGGAGCCCAATCTGTTCCTGCTCCACTATCCCATGCTGGTCTAGGAGGCTCCAGAGAGCGGGCTGCTTCCTCAGCACCCAGCACGACGCCACCAAAATGTCCCCTTGGATGTGCACAGTCCTTTCTTTCACAGAAAAACTTCCAAATATTGAATTATAAGCAGCCCACAGTCCAAAAGAGGGGTTGGAGAGAGGCAGCTGGAGCTGACCGTGGTCATCCTTCCATAGCAGTTGTGGTCCTTGGAAAAGTTTTCTGGTGGGAGACAAAAATCTGCCTTCCTGAAATTTCCACCCTGTGGTTCCAGCCTGCTGGCTGCAGCAGCCATTCTGAAAGCAGAGATTTGCCCTTGGCTCCCTGAATATCACTTTCTGGGGTTGAGAGGTACCCAGTTCCTTTTATGCTTGCCTGCCTCTTAAACTCCTCTCTGTCAACGTGCCAGGAAGAGAACTCAGTGTTCCTTCCCAGCTAGGGCTGGCCATCCTGGGGCACAATGAGAAAATGATTTCATGGAATACAGACCCAATACATCTTCTACATCGTTTCCCTGCTTTGAATTGTTGCATGGCTCCCTCCTGTCCACAGGAGGCACACATTTTTTTCCCCTATAAGGCACTGTGTCATTAGGCTGGGTGTGGTGGCTCACGCCTCTAATCCCAGCAGTTTGGGAGGCTGAGGCCTGCGGATCAGTTGAGGTCAGGAGTTTGAGACCAGCCTGGCCAACATAGCAAAACCCTGTCTCTACTAAAAATACAAAAATTAGCCAGGTGTGGTGGTATGCACCTATAATCCCTGTTACTTGAGAGGCTGAAGCAGGAGAATCACTTGAACCTGGGAGGCCAGGAGAATCACTTGAACCTGGGAGGCCAGGGCTGCGGTGAGCTAAGAACATGCCACTGTACTCCAGTCTGGGCAACAGAGCAAGATTTCATCTCAAAAAAAAAAAAAAAAAAGAAAAAAGAAAAGAAAAGGAAAAAGAAAAAAGGCACTGTGTGATCTGACCCAGCCTCTTCTTTCAGTTCCCCAGTTCTGCTCTGCTCTCTTTCTACGAGGCTTTCACACATGGTATTCCCTCTCCCTGGAACCACTTCCCCTCAGTCCCGTGCCTACAACACACCACCATGGCCTTCATCTGGTCAACATCTCAATCTTAGGTGTCATTCAGATGTCCTTTCCTCTGTGAAGCCTTTCTTGTTTCCTCTGGGCTGGCTGAGCACCCTGGGCTCCCCCTGCCATTAACATTTGATTTCATATCTTCCAGGCCCATCCATTGTATCCTCAATACCTAGCACATGCCTGGCTGTTATTAGCCCCTCATAGAAGAGATCTATGAAGTATCATGTAGCCAGCTTCTAAGATGGCCCCCAATGACCCCTGGTTCCTGGTGTTCATGCCCTCGTGTTGTCCCCTCCCATGCTGAAGAATGCTAGTCTATATAACCAATTAGATATTGCAGACATTATAGACATTATAGTCTGTGGCTTTTTTTTTTTTTTTTGAGACGGAGTTTTGCTCTTGTTGCCCAGGCTGGAGTGCAATGGCGCGATCTTGGTTCACAGCAACCTCTGCCTCCTGAGTTCAAGCGATTCTCCTGCCTCAGCCTCCCGAGTAGCTGGGATTACATGCATGCACCACCACACCCAGCTAACTGTGTATTTTTAGTAGAGATGGGGTTTCTCTATGTTGGTCAGGCTGATCTCCAACTCCCGACCTCAGGTGATCTGCCCGCCTCGGCCTCCCAAAGTGCTGGGATTACAGGCATGAGCCACCGCGCCTGGCCTAGTCTGTGAGTTTCAAGGCTTAGCTATAAAAGACATTGTGACTTCCTCCCTGCTCTCTCATAGATCACATGCTGTGGAGGAAGCCAGACGCCATGTTGTGAAGGCACGCAAACAGCCTACAGAGGTCCACATGGTGAGGAACTGAGGCCTCCTGCAAACAGCTAGCAATGACTTGCCAGGCATAAGTAGCTACTTTGCAAATGGGTCTTCCAGCTCATCAGGCATTCAAATGACTGTAGCCTGACTGACAACTGACTGCAACCTCCTGAGACCTTGAATCAGAACTGCCCAGCTCCCAAATTCCTGACCCATAGCATCTGTGGGGTATAATAAATGTTTCGGAATAATTAATTACGCTTCAATAGACAATTGACACACACCTAAAAGTGTCTTTTTTTTTTTCATAAAATTGTTAAAGTCTTTTGTAGAAAAGTTCAATTCTATTTTTCTTCTTTTTGAAGACTGCATTTGTTTCTCAGTGGTCATATCACACTGTGTGGGAGACGCTGAAGTATCAGCAGGCAGCAGCCAGAACACCTGGTGGCCCCTCCCAAGTGACTCCAAACCAGCCAGCTGGCTGTGGCCTCCCTGGGCTCCCCACTTCCCAGGCAGCTGGGAGTGGGGAAAAGTTAGGTTTCAGATCCGCTGGGGCCCCCACCCACCTCATTAGAAAAATCAGAGAGGAGGCCAAGTCCACAGCAGCTGTTCATATGACATACTTTATTTCCAATCTACAACCATTAAAAACGCTTTATAAGTTTACACTGTACAGTTATTCTCATGTCTGAAATAAGACACAGGGGCAGGGAGAGCTGGTGGATTGGACTGCAGTTGTCCTAGCACCCGATCCATCCTAGGAAGGAGCCTTTTGAAGACAGAAGTGGAAAGGAGAGAATAGTGGACAAGAGAGGTGGACAGTTGGCCCAAGGATGCCCTTGGTCCCTTCCCTCCCATGGGCCTTGCCCTGGGGGTCCCCCAGGGCCCATGACTGCAGGACCCTCACCAGGAAACCAGGCTGAGTGGGAAGGGGGTTCACAGTATTGGCGGGGGCTGGGGAGGGGCCAGGATGAGGAGGAAGGGCAGCTTCTGGCTCTCTTCCCAGCTGCTGGGGGTTGGAGCTGTTTTTTGGCACTGTCTACAAGGTATCCCTGGGGTTGGGAGGAGGAGGAACTGGGGATTTAGGATGCTTTCTTTGTGGAGTTAAGATTTCTTTCAGTTTGAAGAGGCGCTATCTGGCCTATGGTGAGGTTCCCAAGGGAGAAACAGTCAGGGTCTTCTGCCTCCTGCCTCCCCAGGACTCCCACCCCCTCCCTGGCTGGCACCATCCACACAGCCTTTTGTAAAACCAAGACAAGTGAGAGAGGTGAGCAGGAGCAGGGAAACAAACAATGTGTGCTTTCTCCAGGCCCTTCAACTTCTCTTCCTCTTCCAAGAGGAGCGACTATAGGGTTGGTTTTTGTTGGTGGTGGTTCCCAATCTCAGGAGTCCAGATAAGGCTGGTGTTTTCCACCTGTTCTTGGCCTAGCCAGTCCCAGTCCCTCCCCAGGCTCTACTAATGGCTAGCCCAGATCAGCAGTTGGCATATTCTTATGCGTCAGAATCATTTGGAGGGCTCCTTAAAACCCCAGCTTGTAGGGCCCCACTCCACAAGCTCTAATTCAGTGGGTCTTGGGTGGGGCTGCTAATCTGCACTTCTATCAAGTTCCCAGGTGATATTCCTGCTGCTGGAATGCAATACAAGAACCACTGGCTGAGAATGGTGCCCGCAGTCACCTCATTCTGAGCAGCCTGGTGTCTCCTGGGCAGCACTAAGGAGCTGGGCCACAGCTGGCAAAGCCCAGCCTTGGGGCACCACATCACCTGGGAAGCTGCTGGAAATGGTCTTGGGGTGAGTCCCCCGTGCAGAGAAGTAAACTAAGGCACAGAGATCAGTGGCAGAGCTGAGAGAGGAGCCAGGATACCAGGGCCCAGTAGAGAAAGGATGGGGCTGCAGGACCCTACAGCATGAGGGGTGCTCTAGGGACCACAGGGCCATCCTGGTGCTCATCACAGGATCACAAGACTGGGAAGGTAGGAGAAGTGAAGACATCTGCCCAGACCTGGGCCAGGTTTCCAGATTGCCAGCTGAGGTCCCTCTTCTTGGGAATGGTTTGAGTGGCTTCCAAATAAAGAGTGACAAGGCAGCCAGCCCTGACTGCCTCAGCCCTTCAAAGATGTTTAGAGAAAACCAAAGGTCCCTTCCTCAGGGCATGGTGTCCAGAAAGCTGGTGAAGGGCAGGAAGGGAGGGGAGCAGGGCCGTTGGGATAGACAAGCAGCAGAGGAGGCTCCAAGGAGGGTGAGGAAGGAGTGGCAGGGCTGGCATTGGAGAGAAGCCCTGAGCAGGAGACTTGGGCCCAGCATCATGTCCTCAGTCCCCTCAGGACTTGGGTCTGTATATTTTGCAAACTGCAAATGCTGTTGGGTTGGGAGGGGTAAGGCATAGAGTTGGGGTGAACTGTAGATTCTGCCAGGACAAGCAGCTCTGAGAGTGGTGAGGTCCAGAGGAGAATGGAGAGGATGGTTGGATACTGAATGGACAAAGAGATGGATCAATGACCAGAGACAGGGAGAGAAGAACCTGTCAGGCAGCACCTGCTTTACAGTCAAGGCCATCTGGGCCTGGGCAGGGCAGGGGAGGAAAAAGGAGGGATCCAAGCCCCCCCCACCCACCACCACACACACGCCCATTGCAAAGTGCTGGGGCTGCTGCTGGCAGGCTGCTTACAGAGAAGACAGTGTGGCTTAAGGGTGGCACCGGGGGGTTGCTGGGGCAGGGTGAGCCCAGTGAGAAGGGCTGGCAGGGCTGGTGCCTCCTGATGCATTGGAGGAAGAGGCTTTTTTTTGTGTGTGTGAGAAAACACAAAATAAATAAACACAGAACCAGGACACCACCACATTTGAGAGCAAATATCAGAGTTGGGAAACCACAGACGCGGACAGGAAGGCTTCCCTGGTAGGAAGCAGGGGGACAAGAAGCCAGTTACTGAGGTTACGGGAAAATCCGCACGAGGCAGCAGTGCTGGGAAGAACATCCTGGGAGGACTGAGGGCTGAATACTATAGTGAGCTCCGGACCCAGAAGAGGAAAACCTGGCATGGACCAGGGCCACTCCATTTGCTGGCAGGAACCAGCCAAGGAGAAGAGGAGGCAGGAGGACAAGAGGCTTTGGAGGGAGATGATAAAGAAAGAATGGGTGAGTGGTGGGAAGCAGACTGAGCCCAGAGAAAGGAAGGGGCTAAACCAAGATTACAGAAAGTCAAAGCAGTGTCTCATTCACTACTGGGGATGCAAGACCTGTTAGGAGTCAGGAAACCTGGGTTCTGGTCTTGGCTCTGCCTCTGGTTTGCGATGTGACCTTGGGTGAGCCACTGCCTTCTCTGGGCCTGATTCCTCATCTCAAAAAATGAGGGGGCTGGACACAAAAGGACAAATACTATATGATTCTACTTAAAAGAGATACCTAGAATAGGCCAATCCACAGAGAAAAAAAAAAAGTAGAATAGAGGTTACCAGGGACTGGGGACAGGGGGAGTGGGGAGTTACTGTTTAGTGGGTACAGAGTTTCAGTTTAGGATGATGAAAAAGTTCTGGAGGTGGCAGTTACACATTGCAAATGTACTTCGAGACACTTAGAAATCTTTAAAATGGTAAATTTAATGTTATGCACATTTTGCCATCATTCTTTTAAAAAGGAAGGGGTTTAGACCAAATTATGTTATGGCCTCCTTGCTATTCATGAAGACTAGTGAAGGGGGTGAGGAGAGTATTGTCCCCCACCCCAGGGCCAGGGCACTGAAAGGCTGGGCTGGGGACACTGAGTGTGATCAGATCACTTTCCATTTGTGTAGAACCTTACACTTTTCCAAGGAGACTCGCAGGCACAGTGTTGCAGTTGGTCCTCACCACAGTTACATGGGGTGGGACATTATCCTCACTTTACAGATGGGGAAACTGAGGTATAGACTAGAAACATGATCTCGCCAAGGTCAATCACGTTGGTGGATTATTTATTTTTTTAAATAGTCACCTGGAAAACATCCTTGCATCTTAGGTTCACCCGTTGACTCACCAACTGGCTCAGTGGCCCTTGATGAAAGGATACATGCTATAAATTAGTAGAAGAGTTCGTCTCCTGGGGCCAACATGCTTGCTTCCCATAATTGGATGATAAAAATTATAAATCCTGATGTGTTTCTCTTTTTACCAATGGCTGTCAGGAAACTCAAGAGTAAAACTTAATTGCATGATTATGGGAATTACACCAGTTAGATTTACAGAATAATTTCTCTTGCTTTTTTACTTCTTATTTTTATTTTACTGAACCCCTATGATTAAGATTGTAAATAGCCTCTGATGCTTTTTGAAAATCCTGAGTAATTAAATCAGTTTGGTTGAGGACTCGATCCCTTAAGTCCCTGCTCAGTGCTCTTTTTAAGATACAGCATCATGTTTATTGGTTAAAAGAAAGATGAGGCTGGATGCCGTGGCTCACGCCTATAATCCCAGTACTTTGGGAGGCCGAGGTGGGTGGATCACCTGAGGTCAGGAGTTCAAGACCAGCCTGGCCAACATGGTGAAACCCCGTCTCTACTAAAAATAAAAAAATTAGTCGGGTGTGGTGGCACACACCTGTAATCCCAGTTACTCGGGAGGTTGAGGCAGGAGAACTGCTTGAACCTGGGAGGTGGAGGCTGCGGTGAGCTGAAATGGCGCCACTGTACTCCAGCCTGAATGACAGAGCAAGACTCTGTCTCCAAAAAAAAAAGAAAAAGGAAGATGACCTGGCACGGTGGCTGATGCCTGCCTGTAACCCCAGCACTTTGGGAGGCTGAGGAGGGCAGATCACTTGAGCCCAGGAGTTTGAAACCAGCCTGGGCAACATAGGGAGACCCCCTGTCTCTAAAAATAATAATAATAAATAATAAATAAATAAATAAATAAAATAAAAAATAAATCTAAAAAAACTTAAAAAAAGAAAGATAGCCTAATAATCAGGGCCACGAACACCAATGGTGTGGCCAATAGTGCCTAAGATCCCCCGGGGAGGGCTGGTTTTATTTTTTATTTTTTTTGAGACAAGTCTCATTCCGTTGCCCAGGCTAGAGCGCAATGGCACAATCTCGGCTCACTGCAACCGCTGCTCCCCACCAGGTTCAAGTGATTCTCCTGCCTCAGCCTCCCAAGTAGCTGGGATTACAGGCATGTGCCACCACACCTGGCTAATTTTTGCATTTTTAGTAGAGACAGGGTTTCACCATATTGGCCAGGCTCGAACTCCTGAGCTCAAGTGATCCACCCGCCTCAGCCTCCCAAAGTGCTGGGATTACAGGTGTGACCACTGCACCCACCCCTCAACCCCAGGAGAGTTTGTTAAACATGCAAATTCAAGGTGGGGCCCAGGAATCTACATTCTGAACATGCCCTCAGAGAATTCTGCTGAATGGGGACCTCAGATCACCCTCTGGAATACACAAGGCTCAGTGATCTAGAATGGACTTGTTTTATGCCTGGGTTGGCCAGCAGCATATTCTGGGTATTCTGGACCCACCAAAAGCCCCCAGCAGGGCAGCGGATTTGCACAGCAAACAGGACAGAGTTGGACCCAAGTTCTCATCTAAACTCAGTGACTTCTCATGCTCTGGGATGAGACCTGTACCTCAGTTTCCTCACAGCAAAATGGGCGCACTAACCCATGTCCTGCCAAGGCTGCCTCCCAGAGTTGTCCCTGAGAGGTCTGAAGGAGATGTGGGGTGGGAAACGATTTCTTTTTTGAGATTGGGTCTCACTCTGTCATCCAGGCTGGAGTGCAGTGGCGCAATCTCTGCTCCTGCAACCTCCGCCTCCTGGGCTCAAGCGATTCTCCCACCTCAGCCTCCCGAGTAGCTGGGATTACAGGCACGCACCACCATGCTCAGCTAATTTTTTGTACTTTTAGTACAGACAGGGATTCACCACGTTGGCCAGGCTGGCGTTGAACTCCTGACCTCAACTGATCCGCTCGCCTCAGCCTCCCAAAGAGCTGGGATTTCAGGCGTGAGCCACCATGCCCGGCCAGGGGAAACGTTTTCTATATAGTAAAGTGCTTTAGGCGGGATGTGCAGGGGATGATGATAACCATTGTTATTACTATTATTATGGAAGAAGTAGTGGGAGCTTGGGGGGTCTGGTGAGGCTAGAAGCAGGGGACATTCTAGATAGGAGGGGAGAGGGAGAAAGAGCCTGGACGCTGGGTGGGCCAGAGGAGAAGAGGCTGGGTGATGAAACCATAAAAGTGCATGCGGGTGGACATGATGGAACCATGTCAGCAAGGGTGTAAGAGGGTCAAGTCTTTGGGCCCTTGGCCTTGTCACATCGGAAGCCAACCGGTAGAAGAGTGCACCTGGGGACACCTAGAGGTGGGACCCATCTTGAGTTCATAGAAAGCAAGACCTCTTAGAGGTCAGCCTTTGGTGGGAAATAAACTGGGGGAAAGGGCTGGCACAGGGTCAGAGGATTGGATTCTGATGTCTCGTGTGTGCAGGCCTAAGAGCCACTGATGCACCAAAATGACTTGATTTGCATTCCAATGAAGTCATCATTCCAAAAGGGGCTGATTTGGCTCTGGAAAGAGGTGAGACATAAGAAACATGAGGTTTCCCAGTTTAGGGCCATCATGCCAACTGGTCCCCCATTTCCGCCAACCAACTGATGCCAACCCCATGGACCCAAGCCAAGTGGTCTATGGGGGATTGAGCCCCGAGGGTTCCTTGGGACTTTGGTTGAAGAGAGAGTGGAGATGGGGAAAACAGAAAGAAGGATAAAGGAGGAGAAGAAGGGAATAGCAGTAAAAGGCAGAGAGGCAGGAGGAAGGGGGAGAACGGGTTCGAGAAGGGCAGCATTCCTTCTTGGGACCCCAATTCTCCAGGGAATCCCCACTGTGGGTCAGGCAGTTTTCTGCTTTGGGAATGTTACCAAGACTTAAAAGGCATTTGAAGAAACCAACAAACTTAGAAATCACATTCCAAAAGAGTAGAGAATTTTTACAAACCAATCCCCCCACCCCAAAAAAGAAAACAACCAGTTACCAAGTAAAATGCTAAAAACCGAACCAAACCAATATTTACATGTAACATTTTCAACCCCATCCAGCCCCACGTCCAGAGGCTTCTGCAGGAACAGTGATGAGTGGCCTTGCACAGTGGCATGCAGGAAGTAGAAACTGGGGCTTTACTGAAAACCAAGGTCTGGCTGAGACAACAAAGATGGCAAGGACAATCCTGGACGGTACGATGGTAAGGCTGAGTGGTCCGTAGGTCTTGGGGCTCAGGTCCCACGGGGATTTCTCCCCGAGGCTGAGTACGCAGCCTCCCTGGCTGTCGCTCTGGGAGGTGGCAGAAGGCCTCTGGTGGCTTGTGGCCTGATGTGAATCCCCTCACCTGGAGATAACCTTGGAGGGCCCCCCTGACCTCATGGGTGAGAGCAGCAGCATCCAAGAGCGGAACTGGCCCACAGCTCCACTGGCTGCCTGCTCTGCCCACACCAGTCACTGGGGCATGGAGGAGGCGGCTGGCGGGACTGGCATGACCCTGGTGTTCAGCCTGCAGGGAAGGGAGATGCAGGACTTGGGGTAACTGGTCCAGGTGATCCCGAATGGGTGGGTCTGGGAACTGGCAGGTGGGAGGTGGGAGTGCAGGGGCGCCTCCAGAGTCCTGGGGGCAGATCAGCAAAGCTACTGGCTTTTGGTCTTCCTGATGGGCAATTCTGCAGACAAGCTGATCCATCCTGGTGTTTCCACTCTGGGTCCCCAGTCAGTTACAGGAAGGCTGATGTCTATGTGTGTGTGGGGAGCATGTGTGCAACCAAAAGGGGTTCACCGGCACCAAGGCGAGGCCATGGGAGGCGCTGCCCCACATGCTGCAATGAGCCACATCGAAATCCAACCAATGGCTCAGGCAGCTCACAGGGGACGTGAGGAAGGGCGGGCAGCAGAGCTGGGGCAGGGAGAAGAGCCGTGAAAGGCCATAAGGCTAAGGAGAGAGGCTGGTGAAAAGGCTGGCAGGCTGGTGAGAACCGAGGCAGGCTGGGAGACACTCAGGTTTATGTGCAAAGCTGCGATAAACAACATTCTCAAAGTTCAGTCCTGTTTTCCTGTGAGTTCTCATTTGGGAAACTTGGAGGGATCTCCACACTCTTAATAGAGCTTTAGTAATCCACGTTCGACTCATGAAGAAAGGTGTCAGAGGGAGGGAGGGAAATGAGACAGGCAATGGAGAACGTCTGGGGAGTGGTGATGGCCGTCCAGCCCTCCACCTTGTCAGTGAGTATTTATAGACTGACCGCTGGGGCTGGCCAAGTACCAGGCATTGAGTAATAAGTAGTGTTCTGAGGCCACATGGCCAGCCGTGTTGGGGTGCAGGGCTCCAGCTCTGTTGAGGGGCCCTCCAAAGCTGACCAGGAGGCCAGGTCTCCAAACCTGGCTGCCAAGCGGCCTCGTCCACCCAGGGGACCCCATGCCTGCCCGTGCTGTTAGAGGCCTCATGTTGTCCCAGTGGCAAGAATGCATGTTTCAACCTCCAATAAATTACCTTAGGGACTTTGGGGTAAATTAAATTATTAAAATAAAGTAAACCACCTTAAATATTTATAGTAGGAAAAATTCAAATAAACAATCTAGGCAAGATACGTGTTTCCAGGCCCCAGTCTACTGCTGTGTCCTGGGCTCTGGCCTCTTGGTGTTCTCCTGGGCCTGACCTGGCCAACCAAGAATCTCTTACTGGGAATATCTTTGCCCCCCGACCAGCTGCAGGATGTAAACACAGTGGAGATGTAGTGCCTGCTGCCTCTCAGGGTGCCAGGGAAAGAGGCCTCTGAGATCACTTGAGATCAAGGCAGTGTATTTAGGCATTTATCTATGCACCAGGTCTTGAGACTGACTCTACCTATTTCTGTCCTCAAGGGGTCTGCTGGGAACGTTGGGGCCCCAAGTCACTTTGGCAAGGAAGGCAATTGCAATCACTCCCCAACCCTGAGCCCTGCATGTTTCCACTTCGCCTCCCAGCTCTTGCTGCATCCAGGCTATGGGCAGGGAGATCCAGGGCTCCAGGACACTAAGCAATGGCCCTGGCTACTGCCCTATCATACTCCCTAGTGTCCCAGCAATCTAGAGCAGTGGGGCTGGGAGGAGGAGGTGGTGGAGAGAAGGAGGTGATGGTGATGATGCCCAACAGGGCTCCACCAGGAACCAAACATGGAGCCCTAGAGCAAAGCCTGTTCTTCTCAGCAGTGTCTCCTCCCAAATGAAGGGGTGGATGGTCAGCAGGAAACATCTCTCCGACTCCTTTTCCCCAAAGGCATGGCCAGACATGTATCCTTCTTGGGCTCTTCCAAGAGGGTGGCATGGGCAGAACCAGGCAAGGCTCTCTCTTAGGACCCAGGGATCGGCTCTTGACAGATCTCTCAGTGGATGCTTGGGAAGCCCAGGTTTGGTCTCTCTCCCACTCACTGCCTTCCCCTGGGAAGTCGAAGCTCACCACCCAGGGGCCAGCAGGAGACCCGGCTTTACCTTGATGTGAAAGCTGCATTCTGGCAGTGGCATCACTGCTGTCCCTCCAGGGCCAGGCAATGCTGAGGACACAGCCCCTCGCCTCACCTCGTCTCGTCTCTGCTGGTTCCCTTCTGCTATCCAGGGGCTGGGCTGGTTGAGGCGGGGAGCTTGGCTGCTCTGTCACTCGCTGGGGGGGAGTGCCCTCTCCTCCCCACCCCAGCTGGACTCTGAAGGGTGCAGCCTGCACTTGGAAGGAGAGTGGCGGATGGCAGAGCGGGACGATCGGGCGAAGCAGGAGGTGAGAGACTGGGTACTACAGTCACAAACAGCGTCCTAGGAAGAGGGAGGCAGGGAGGCAGGAAGTCAAGAGGAGCCAGGAGACATGGACCACCATGAGCTGTGTGGTATGCCAGGCAAGGAACTGAGACTCGGCCATAAACCAGTTCCCAGGGGCTGAAGCTCCTCACTGGACCAATTTTTTCTTTCTGTTGTTCTTCTCCCATTAGAGCGGTAATGGAAGTTCATTGTAATATATTCTAGGCTATACAGAGAGGACAGTGGACACTGTCCATGGTCCTGCAC
Organism: Homo sapiens; assembly: GCF_000001405.40. Lineage (NCBI taxonomy): Eukaryota > Metazoa > Chordata > Mammalia > Primates > Hominidae > Homo > Homo sapiens. The sequence continues at coordinate 36,786,887 of NC_000020.11, forward strand.
GCCAAAGAGATTCTTAACATACATTTACCAAAATGACAGCTTATTTTGCAACTGTAAAACACGAACACTTTTCTGTCACTAGGTATGTCTAGATCTCCTTCCTTTTTATCCTTTTTTTTCGTTTGAGACAGGGTCTCACTATGTTGCTCAGGCTGGTCTTGAACTCCTGGGCTCAAGCGATCCTCCTGCCTCAGCCTCCCAAACTGCTGGAATTAGCACCTTTGGGTGCTCATGCCTCCCAAAGGCATGAGCCACCATGCCTGGCTGATCGCCTTCTTTTTTAGTGTCTCTGTACCATTTCACTAGATAGAAATAACTGATTTATATACCCAATTCGCTTTTTTTATTTTTTTATTTTTTAGACAGAATCTTGCTCTGTTCCCCAGGCTGGAGTGCAGTGGTACGATCTTGACTCACTACAACCTCCACCTCACGGATTCAAGTGATTCTTGTGCCTCAGCCTCCCAAGTAGCTAAGATTACAAGCGTGTGCCACCATGCCTAGCTAATTTTTGTATTTTTAGTAGAGAGGGGATTTTAGCATGTTGGTCAGGCTCAAACTCCTGACCTCTAGTGATCTGCCCGCCTCGGCCTTCCAAAGTGGTGGGATTGCAGGTGTGAGCCACTGTGCCTGGCCCCAATTCACTTTTTATGTACATCTGGGTAGTTTCTAATTTTTTACTATTACCAATAAACAGAAATAATGATCAAAAGTGCTGCTGCCAGGCACGGTGGCTCATGCCTGTAATCCTAGCACTTTGGGAGGCTGAGGCAGGTGGATCACGAGGTCAGGAGATCGAGACCATCCTGGCCAACATGGTGAAACCCCATCTCTACTAAAAATACAAAAATTAGCTGGGCATGGTGGCATGCGCCTGTAGTCCCAGCTACTCGGGAGGCTAGGGCAGGAGAATCGCTTAAACCCAGGGTGCGGAGGTTGCAGTGAGCTGAGATTGTGCCACTGCACTCCAGCCTGGGTGAAAGAGCAAGACTCCATCTGAAAAAAAAAAAAAAAAAAAAAGTGCTGCTGGACAGCTGGCCATGGTGGCTCACACCTGTAATGCCAGCACTTTGGGAGGCTATGGCAGGTGGATCACCTGAGGTCAGGAGTTCAAGACCAGGCTGGCCAACATGGTGAAACCCCATCTCTACTCAAAATACAAAAATTACCCGGGCATGGTGGCACATTCCTGCAGTCCCAGCTACTTGGGAGACCGAAGCAGCAGAACGGCTTGAACTCAGGAGGCGGAGGTTGCAGTGAGCCGAGATCACATCACTGCACTCCAGCCTGGGGGACAGAGTGAGACTCCATCTCAAAAAAAAAAAAAAAAAAAAGTGCTGCTGGGCTGGGCCATGTGGGAGGCTGAGACAGGAGGATCCTTTGAGCCCAGGAGGTCAAGGCAGCAGTGAGCTATGATTGTGTCACTGGGCTCTGGCTTGAGCAATAGAGCAAGACCCCATCTCTTTAAAAAATAAATAAAATGGCCCGGGCGCGGTGGCTCATGCCTGTAATCCCAGCACTTTGGGAGGCCAAGGCGGGTGGATCACGAGGTCAGGAGATCGAGACCATCTGAAACCCCGTCTCTACTAAAAATACAAAAAATTAGCCGGGCGCGGTGGCAGGTGCCTGTAGTCCCAGCTACTTAGGAGGCTGAGGCAGGAGAATGGCGTGAACCTGGGAGGCGGAGCTTGCAGTGAGCCAAGATCGTGCCACTGCACTCCAGCCTAGGCAACAGAGCGAGACTCCGTCTCAAAAATAAATAAATAAATAAATAAAATAAAAGTGCTGTGATAGAGCCAAACTGCTTGGTTAAATCCCAGCTTTGCCAATTACTAGCTGTGTGACCTTGGGAGATTTACTTAACCTCTCTTGAGCTTTGATTTCCTCCCCTCTCTCTTTTTTTCTTTTTCTTTTCTTTTCTTTTTTTTTTTTTTTTTGAGACAGAGTTTAGCTCTTGTTGCCCAGGCTGGAGTGCAATGATGCGATCTCAGCTCACAGCAACCTCTGCCTCCCGGGTTCGAGCGATTCTCCTGCCTCAGCCTCCCGAGTAGCTGGGATTACAGGCATGTGCCACCACGCCCGGCTAATTGTGTATTTTTAGTAGAGATGGGGTTTCTCGGCATTGGTCAGGCTGGTCTCAAACTCCCGACCTCAGGTGATTGGGTGAGCCACTGCGCCCAGCCTCTTTTTATTTTTCTTTATCCATCTCTGTGAATATTTCCATAGGCTACCTTCGTAAAAGAAGAACTACTGGGTCAATGGGTAGCACGCACATTTTACATACTGAACAATATTTGGATCAACTTTAAAATCAACATTCAAAATCCAGCCAGCTTTGTGCTGTTGTTTCTTGATGTGGTGCTGGTTATATGGAAGTGATGGTTAATTTTATATTCAATATGACTGGGCCACAGGTGCCGAGATATTACGTAAAACATTGTTCTGGGTGTTTCTGTCAGAGTGCTTTGAGATGAGATTAACATGTAAATTCTCAGCCAGGCGCAGTGGCTCACGTCTGTTATCCCACCACTTTGGGAGACTGAGGCAGGCGGATCACTTGAGATTAGCAGTTCGAGACCAGCCTGGCCAACATGGTGAAACCCTATTTCTACTAAAAATAAAAAAGTAGCCGGGCGTGGTGGCATGTGCCTGTAATCCCAGCTACTTGGTTGGGAAGCTGAGGTACAAGAATCGCTTGAGCCTGGGAGGCAGAGGTTGCAGTGAGCCGAGATCACACCACTGCATTCCAACCTGGGTGACAGAGTGAGGCTCCGTCTCAAAAAAAAAAAAAAGCGAATTCTCCCTAACATGGACCCCATCCAGTCAGTTAAAGGCTTGAACAGAACAAGAGGGCTTACTCTCCCTCAAGTAAGAGAATTCTTCCTGCCTGACAGCCTTCAGACTGAGACACTTGCTTTTTTCCTGCCTTGAGACTTTATTATTTATTTATTTTTGAGACAGAGTCTCACTCTGTTGCTCAGGCTGGAGTGCAGTGGTGCGATATTGGCTCACTGCCTCCTGGGTTCCAGCAATTCTCATGCCTCAATCACCCAAGTGGCTGGAACTGTAAGCATGTGCCACCATGCCCAGCTAATTTTTGTATTTTTTTTTTTTTTTTTTTTTGAGATGGAGTCTCGCTCTGTCACCCAGGCTGGAGTGCAGTGGCGCGATCTCGGCTCACTGCAAGCTCCGCCTCCCGGGTTCATGCCATTCTCCTGCCTCAGCTTCCCGAGTAGCTGGGACTACAGGCGCCTGCCACCACGCCTGGCTAACTTTTTGTATTTTTAGTAGAGACGGGGTTTCACTGTGTTAGCCAGGATGGTCTCGATCTCCTGACCTCATGATCCACCCACCTCAGCCTCCCAAAGTGCTGGGATTACAGGCGTGAGCCACTGCGCCCGGCCAATTTTTGTATTTTTTAAGTAGAGACAGGGTTTTGCTACGTTGGCCAGGCTGGTCTCAAACTCCTGGCTTCAAGCAATCCACCTCTCTCGGCCTCCCAAAGTGCTGGGATTACAGGTGTGAGCCACCACGCCTGGCCCTTTTTTTTTTTTTTTTTTTTTTAAAAGATGGAGTCTTGCTCTGTTGCCCAGGCTAGAGTGCAGTGGCGTGGTCTCAGCTTGTTGCAACCTCCACCTCCCGGCTTCAAGCAATTCTCCTGCCTCAGCCTCCCGAGTAGCTGGGACTATAGGCGCATGCTGCCACGCCTGGCTAATTTTTTGTATTTTTTAGTAGAGATGGGGTTTCACTGTGTTGCCCAGGCTGGTCTTAAATTCCTGAGCTCAGGCAATCCACCTGCCTCGGCCTCCCAAAGTGCTAGGATTACAGGCGTAAGCCACCATGCCTGGCCTCTTTTTTTTTTTTTTTAATGTAGAGATGAGCTCTCACCATGTTGCTCAGACTGGTCTTGAACTCCTAGCTCAAGTGATCTGCCCACCTCAGTCTCCCAAAGTGCTGGGATTAGAGACATGAGCCATTGCACCTGGCCAAAAAAGGAATAAATATTTAAAAGATGTTTTTAAATGTCAGCCAGCTGAGTGAGAGTATAGAAAAGTAACGCACTCGCCACACACTGCTGGAAGCTGTAGATATGGCACACTTTTGAAAAACAATTTGGCAGTATTTATCAAATAACTTTAAAACATTTATATTTTTTTTTTTGTGTGGAGATGGAGTCTCACTCTGTCACCCAGGCTGGAGTGCAGTGGTACCATCTCAGCTCACTGCAGCCTCCGCCTCCTGGGTTCACGCGATTCTCCTGCCTCAGCCTCCTGAGTAGCTAGGACTACAGGTGACCACCACTATGCCCGGCTAATTTTTGTATTTTTAGTACAGACAGGGTTTCACCATATTGGCCAGGCTGATCTCAAACTCCTGACCTTGTGATCCACCCGCCTCGGCCTCCCAAAGTGCTGGGATTACAGGCATGAGCCACCGCGCCCGGCCACATTTATATTCTATTATCCTTTAATCTCATTTCTGCAACTTATACCTAAGGAAATAGTCTGAAATGTAAAAAAATGATTTTGCACCAAGATGTTCACCACAGCATTATTTGCAGTAGGGACAAACTAGAAACCACCTAAACGTACAATAATAGAAAAGTAGAATGTTTGAGTCTATCACAGCCCATTCCACACACAGCCCTTCTCATGTCTCTGTGCCCCACAGCAGACCACATGGTACCACTCCCAGCCATAGACTGGACCAAGGGGTACACTCGCCTCTAGCTGCACCAATCAGAGTTTCCTTCTTTCAGAAATGTGGAATTGGGAGACAGGGATTTGTGTCAGTCTCTCCTAGGGGCTTGAACTGGAAGATGTTGTAAAGTCAGAGCTGGGACAGCCCACCCAGTCCTTGTGCAAATGCAACAGAGAGAGAAACAGAGAAAAAGGAGGAATATGATATCAGAGAGGGTGAAGCTTAAAGAGAGGAGAGGAAGACAGGGAGAAGCTGCTGAGGTTGTCAGGTTCCTACTCTTGGGTTTTATAAAACATGCCATCCTTCAAATACATTTCCTTCCCTTTCTGCAAAGTTAACTTATGCACATTCTAACACATTCAAATAATGCTCACTAACATTCAAATAAGGTTTACTAATTAACTTATAAGAAACTGATAGCAGGAGTGGGGTGTGAAAGATTCTCAGAGGAAATGTGAGCACTTAGGTGTGAAGTCTTGATGGGGTGGAGAAGTGGTATGCCCGCTAATGTTTAACAATTAGTTTTCCAGGAGTGATAGGAGGAGCCCCGATTTGTAGTGTTTACCAATTTTTATGCTGTAAATCCTCCCACTGTGGCCAATCTCAAGGTACCAAGGTGATGTTAAACACAGAGATGTGGCCAGGCGCGGTGGCTCACGCCTGTAATCCTAACACTTTGGGAGGCCAAGGTGGGCGGATCACTTGAGGTCGGGAGTTCGAGACCAGCCTGGCCAACATGGTGAAACCCCGTCTCTACTAAAAAATACAAAAATTAGCCGGGCATGGTGGCAGGTGCCTTAATCCCAGCTACTTGGGAGGCAGAGACAGAATTGTTTGAACCCAGGAGGCGGAGGTTACAGTGAGCCGAGATTGAGTCATTGCACTCAAGCCTGGGGGACAAGAACGAGACTTCTCTCAAAACAAAAACAAAAACAATAAAAAAAAAAAAACCCACAGAGATGCTGACAATTGGCTCCTGCAAGCCAAACAAGCTGGCTCTAGCACACCACTGGGTGGCAGGAGAGCAGTAAGGCCCCTTCCCTGGAGGGGATGCTGGCAGTCTCTGGTGGGTGGAGCAAAAGCTGCTAGTTAAGCCATGCTCACTAGTCTCTTGGAATTCAGACCATGTGACCATCAGGTCTGTGTTGTTCCAGGTCTGGGACCTTCCAACTCTATCCTAGACCAGCATAAGAACTTCCTGGAACACATGGCCATATCCCTGAATTTTTATTTTATATATATAGATATATAGATAGATAGATAGATAGATAGACAGACAGACAGACAGACAGACAGACAGACAGACAGACAGATAGATAATTTTTTTTTTTTGGTGAGACGGAGTCTTAGTCTGTCACCCAGGCTGGAGTGCAATAGCACAATTTCAGCTCACTGCAACTTCCGCCTACTGGGTTCAAGTGATTCTCCTACCTCAGCCTCCAGAGCAGCTGGGACAACAGGTGCATGCCACCACGCCTGGCCAATTTTTGTATTTTTAGTAGAGATGGGGTTTCACCATGTTGGCCAGACTGGTCTTGAACTCCTGATCTCAGGCGATCCACCCACCTCGGCCCATATCTCTGAACTTAAAAACCAAAAGAGCTTGGACCTTATATACTAACTCCACCTACTAAGAGAAAGGACAGATCCCACCCACCTACCTCATTGGGAAGGACCACGGCTCCATCTCCGTCCCGGAGGACACCATCCTTCCCCACCTGGGGGAGCATGGTGAGTCTGACCTCCTCACTGCTGCCCAACTTGGCTGCCTTCTTGTTCAGGATCCTGGCCACACCCTCTGGCTGATGGTAGCTGGCTGGGGAGAGGGGCTCTGGCTTCTTGGTGCCCTCCTCTCCTGCTGATGAGGTGGGGCTCGGTGCCCGGCCACACACATTACGGAAGAATTCCTGCACAATGCCGTACTTGGGAGGCTCGGGCTTGGCCCGCGTCTCAGACATGCCTAGTTTCCAGACAGACTCCGTGCTCCCTGAGTGCTCCACCACACTGAAGAGGCTGGAGAGTCCATCGTTGATGTTTCTCAATACAGGGCTGTCCCGCGTGGTGGTGGAGCGGGCCCAGGCCGAGCCGTTCTGCTTGCCCTGGTGCAGGTTCCACAGGCTGCGGTCCTTGCTGCTGTCCAGCTTGGACACAGACCGCCTCTGGAGCTTTGGTGAGCCATACTTGGGGGAGCAGCAGGGCCGCTCGATGCGCGAATGGACCTTGTCCAGGGAGGAGGAGATCTGCTTGCTGCGCACAGACACGAGCGAAGAGCTGCGGGGTGACCAGGCCTTGCCATGGAGGCTGCTGCGGGGTGGGTCGGTCTGCAGGCCCACGCTGACCGTGCGGATGGTCTGTGTGCCCACACTGGCCAGGCCCACCGTCTGGCTGGATGTGCTCTTCACTTTCCTCTCCAGTGAGCCGGAGCGCATGGCCTGGCGCACACAGTTGGTGATCTCCTTCATGTCATCACTCATGTTGCCTGACATCTCAAAGTCATGCAGGGCCGCTGGGAAGCCAGGCCCGGCCGCCGAGGGGCTGCCCGCTGAGCCTCCGTCCAGGCGCTGCCGTGAGAAGTTGCAGAGCCACCGACCATAGGAGCTCTCAGCCAGCCCATCAGCCTCGGCCGACTCTTTGGGCTTGGCTGTGGTGAAGAGGAAGCCGGGCTCGATAATGATCTTGCCCTCTTTGTCATGAACCACAGGGACTCCGAGGCGCCGGGCCACCGGGGGACTATAGTAGACTCGGATGCCCGTCTTGTCAGGAGCCGTGTAGCTGCGCTGCATCTGCCTCCCTGGGGGGTCCTGGCAGGCCAGGGCACCCAGGTGGTTGCAGTCCCTCGACGAGAGCCCAGGCTTCTCCTTGGTGTCTTTCTCTGGATCCCCTGGCTCGGAGCTCACAAAGCCAAAGGCAGGGTTGTTAGGCAGCTTCTTGCCCCGGGCATCTCCGCCAGCAAGGTAAGGGGAACAGTCGAGCAAACTTTCAAACTCAGACATGGAAGAAACAGATTTGGTTCTGCGAAGGACAGAGGAGGAAACGTCGTTATTAGTGGAAATAACACTGAGGGCACACTCTGGTCTACCACCCTGGTCCGTGTGCTGCGTGAGGGCAAAGACCAGGACCGTCTTGTTCACCTCTTGTAGAGATGTTGTTGGTGCCCAGTCCCACATTCTGTCTGCATTTTCTTTTTTTTTTTTTTCTCCCAAACAGGTCTTGATATGTCACCCAGGCTGGAATGCAGTAGTGCAATAATAGCTCACTGCAGCCTCAAACTCCTGGGCTCAAGTGATCCTCCCATTTCAGCCTCCAGAGTAGCTGGGACTACAGGTGTGCACCACCAAACCTGGCTTTTTTTTTTCTTTTTTTTTTCTTGAGACAGAGTCTTGTTCTGTCACCCAGGCTGGAGTGCAGTGGCATGATCTCGGCTCACTACAACTTCCACCCTCCAGGTTCAAGAGATTCTCCTGTCTCAGCATCCGGAGCAGATGAAATTACAGGCGTGCGCCACCACGCCCAGCTAATTTTTGTATTTTTAGTAGAGACGGGGTTTCACCATGTTGGCCAGGCTGGTCTGGAACTCCTGACCTCAGGTGATCCACCCGCCTCAGCCTCCCAAAGTGCTGGGATTACAGATGTGAGCCACTGTGCCCAGCCTAACACCTGGCTAATTTTTAAAAAATTTTTTGTAGAGATGGGGATCTCCCTATGTTGCCCAGGCTGGTCTCAAACTTCTGGCCTCAAGAGATCTTCCTGCCTCTGCCTCTCAAAATGCTGGGATTAGAGGCATGAGCCACTGCACCTGGCCTCTCTTTGCACTTTCACCTATACACCTAAAACTGCATACTCTGAACTGCATACTCCACCATTCTCTATCTGATGGTTTTTTTTTCTGCCTGTGGGATCATACTTGGCTGTCCTACACATAGAAGAAGCTAGACCCAGCACTTTGGGATGCTGAGGCAGGCAGATCACCTGAGGTCAGGAGTTTGAGACTAGCCTGACCAAGATGGTAAAACCCTATCTCTTAGTAAAAATACAAAAATTAGCCAAGCGTGGTGGCGTTAGCCTGTAACCCCAGCTACTCAGGAGGCTGAGGCAGGAGAATTGCTTGAACCTGGGAGGTGGAGGTTGCAGTAAACTAAGATTGTGCCATTGCACTCCACCCTGGGAGACAGAGCAAAACTCTGCCTCAAAAAAAAAACAAAAACAAAAAAAACAAAACACACGCCCAAACCGAAGCTAGAGATAGCACAGAGTTAATGAGTTCACACCCCTAAACACAGCCCTCAACAAACAATAGGTGGGATATGGTGAACAAGTGCCCCAGCCTCCTTGTGGTGGGATGACTCTAAGCTGCATGTTCTCCTCTGGCTCCCTGAGTTCCTCCGACAGCCTGAACTCCAGTTGCCCGTGGAATAACCTGGTTGAAGCTCCTTTTATCGGCTGCTTTCCCTTCCCTGTCTCACTTCCAAGTGTTTCCTGAAATTCTGTCCCAAATAAACCATTTGCACTTAAATCTTTGTCTCAGGGTTTGCTTATGGGGGAACCCAAACTAAGACGCCATGAAGCTCCTGGCACACCTATTGCCTGAATCACTGAACACACCAGGCATATGGAAATGCACGTGTCAGACCACTCTGATTAACTTCAAGAGGCAGCTCCTATCATCCCCACTAGACAGAGATGGGAAGTACTGCTCAAGGTCAAGGTCATAGAGCTAGAACTGGCAGGGCTGGCATTCAAACCTGGCCCTCTGGCTCCACAGCCTGTCCCGCCTGCCTTGCTTCTGGGCTGGTCTGATAGCGGCTGGGGGTTCTGTTTCCCTGACTCCTTTCATGGGTTTCCTAACAGTGGAGACGTGGTCCTTATGGTCTTGGGGTGGGGGTCTCCTTGGCCATAGCACAGGGCTGGGCCCAAAGGATGCTGCTCAATAATCCCAGGAATAGAGGTCAATCTTGACTCTCCTAACTCCAGAGGCAGGAGAAAAGAATCCCAAGAGGAGCAAAATGTTTTGTTTCCACCTGTGTTCCATTCCCGGACTCAAACAACATGCAGCAGCCTGGAATTCCCACTGCCCCAAGCCTTCCAGCTCCTGAGTGGCTCGGGTTCCAGAGAAACCATATCCCGATGCTCTCCCAACTTGGATGCGGTGGGGTGGCGGCAGGAAGAGGGCAAAGGGGCGGGGCAGGGCTGCGGTGAAAGCAGGTAGAGTGGGTGCAGGGCGCAGCAGGAGGTGGAGAGGGGCGAGGCTGTGGGGCCGGTCAGAGAGGCAGAGCAGGGGACCAGCATGCAAGCACCTCTTTAAACCATTTCCTCCAAGCTCAACTTCGGAAACAGCCTCCTTGTCGTGGATCTTCTCACTGCGTGTCTGTCAAGGAAGAGAGACAGGAAGGGTCAGTTCTGGCCACCAGAGCACTAAGGGCATGGAACAAGAGACCAGCCCCGACCTCAGTGCTTGAATCTCCTCATCCGGAGAGCAGGAATGATGTCATCAATGATCTAGCATGGTCAGTTTCTGGCTGCCCTGCATCCAACTCCCCCACCATATGTGATCCAGGCTGGGCCAATCAGAGCTCCAAGAGTGACCCACCCAAGGAAAGGGACCACTTAAAATTTAATCCAAATGTGGTGACTGCAACAAAGCATCCAGTGGTCCACTGCTCAGCTGGTGGTGGGCTTGTCTTCTTCCTCCTCAACCCTACCCCCTCACTTAGCCCAGTCCCTGGGTGGTTGGGTTTTTTTTTTATTTTTTTGAGGCAGGAACCATGAGATACAGACTCCAGGGCTGAGGAGCCCAAGGTGCAAGGGTGTGACCTATGAGACAGGGTTAGCAACTTCCTCTCATGTCCCCCACAAGCAGGGACCTTTATGGTGCAGCCAGGAGCCAAGATAGCATGGCAGCAGCCGCCCCACTCACCTCCTTCCAGCTGTTGTCCTGCTTCTCCAGCTCCGAGTGCTTCAGGACCCAGGGGTCGGCAGCCTTCTGCAGCTGGGCAAGGGCAGAGAGGGTGGGTCGGTAATGGGCAAAGCTGGTATGCAGGACCCTGCTCTAAGCAAGGCCATTCCCCAGACTCCACTCTGCAGCCCACAGAACCTACATCATGGACAAGGGGCCACCTTCTCAGTGGGTAGCAGCTCAGAGCGCCCCACTCTGCCTGGTGGATTTGGAAAATGATAATAAAAGGAACTACTTGCAGGCATCCTTCTAGATGTCATTATACCTAATATAGTAACAGCCATGACTATGTGAATTCATGTTACAATTCACAGAACAGCTAGACTAGCTAAGCAGCAGCTACATCCCATCAGAGTGGCAAATGTAAGATCCAGGCACCCCCACTGCTCCATCCACAGTGGCCGTCATTTATGGATCTCGGCACTTTTTCCTGCTGGGCCTTGAGGGGCCTCTGCTTCTCTCCCCTCTTTGGAGCTCCATCACTTCCAGGTGGCTTGTGATGGAACCTATCTCCTATGCACACATTAGTTAATTTTTTTTTTTTTTTGAGACAGGGTCTTACTCTGTTGTCCAGACTGGAGTGCTGTGGTACGATCGCAGCTCACTGCAAACTCTGCCTCCCAGGTTCAAGCAATTCTCCTGCCTCAGCCTCCCGAGTGGCTGGCATTTACAGGGATGAGCCACCTCGCCTGGCTAATTTTTGTGTTTTTAGTAGAGACGGGTTTCACATGTTGGCCAGCCTGGTCTTGAACTCCTGACTCAGGTGATCCGCCTGCCTCGACTTCCTAAAATGCTGGGATTACAGGTGTGAGGCACCGCGTCTGGCCGCATTAGTTGATTTAATCCTCACAGAAACAGTGTATGATAGGTGTTCTTGTGGTTATTTCCATTTGGCAGATGAGAGGATCAAGACTGAGAGAAGAGGTTGGGCAGCTGACTGAGTGAATGATCGTGTAGCACTTCCCATTGTTGGTGGCTCCATCTGTACCATCTGACACTACAGCCTTCTCTGGAGGATTGCCTTGGGCAATTAGAACCGAATCACTGCCAATGACAGACAAAGACAGGGGTCCAAAAGACCGGCCCAAAAGGCAGACCCCTTGCCTTAAGGTGGACCAAACTGTGGGGTGATTTACTGTTTACACTCCTGGGCATGTCATGGGGTCAGGCCGAGGGCAGACTTCATCTGAAAGCATATCTTACGTGGTTTCTTCCCCTTCCCCATCCTGACTCCATCCGTTAACAAATCACTTGCACACAGGGTAACCAACTCATCTTGGTTTGCCCAGGACTTTCTCAGTGTTTGCATTGAAAGTCCCATGTCCCAGAACCCTCAGTTCTAAAAAAAACTAGTAGGCTACGGCTAGGACTATTCTAGTTTTAAAAGTCAAAGTCCCAGGAACGCGCTCAGTCCCAGGCAAGCCAGCATGGGTTGGTCACCTTACTTGTACTTGAATTCATGTCTAGGGCTTTGCTTCTAAGAAACTCAACATGAGACAAACAGTAATAAGGGCAACAATGAAAATAACACTAGGCCAGGTGTGGCAGCTCACAACTATAATCCCAGCACTTTGGGAGGCTGAGGTGGGAGGATCACTTGAGCCTAGCAGTTTAAGATCAGCCTGGGCAACACGGCGAAACCCCATCTCTACAAAAAAATACAAAAGTTGCCGGGCACGGTGGCTCACACCTGTAATCCCAGCACTTTGGGAGGCCAAGGCAGGTGGATCACCTGAGGTTGGGAGTTCGAGACCAGCCTGACCAACATGGAGAAACCCTGTCTCTACTAAAAATACAAAAAATTAGACAGGCGTGGTGGTATAAGCCTGTAATCCCAGCTGCTCAGGAGGCTGAGGCAGGAGAATCGTTTGAACGCGGGAGGCAGAGGTTGCGGTGAGCCAAGATCGCGCCATTGCACTCTAGTCTGGGCAACAAGAGTGAAACTCCATCTCAAAAATAAATAAATAAATAAATAAATAAATAAATAAATAAATAAAAGTTAGCCAGGCATGGTAGAGTGTGCTCCCAGCTGCACGAGAGGTTGAGGTGGGAGGATCACTTGAGCCTGGGAGGCGGAGGTTGCAGTGAGCTGAGATGGTGCCACTGCACTCCAGCCTAGGTGACAGAGCAAGACCTTGTCTCAAAATAAGAAAAGAAAGAAACGAAGAAAGAAGAAGGGAGGGAGGAAGGGAGGGAAGGGAAGGAGGGAAATAACACTAACATCAGCAAACAGCAATGAGAGATGAAGACCATAGAATCAAACCAAGCCCCAGACAGGGGTGGGCTTAAGAAGCACTTTGAATCTTCTGGCTATCTCACTTTATTTCCATAGCTGCCTTGCAAGATGAGAAGGTCAAGAATGGTCATCCTTATTTTACAGATGAGGCCCAGAGATCAGAGGTGACTTGACTGGGGTTGTACCTGGTGGAGCCAGGTAAGGACTGGGGACTCCTGGTCAGAAGCTCTTTCCCACCAGCCACTCTGTTGCTTTCACCAGTCTGGCTTAATCGTCAGTCCAGTGTAAAGAAGAATGCTGCTTTGGGGGATTTGGTTTAAAGTGCAGGAGGCAGAAGAATGTCAGAGACACAAGAGGCTGGAGCTAGAGGGCCGGCAAGTCTCTGATGTGAGAACAACAGCAGAACATGGAACCCGTGCCCTGATGAGCTGACAAGACACGCCTGTGGGCTGACATGTTCCCCAGGGATGACATGAAGCTTGTTTCATAATTTCAGAATCATTTTAGAAACATTTTGTTGTTAATATAATAAGAAGGAATTATTCTTTTATAGACAGGAATTTGGTTTGATGGTGCAAACAGATGCATGCATCTGACCTGCTTTCCACATGGTACCTGGATGGTTCTGGGATTTGTTAGTCAGCCTGCCATCCTGCACTCCCCAAGCACAGCCTCCTAGCAAGTGTGAACCTCAAAGGAGCTCTTTACCTGCAGGAAAGTGGGCATGGCCCAGGACCAGGAACTTTCCAGATCTGGGAGTTCTGCCAGATTCTGGTCCTCTCCCTTACTCACTTTATGACCTTGGGCAAATCACTTTGCCTCAGTCTCCTCATCTGAAAAAGGGGTTTCATGAACGTGACCTTGCAAGGCTGTTGAAGTACTGAAGAGAACATTAGGAAGAGGAAATACCTAAGATCCATAAACTCATGAAAAATGCTCACCTTCAGTAGAAGTCAGAGAAATGCAAAGTAAAGCAATGAGATAGCATTTCACACCCTAACTTGGGCAGACATTTCAAAGATTGGTAATCACAGGAACTGGCAAAGATAAAGCAAAAAGGGCCTTCTTGTCCTTCTCACTGTGCAGCTGGCAGGAGGGTACATGGGCAAAGCCTTTCTAGAAGGCGGCCTGGCAGTTACCATCAACTATAAATGCATATGCCCTTGGATTTAGCAATTTCACCTCTAGGAATCTATCCTACTGAAATATTCATGCGTGTGCAGAAATATATGTGTGGAGATGTTCACTGAGGCACAACTTGAACTTTTTTTTTCTTTTTTTAGATACGAAGTCTCACTCTGTTGCCCAGGCTGGAGTGCAGTGGCATGATCATGGCTCACTGCAGCCTTGATTTCCTGAGCTCAAGCAATCCTCCCACCTTAGCCTCTCATGTAGCTGGGACTACAGGCACACATTGCCACAACCAGCTTCAGGTCACAACTTTCAATAGTGAAAAACTGGAAACAATCTAGATTTAATCACTGTAGATAACAAATCATAGTATCTCCACACTAGGAACACCAGGCACCAGTCACACTGAATAAGGAAGGCCTCCATACTCTTGTGAACAGCTCTCCAGGAAAGACACAAAGTATAAATAAATGGACATTAAAATTTGATTGATGATTAAAAAACAAACAAAACAAAACCCTGTAAATATAAATTTAAATAGAAAGAAAGGCCCAGCGACTCGGGAGGCTGAGGTAGGAGGATGGCTTGAGACCAGGAGCTCAAGTCCAGCCTGGGCCATACAGTAAGACCTCATCTCTCATAAAAAAAAAAAACAACTTTTTTTCATTAAAAAAAAATGACAAGAAAGGGAGGGAGTAGGCTGAAATGTACCTTTGTAATATGTGAACATTATATAAAGATGAAGTCCTGATTTACGTAATTAAAATTAAAAGTAAGGCCAGGCGCGGTGGTTCATGCCTGTAATCCCAGCACTTTGGAAGACCGAGGCGGGCGGATCACCTGAGGTCAGGAGTTCGAGACCAGCCTGGCCAACATGGTGAACCCCATCTCTACTAAAAATAAAAAATTAGCCGGGTGTGGTGGCACGTGCCTGTAATCCCAGCTACTCGGGAGGCTGAGGCAGGAGAATCACTTGAACCCGGGAGGTGGAGGTTGCAGTGAGCTGAGATCACACCACTGTACTCCAGCCTGGGCGACAGAGTAAGACTGTCTCAAAGAAAAAATAAATAAATAAAAATAAATAAAATAAAAGTAAGGCCGGGCATGGTGGCTCACTCCTGTAATCCCAGCACTTTGGGAGGCTGAGGCGGGAGGATCACTTGAGGCCAGGAGTTTGAGACCAGCCTGGCCAACATGGTGAAACCCTATCTCTACTAAAAATATAAAAATTAGCCGGCTGTGGTAGCACACGCCTGTAATCCCAGCTACTGAGGAGGCTGAAGCACATGAATCACTTGAACCTGGGAGGCGGAGGCTGCAGTGAGCCGAGAGTGCTCTCTAGCCTGGGTGACAGAGTGAGACTCTGTCTCAAATAAATAGATAAGTAAATAAAAATAAAAGTGAAAGAAAGGGAAAAGTCAAAATCAAGAGTGGAGCAGAGCAGCCTATGGTAGGTGGTGCCTGGCTGCATGAAGTGAACTATAATGGGGAGTGAGGGTCAATGATTGCTTTTCCTTTCCTCCTTCTTTTGATTGGAGGCCTCCCAATTTTCCCATGGGAACCACTCTTAGTTCCTCCCTCTTGGTTCCTGGGTTTGGGTAGGCTCCAGGGGTGGGCACATGACTCATATCTGGCCAATCCACTGTACTTGCTAAGCTGTAAGATATGAGCATGAAACTAACAGTGGCCATATTTGGGAATAGCTTGTTTAAGAGTAAAGCTAACACAGAGGAAAGCAGGCCTGACAGGCTGAAGCAGAAAGAAAAATCTAGTTCCCACTGCATTCTCTAAGTGCCTGGATCCAGCTATACCTGAAGGAGATGGTGTGCCAGACCTCACTGGATGAGCACCTAGATCCAGCTATACCTGAAGGAGTTCCTGCTTCTGAATCATTTCTGTAGCAACTCTCCCTTGCGGGTGGAAGCGGCTTGGCAGGGGTGGGCCTCACCTGGCTTAGGCGGTTCTGCAGCTCCTTCACCTGCTGCTCCACCTGCTGCTTCTCACCCTGCAGCCGCTCCACCAGCTGCAGCTTTTCCTGGCTCCAGTTGCGCTCACTGATCTGCAGCTGCCGAGTCAGCTCCATGACAGCGCTGTAGGACTCAGCTAGGAGGTGCTGCTGCTCCTCACGCTCCCGCTGTAGGGCTGCCTTCCAGTCGGGCCCTGCCCGCTCCCCGGCCCCCTTCCCTGTCTTCAGCTCCATCTGCGGAAAGAAGCAGACTAAGCAGCTGGCAGCAGGAGGCCACTCCTCTTGGCCCTTCTCTCTCCTTCCCTCCTGGGTGCCAGCGGGGAAAAGGGGAGAGGTCCCCTCAGAAGACCCCTCACTAGGGACTAACCCAGCTTAGTCCTCCCCACTCAGAACTAACCCCTAACCCCTCCACACAATAAGGGTTTGAAGAGCTCTTTCTATAAGCCATGCTCTTCTGTGGGCTTTTCAGGCATGATGTCAGTATCCTCATAAAAACTCAGAAAGATTACTAGTGGTCATTCCAGCAAGATGGTTTTCTTGGCCTCAAACCTCAGAGTGGCAGGAAAGGGAATGTGCAACCTTTAGACTCAATGCCCCCCATTAACCCCCATGAGCTGGTCAGGTTCTTGGTGGGAGGAGCACCTGAAATGCCCAGGTCTTTGGGGGCAGCAGGTGCAGGGGACACCGTGGAATATGCAGATGGAGGGAGCTGTGAGATCTGGAAGAGGGTTAGGAGGGGAGAGTAGTGGCCCCAGGAAGTAGCCAGGAGACTGTGAGCAGTGGGAAGAAGGTGGAATTGGGGCCGGGAGTGGTGGCTCACGCCAGTACTCCCAGCGCTTTGGGAGGCTGAGGCCGGCAGATCACTTGAGATCAGAAGTTCAAGACTAGCCTGGCCAACATGGTGCAGCCCCATCTCTACTAAAAATACAAAAATTAGCTGGGCATGGTGGTGTGCCATCTATAATTCCAGTTGCTTTGCAGGCTGAGGCAGGAGAATCTCTTGAACCCGGGAGGCGGAGGTTGCAGTGATCCAAGATTGCACCACTGCACTCCAGCCTGAGTGACACAGTGAGATGCCGTCTCAAAAAAAAAAAAAAAAAAAAAAAAGGAGGTGGAATTGGGGTCACAGGGAGCCAGGGGTTAGAGGTTTGGGGGAGCAAGGGCCAGTCTGACACTTATTAGCCGGGTGACCTTGGGAGATAAATTTAACTCCTCTGTGCCAGTTTTGTCATCTGTCCAGCAGAGACCATCGGAGTGCCTGCCTCCCAGAGGCTGCTGACGCCTGGGAAGGCAGCTTGCAGCAGGGGCAGGCTGGATGGAAGAAGCTGGAGCCCAAGCTGCAGGGTCAGAGCATTCTCTCTGAGTGGGAAGAAGCCCACCCTCTCACTTTTCAGGCCAAAGGAGGCAGCAAGTCACCCTCAGGCACACAGCAGACACCAAACCCCCAGGGCTCCTGGTTAAGGCTCCTTTGGGGGCACGCTGGGGAGTTGGGAGGGGAGGCCCCCATTTTGCGTGGAGGGAGCAAAATAGAGCCAGGCAGTTGGGGCTGAGGGAGTGCTTATGAGGAAATGAAGGAGCAAATGAGGACAGCAGGCAGTGGGGATGTGCACCAGCCTCACCTGTGAGCCCAGGGCGCAATCCCCCACCTTCCTTCCCTTCCTCTGTGACTCCCATTCCCCACCGTTTCTGATACCCTTGCTGTGTGACTTTAGGCAAGTCTCTTGCCCTCTCTGGGCCACAGGTGAAGCAACGGCATTCTTATTCCTCTAGGAGCATGGCCTTGGTATTCTACTCCCAGATCTGACAGCTAAAGGCTTGGCTGAGAGTAAGGGGAGAGGCGTCTGACAGGTGGGGGGCTCACCTGGGAGGTATGGCCCTTGAGCTCTGCCCGCTCTGTCTCCCAGGTAGCCTTGGCCTTGGCAAACTGTTGCTGAAGCTCCGTCAGACCACGGCGTTCATCCCGGAGCAGCCAGCACAGCTCCTTCAGCGTCACCTTCATGTCGGCCAGTGTCTTGATGTACTCATTGGGCTGCAGACAGGAGGCAAAACCTGAGTCAAGAGCCTCTGTGGGGTAGGGAGGGGAACCTGGGTTCAGAGAACTCACCTAGGAGTCCAGCTTGGGACTTCACGAGGCCTCAGGCAAGTCCCACAACCTCCCTAGGTCATCTCACCCATAAAATGGGAATGACAGGCCCAGCCCTGGCTACCTCCTAGGCTGACATGAGGCCCAAATCTGACACCAAGAAAAAACCCTGCAGTTACAGTAATAATTATTCAGCCTAACTCTGAGCTGAATCATCTGGCTTCTTCAAGGCTCTGCAGCGTCTGTGCCGTGGGTCCTTCTCCTCACTCAGGATCTGCCTCTCTGACCCGCTGCAGGCCAGATGTGGGGTCTAATTCATGGAGACTCCCTCAGTTTGCCTGATTCTGTCCCAAATCTTCTCTCCTGGGCCCATGCCCTCATTTCCCATCCCTACCCCAGCTCACCGTGTGTGACCCTGGGATCCTGACCCCACTGTTCTCTCTGACTTATGGCTTGATTTGAAGGTTCCTGACCCTAGACCACAAGGCCCCTCTTCAGATGACTCTAGCCTGATATCCTTACCCTTACCATGTACCTCCCAAGCCATACTCAATACCAGAACACCTTGCCACACCTTGGCACACAGAGTTCTCTTGGTCCAGAATAGTCTTTCCCCTATTCTCTATTAGGTAAACTCCTATACATCCTTCAAAACCCATCATCCATGACCCCTTCACCGTGATATTGTCCCCTATACTGCAAAGAGAATTACTTGCTGTCTTGCCTATGACCCCACAGTCCATCATCTGGACTCTGTTACTGCCCTGGGATGACCAGGCAATAACTTGCAACTTCAATGTCCAGGAATGGGGTCAGAGAAAGCAGTAGGAATTGATTACTGAGCAGACAAAGGAATGAATGGACACAACAGGACCGGGAAGGGGCTGGAAACACACCGTGTTCTGGGTCCAGCTGTCCCCCGTGCAGGCCTTGTTATCAGAATGCTGAGCGTTTATCTCCTCTTCCTCCATCAGCAAGTACAGCTCCTTCATGCTGTTCACCTGTTTTTTAAAAACCATGCTTAACAGCAGGTGGGAAGTTTTCCCAAATTTTAATTCCAACCTTGGGCACCATGTAGGTCGAGGAGCACGGCTGGATAGTCAGGCCCTCCTAGCCTCCCACGACATCTATTCTGCCCCAAAGACCAGGAAGCATCCCTGAGAGTCACTCTGAAATAACCATGTTGACAGGCTGGGTCAAGGCAGGCACTGTGGTTGAAATGAAAAGGCCACACGCACTCCCACAATGCTACATAAGGGTGACCAAAGGTTTGGGTGGACAGAAGGGACCTTGCTGGGGGGTTGGACTGCTTGCTGATAGATTCTGGGCAAGAGTCCAGGGCCAGCCAAGGAGATCAGGGACCTAGTTCAGGATGGAAATAAGACAAAAGGGAGCGAGTCACCTTCTGTGCTCAAGCAATCCTCCTGCCTCAGCCTCCCAAAATGCTGGGATTACAGGCGCGAGCCACCATGCCCAGCATGATTATGTTTATATCTTATTAATTATGCTTATTTTGGTAAATGTATATATTTCTTAATTATATATGTTATGTAATTTTCTGTGTCTCTTTATTTTTTTTTTGAGATGGAGTCTCACTGTGTCATCCAGGCTAGAGTGCAATGGCATGCTCTTAGCTCACTGCAACCTCTGCCTTGCAGGTTCAAGAGATTCTCTTGCTTCAGGCTCCTGAGTAGCTGGGACTACCAGTGTGCACCACCGTTCCCAGCTAATTTTTGTATTTTTAGTAGAGACAGGGTTTCATCACGTTGACCAGACTGGTCTCGAACTCCTGATCTCAAGTGATCTGCCCACCTTAACCTCCCAAAGTGCTGAGATTACAGGTGTGAGCCACTGCACCTAGCCAATTTTCTATGTTTATGCCCTAATTTTTTTTCCCTAAAGTAAGTTTCTCTCTCTTTTACTCTAGGATATGGAAATGGCTAGAAAGGTTTTCACCAAATGTGGAGGGTTCGTCTGAGACAAACTGACTTAAAATATAGACTGTGTGGCCTGCAGGTCATTCCCTTAAACTGGGCTTCATCCAGAGGCCTGTGAGACTTCCAAACAGGTGAGAGGGCTCCTATGTTTCCAAACGTCACAGAAGAGACAGCTTCGGACAGGAGGACCGAGGCGAATGCTCCCAGGGGCGGCCCTGTGTCAGGCACTGCAGGGCCAGGGCAGCAGGGTGTGGGCCTATGGAATGGCGGTAGTGACTCTCCCATGAGGCCCTGGGGAGGAGCTGGTGGCCTGCGAGAATGATGAGCCCCACTGAGATAGGGTGATGCAGGGTCTTGCTACACACTCAGGTCTAACTGTCTTGCCTGGCTCCTGGGGCATCTGGGCTCCTCTGGAGTACCCCTGATGGCGTAAGTGGCAACTTGAGGCATGCCAATGCTCCCTACTGGATCTGGACAGGGGACTACAGAGAGCAGCCTGGACTAGAGGAGGGCCAAGCCTGGGCTAGACTCGAGGTACCTGAACCCAAAAGGACACGGCCAAAGTGAACAATGTCAACTAAGATGAGTGTGACCAAGGTCTGACATCCTTGTAAGTCCCCTTCTCTTCCCTGATGTGTTGATGTGTGCTGCTGTGCTGATGACAGGACGCAAGGGCTTTGAGCAGCAAAGGGTCCTGCATAGACTGGGGCATGAATGGGTCAGGTGGGTCCTTTCTAAGCTTCTTACATTCCCAGAGCTCCGCCCCCACGTTTCCTGCCACATCCTAATACCACCTGTACTATCACCAATGTTTTTAAGCCAGCCTACTCCCTCTTGTTAAGTAAACATATCTTTTGGCCAGGCATGGTGGCTCATGCCTGTAATCCCAGCACTTTGGGAGGCCAAGGCAGGTGGATTACTTGAGGTCAGGAGTTTGAGAGATCAGCCTGGCCAACATGGAGAAACCCTGTCTTTTTTTTTTTTTTTTTTTTTTTTTTTTGAGAAGGAGTCTTGCTCTCTCTCCCACTCTGGAGTGCAGTGGCACAATCTAGGCTCACTGCAAGCTCCGCCTCCTGGGTTCACGCCATTCTCCCGCCTCAGCCTCCCGAGTAGCTGGGACTACAGGCACCCGCCACCACACCTGGCTAATTTTTTGTATTTTTAGTAGAGACGGGGTTTCACCATGTTAGCCAGGATGGTCTCGATCTCCTGACCTCGTGATCCACCCGCCTCGGCCTCCCAAAGTGCTGGGATTACAGGTGTGAGCCACCGCACCCGGCCAAGAAACCCTGTCTTTACTTAAAATACAAAAATTAGCTGGGCATGGTGGCATGTGCCTGTAATCCCAGCTACTCGGGAGGCTGAGGCAGGAGAATTGCTTGAACCCGGGAGATGGAGATTGCAGCAGGCTGAGATTGCACCACTGCACTCTAGCCTGGGCTGGAGTGAGACTCCATCTCGGAAAAAAAAAAAAAAAAGCAACGAATGCAGGAAGGAAGCCTGCATGCTGATGGCAGGTATGTGAGCCTAGGAGTTGTGTCAATACCAGCTGGGCGTCCCTTCCCTGTCCCTCTCTCCCCAGCCCACACTCCCAGTCCCAGTCCCTGGCCCAATCTTACCTCGAGGAAGTCATCCCCTTCGCTGGGCAAAACCTTGCCCTGCCGCCAGCGCTTGAGGAACCACCTGAGCTTCATGAAGAGCAGCAGGAAGTTGTGCTTGAATTGCTGGGACTCCTGCACCAGCATGTTCTTCTCCTGGCTCCAGAATTTCTGCTCCAGCCTCCGCTGGAGGCTCAGACTCTGCAGCTCAAACTCCCGCCTCAGGAGCGCCCTCTGCTGGTCCTCCTTCAGCTGCCGGGGGACAAGAGCTTGAGCAACCCCAGGGCCCTGTCCTCTCCCCCACCCCTTTCTGGGCCCCTGGACAGGGGCAGGGAGGAAAGTCTGGGTGGTGCCTGTGAGTGATCCCTGCCGGGGATCCCACCACACGTGGCGCAATCTATTCAGATGAGCACTGCCCTCTGCTCCTGCAAAAACAGTGACACATCATTGAAGGAGCTGGGATTTGACCCTGGCTCTAAAAAACCATGACATCATATACTGAGCACCTCCTGGGCACCAAATGTCTCACACGAATGCTCATGTTCAATGAGGAACCTGCGAGGGTGAGCGATGATAGCAGGGAGGGGTGACGCATGGAGAGCAAAGGGCGTGCCAGGGTTGAGGACAGCTGATGACTAGGCAACACCCTAGGAAGCAATGCAGTGTCATGCCTAACAGAGGGACCTGGATTAGAGGCCCAGCCCTGCCACACTCTGGATGTGCAACCCTGGGCAGAGCACTCCAGCTCTCTGGGCATCAGTTTCCCCATCTGCAAAATGGTGATAAGGGAGGGCACAAGGATTAAAAGACATAATGGGTAGAAAGTGCATTGGACAGGCCCACCATACAGTAAGGGCTTAACAAATGTTATTCCAGAACTATTATCTTGATTAGAAGCCAGGCCTGATGAGGGCACCATTTCATAAATGGGAAACTGAGGTCCTGAGAGAAAACAGGACTGGCCCCAGGTCCCACAGGCCGCCAATGACAGCCCTGTTACACAACTAATGCACAATGGCAAGGACAATAACATCCCAGCAGGGCACAGGGGCTGAAGACTCAGGTTTCCCTTGACATTCTTTCATTCTTTTTTTTTTTTTTTTTTTTTAGATATCACTCTGTCACCCAGGCTAGAATACAGTGGGATGATCTCGGCTCACTGTAACCTCCGCCTCCTGGGTTCAAG
The DNA here is from genome assembly GCF_000001405.40 of Homo sapiens. Taxonomy (NCBI): domain Eukaryota; kingdom Metazoa; phylum Chordata; class Mammalia; order Primates; family Hominidae; genus Homo; species Homo sapiens. The sequence continues at coordinate 36,809,678 of NC_000020.11, forward strand.
CGGTTCTCTTGCCTCAGCCTCCTGAGTAGCTGGGATTACAGGCGTGCTAGTGCACGCCTGGCTAATTTTTGTATTTTTAGTAGAGGCGGGGTTTCCATGTTGGCCAGGCTGGTCTCAAACTCCTGGCCTCAAGTGATCTGCCTGCCTTGGCCTCCCAAAGTGCTGGGATTACAGGCGTGAGCCACCACACCCAGCCTCCCCTGACTTTCTTGACTTCAGAGGGCCCATAGATCCTCAAGGCCTCTGCTTCCAGCTCAGAGAGGCTGTAGGAATAGCTGCCTGGAAAGCGCTGGGCACCACGCACCTGGACCATTTTCTGGTTGAAATTGTCGGCCTCCTCCTTTCGTAGCTGCCGCTCCTGGGAGAGCTGCTCTTGCAAGCCCCGGAGGCTGTCGTGGGCCTCAGCCAGCACCAGCTGCAGCTCCTTGATCTGTGGTACAGACAGGGGACACAGATAATGAGGAGGGAGAGAGAGGAAGAAGTGGATAGAAATTGTGATCTAAGGATGACAGTGGTAGGGGAACGATGGGATGTTGGACCCAAGCTGTCCAAATACAAATCAGGCAGAATGACTGTCCCCACCTCTGAGGGTCGTCATGATGATTAAATGAAACAGTACATATCAAATCTGGCTTTTGTTACCATTGGAACTTGTTCTTTTCTCTCTGAAATTTATCTTAATAAGGTACTGGGAAAACTAAGTTTGATTCACAAAGATGTTCATTGTTTCATTGTTTATAATTGCAATATTTTAGAAACAACTTAGATACTAAATGATGGGACTTAAAAGATGCTTAATGGATCTATACATATGTAACAATCCATTCAGTGGTACCCTTAAGGACAGTGTCCTTTATTGTATGTATGTTATTATGTTATACTACAACAGAAAGTAGAAAAACAAAACCAAAAACGCTATAGGCCTCCATAAAAAAACATACAAAGGACATGGACACACACAATAAATGTAACCAGTGGGAACTATGTGAAGACCTTCTGACCTCCAACCTTCACCCACCCTCCCCTCCTTCTCTCTCTCCCTCTCTCTCTCTCTCTCTCTCTCTCTCTCTCTCTCTTTCAACGGAGTTTCGCCAGCTTTGAGCGTGATCTTGGCTCACTGCAACCTCTGCCTCCCAGGTTCAAGCGATTATCCTGCCTCAGCCTCTCAATTAACTGGGATTACAGGCACCCGCCACCACGCCTGGCTAATTTTTGTATATTTTTGATAGAGACAGGATTTTGCCATGTTGCCCAGGCTCATCTCGAACTCCTAGGCTTAAGCAATCTGCCCACCTGGGCCTCCCAAAGTGCTGAAATTACAGGTGTGAGTCACCGTGCCTGGCCCCAGAACTCCTACATAAAACCTTCCTAGGCATGGCAAATGTCCCTCTGTGAGAAAGTAAACATTCATTATATGGTCAATAATATGATGATTTGGCAGTGGAAGGCACAGTGACTTGAGGTATATCTTCTATATCTGTTTTGCATTAAAAATTTTTGCAGGGCTACATACTGTCTGCTGTCCCTGGTTTCCTCCCTGAACTCAGTGGTCAACAGCACTGGGCAATTGTCACTACTCAATAAAGAGTGGCTGAATGAAACAAATAATTGAATGTGTGCAGGAAATCATTTTTTCTACAGGTAAGCCTATAGAATAGGCCTATTTCCTGGCAGGGCACAGTGGCTCACGCCTGTAATACCAGCACTTTGGAAGGCTGAGACGGGAAGATCACTTGAGCCCCAGAGTTTGAGGCCAGCCTAGGTGACATGACAAAACCCTGTCTCTACTAAAAATACGAAAATTAGCTGGGCATGGTGGCGCACGCCTATAGTCCCACCTAACTGGGAGGGCTGAGGCTCGAGATTCGCTTGAACTCAGGAAATGGAGGTTACAGTGAGCCAAGATCGCACTACTGCACTCCAGACTGGGCAACAGAGCGAGACTCAGTCTAAAAAAAAAAAAACAAAAAAAAGAATAGGCCTATTTCCTTTTCTTAGAAAATGACAACTAAGTTATCTCAGTTTTTTCTCTTTTTGCCATGGCTTCCAGGAAGCTCACTTAGAGAGTCTGATCCATCAGCTTCAAGTGAGCTTCTCCTTCCCACATAGTCATGGGCTGACCTTCCTGGGACTACAGAGTTGTCTTCCAAGAGATGCTCAGAAAGGTGCTCAGGCTGGAAAATACATAGGACTCTGCAAGGTTCAGGGTTTCAGGGATACTCCACCCAGTCCGTAGGAGCCTTTTCCTGCTTCAGGCTCATTATGAAGAGCAAGGAGAAGCTCAGCAGGCTTAGAAGGGGCTCAGAACTACCCAGAATTCCCTGAGGATCAAAGAATCCTAGCAATTCAATAACTACCATTCACTCTAACCCTCCCGTTACAGATGGGGAAGCTGTGGCCAGAAGGTAGAAATCTGTCCAAGGTCACACAGGAACACTGGTAGAACTGAGACTTGAACTCAGGTCCCCTGAGTCCCAGAGATGTGTCATTATCATCATAATCATCCTCCTCCTCCTCCTCATCCTCACCCAATGTGGACCATGCCTTAAGCTATGGCTTTTCATGTATTTAATCCTTTCAACAACCCTGTGAGGCACCTTCATTTTACATGTGAGAAAACTGAGAATCAGAGAGGTAAAATGACTTATCCAAGATCTCACAGCCAGAATAGAGTGGATCCACAATTGAAACCCAAACTGCCTGGCTATAGAGACTGCTGCCTTCCTGCTACATACATGAGTAGTTCCATTAAATTACATAAATTGTTAAATTCCCAGTGGAATTTAGTACAGAAGAAAAAATAATTTATGCAGATGAGTTTATAAGTTTCCTTGGATCAGGCCATGAGAATGTCCCAAACTTCCTTATTTCCCTTCTGGCCTTGGCTGCCAAGAAGCCTGGAACCAAATGGAATGCCCCAAACCCATATCCTCACCAGCTAAGTGATATATGGACCACTCTGCTTTTGACAGGGCTCAGTCACTCTCCTCCTACCCAATCCCATGCTTGCTCAGGCCTAGACCCACCTCAGAGGCATAGGAATCATTGTCTTCAGCTCGGTAAGGCCTGAAGCTCCGGCTGGGGTCGGGCTTAGAGTCCAAGTCACCAGTGCGGAAAGCCTCTCGGATCCTGGGCTCCCATTCCGGCAGGTCCCTGAAGTCAGGTGGCTGCACCCAGAGGCACAGGCAGAACAAACCAAAGATCACCATGGGGAGGGGCCCGAGGGGTGCCAGAAACACCCACCCCAGGCCTCTGCGCTCCCTAAGAGGCTTGAACCACCCACCTGAGGGCTGGGACCCTGGTAGATTCACCTCTGCAACCCAGACCCAGCCCCAGCTGGGGGCACTGCTGCCGTTTAATGAATGTTTGCTGAAAGGATGAATGAGTAGGTAAGTGCGAAGTGATTTTCTGAATGTGTGCCTTGTGCACAAACCTTTTGAGTCAGCCCAAACTGTCCTATCACATGTGTGACCTCTGTTCATCCCTCTTTCAAGAAGAACCAAAAGGGAGATAACATAGAGCAGTCTATGGGCACAGTGGCATGTGCCTGTAATTCCATCTACAATTTGAGGCTACAGCGAGCTGTGATCATACCATTGCCCTCCAGCGTGGGCAACAGAGCAAGACTGTTTCTTTAAAAAAAAAAAAAAAAAAAAAAAAAAGGCAATGTGCTTGCTTAAAAAAGCAAGATGAAACCGGATCAACAGGTCTTGAGTTAAAGAAATTATGGCACATATCCACTGTATAGTTGTTAAAAAGAAAGTGCTAAATCTCAGAAGGGCACGATGGCTCACACCTGCAATCCCAACACTTTGGGAGGCCGAGGCAGGTGGATCACCTGAGGTCAGGAGTTCAAGACCAGCCTGGCCAACATCGTGAAACCCCATCTCTATTAAAAATACAAAAATTAGCCAGGTGTGGTGGGGCATGCCTCTAATTCCAGCTACCCAGGAGACGGAGACAGGAGAATTGTAATTTCAGCTACCCGGAAGGCGGAGACAGGAGGCGGAGGTTGCAGTGAGCTGAGATCGTGCCACCGCACTCCAGCCTGGGCGACAGAGTAAGACTCTGTCTCAAAAAAAAAAAAAAAAAAAAAAAAGATAAAAGAAAAAAAGAAAGTGCTAAATCGCTCTCTTTCCCTGGAAATGAAAAATTCCCTGCCATTGCTCTGAGGATGAAGATCAAACCTCCCGCATGCTCAGTGCAGTCCAGCTTCACATTGTCTCTTCACTCAGTGTCCTGGACACACCACGCTCCTTCCGCCTCTGATCTGAGCTGTGTCTTTGCACAGGCTATTTGCTCTGCTGAAAACACTGTGTTCCCCCAGCCATCCATCCCTCTGACCTCTGGTCAGATCAGAGGCCTTCCCTCAGCATAGGGTCTAGGTCAAGTTCCTTGTTCATAAAACCATGTACGCTTCCTTCAGATTCCTCTCTCAGTGTCTAATTGCACATTCACTGACATGATATTTTGGGTGACTCTGCCCCACTAGATGATAAGGACCATGAGAGGGGGAATCATATCTGTTTTTGCTAATCATGACATCTTCAGCAGTGAGCACAAAAACTGTGTGAACAACAGACAAGGCATCATAAATTAACAAACTGATACATTGCGTTAAAAATATAAGTTGTGTAGTAACAATAGATATAAAGCAATCTGGGTGGAAAAACAAATATATGATAGATGTGTAGAGAAGGATTTAGAAGGACAAGCTGCAAGGATGAAATATTCTAGATCCACTCTACTAGACACACACAAATACTGAACATTTAAAATGTGACTATTAGGCCACACACAGTGGCTCACACCTATAGTCCTAGCACTTTGGGAGGCTGAGGCTGGTGGATCACTTAAGCTCAGGAGTTCAAGACCAGCCTGGGCAATATGGCAAGATTCCATCTCTACAAAAAAATTTAAAAATTATGGCCAGGCACAGTGGCTCACACCTGTAATCCCAGAACTTTGGGAGACAAAGGCGGTCGGATCACTTGAAGTCAGGAGTTCGAGACCAGCCTGGCCAACATGGTGAAACCCCATCTCTACTAAAAATACAAAAATTAGCCAGGCATGATGGAGGGCGCCTGTAATCCTGGCTACTTGGGAGGCTAAGAGAGGAGAATCGCTTGAACCTGGGAGTTGGAGGTTACAGTGAGCCGAGATTGCGCCACTGCATTCCAGCCTGGGTGACAGAGCGAGACTCCGTCTCAAAAAAAATAAAAAATAAATAAAAATTAGCTGGGTGTGGTGGTGCTCACTTGTAGTCCCAGGTACTCAGGAGAGTGAGGGGGGGAGAATGGCTAGAGCCCAGGATATCGAGGCTGCAGTGAACTGAGATTGCACCACTGCACTTCAGCCTGGCCAGCGGGGAGAGACCCTATCTCAAGAAAAACAAAACAAAACAAAGGAAAAAAATAAATAATAGGATCTGTGCATGAGGCACCTTACCTGAAAGTCTGAGCCAAGGTCTTTTGCCAGAAGAATCTCCTTAGAGAGCCCCTGGGAGCCCAAGGGGGGCAGTGATGAGAAGGACTCCTGCTGTTCCTTGACAGAGCACCCGAGGACTGCATCTGCCTTCCGCGTGAAGGCATTCAGCTCCTGCTGCAGCACGCTCAGGCGCACCAGGATGGCATGGATGAGCTTGGTGTCCCTGGGGCCCTCGCTGTTGTCGGGGGCCTCATGCAGCCGGAAGTCAGCACACTCGTTGTCCAGACACAGCCGGAGGCCAGCCGTGAAGCCATTGGCATCAGCCACCAGGACATCGATGGCCTTACTGACCAGGGCGGCCTGCTCTCTCAGCCCAGGCAGCACCTCGGCCTCCCTGGCTCTGCAGAGTCGGACCGCATGGGACTCGTGTGTCTCGCCCAGGGGAGCAGGCACACACTGGGCAGAGTCCCCGGCCTCGGCGTCCGTCTCCAGCATGGGCCGCGTACTCTGGCAGGAGGCGAGGTCACAGCGCTGGAGGTTGGAGAGGAGCACGCGGTTCTCGTACTGCAGCTTCTTGACCTTGCCGCTGAGCTCGCCGATCTGCAGCTTGGCGGCCGCCAGCTCCTCCTGTGAAGGTTCGCTGAGCACAGAACAACTGTCCTCCGACAGCGCCACGTCCAGCTCGTGCTCCGAGCGGAACTTGGCCAGCTCGTTCAGCAGCAGCTTGTTCTGGTCCTCGAGCTCGGCAGAGGAGCGCCGCAGCAGCTCGGCCTCCTCTTCGACAAACTGCAGGTGTCGCCGCAGCTCTGCCAAGCTCTCCCCGCACTCTCCGCCACCCAGCGCGGAGAAGGCCAGGCGTGCCTCAGGACCCCCACAGCCACCTCCATGATCCTTCATGTCGTCCATCTCAGCCCGCAGGCCTCGGTTCTCCACCTCCAGCTCCACGATGCGGCGGCTCAGCAGGTTGGCTTCCTCCTCCACCAGCTTCAGGTGCACCTTCAGCTCGGTCTCCCGCGAGTGGGGGGCATCGGCCAGCTCCTCGGCTGACAGCGCGCTGTCCAGGTCCCCATAGAGCGAGCGGTACTTCAGCAGCTCCTCCTTCATGCTGTCATTCTCCTTGGCAAGCTTAGTGAGCTTCTTGCACATGAGGGCTGACTCCTCCTTTGCAAAGTGCAACTGGCACTTCAGGTCTGCACTGTCCTCCTGGGACCACAGAGACAGACACAACCCAGGAAGGTTAGTGCTGGGAGTCTCAGTACCAGCCATGGCATTTTGGGGAGCACTATGTGCTGGGAACACAGGGATGAATCAGACACAGCCAGACCCTCAAGGAGCTAAGGGTCCGGGGGAGACGCAGAGGGGTAGATGTTGAAATGACAGCAAGGATGGGGCGCCACACATAGCCTGGGAGTACAGGAACAGGTGACATACTGATGAGCAACTGCTGCCACTACAGTTTCATCAGTAAAATGGGGCGGTAACATTACCTCCCTCCCAGAGCCACAGACGGGATTAAATGAGCTAAGGATGAAAAGGGCCTGGCACTCTGACAATCCCATACCACTAGGAGCTAACGGTATGTGGCCTTTGCTGCATATAGTACTTCATCCAATTCTTCCAATGAACCCCCAAGACAGGGATAGATAGGAAATGGAGCCCAGAAACTCAAAATGACTCGCTCCAATCACATGGCAGTCAAGTGGCAGAGCCAAGATTCAAGCCTGGGTCTCCAACTCTAGACCTTTGGATTTGACTGTAGTGCTGCTTGCTAAGTTCCTGGCTGGGGTGGGGAGCGAGCATCTAAGCATCTAAGAACCATGGGCTCAGGATGTGGTTTTGGGAAATAAAGTGGGCAGTGAAACTAAGAAAATGAGCAAGGGGGCCGGGCGCAGTGGCTCACACCTGTAATCCCAGAACTTTGGGAGGCCGAGGCAGGTGGATTGCTTGAGGCCAGGAGTTCAAGACCAGCCTGGTCAACACGGTGAAACCCTGTCTCTACTAAAAATACAAAAATTAGCCAGGTGTGGTGGTGCACGCCTGTAGTCCCAGCTACTCGGGAGGCTGAGGCATGAAAATTGCTTGAACCTGGGAGGTAGAGGTTGCAGTGAGCTGAGATTGTGCCACTGCACTGCAGCCTGGGCAAGAGAGTGTGACTCCGTCTCAAAAAAAAAAAAAAAAAAGAAAAGAAAAAAAGGAAAATGAGCAAGGGGAGGACAGGGCAGAATCTGGGATCCCCAGGCCACTTAGAGTCAGGCTCAGGTCTTCAGAATAAAACCTTCCTACGGGGGCTGCTGGGAATTACCTGCACCAAAGTCTTCTTATCGGCCTTCCCCAGGGAGCGGGTTCCTCTTTTCTTCAAGGAATGCTGAAGTGAGATTTAATTAAAAAAAAAAAAAAAAGTCAGGACTGAAAGCTCACAGAATGATGCACATGCAGAGAGCTGTCACAGTGCCCAGGGTCCAGGGAGGGCCCCAGTCCCCAGGCCACCCCACCCTGATGGCACTGACTGTTGAGTAAGAGGAGCCCTCCAGATCACCCAGTGAGCAGCAATGGGAGATAGGCCAGAAGCATTGGAGAAGATGATTCTAAAAACACCTGCTCAGGGCTCCTCCCCTCCAGCCTGCTCCCATGTGTGACCCAGTTGGCCTCGGCGAAGACTTGGAAAGCTGTGTTTCTGTTCTCATTTGTCTTTCATCAAAGGATTTCCTGAGCACCTATCAAGCGCCAGGTAGGTAGGTGTAGAGAACACAGCAGTGAACCAGGGAGGATGTTGTGGTGCTTTGCCCAGATTCCCCTTCGGAACTGAGACACTCATTCCCAGAGCTGAGACCTCAAAGCTGAGTACCTCTCCCAGCGACAGCCATTGGTTGAGGAGAACCACCTTGTCCAAGGGCAGGTGCTATCCGTGGATGGAGCCCACATCCAGGGATGGGTCCATGACCCCTTGCCTCAGCTCTACAGGGAGGGCCATCCTAGCTCCAGAGCTCCCCATGGGATCGCCTGAGATCACTGGTGTAATTCAGCTTCCAGCTCTGCCTCACTCCCTGTGGTGTTGTTCCCAAGGAGACTCTTCCATAAACCTCTGCATGCAAATCTCCATCTCAGAGAAAATCCTGTCTTCATGAAACTGACATCTAGTGGGAACTGTAATTCAGAATGAATACTAATGGATAAAATGAATATGGAGGCTGGATGTGGTAGTTCATGCCTGTAATCCCAACACTTTGGGAGGCCAAGACAGGAGGATTGCCTGAGGCCAAGAGTTTGAGACCAGCCTGGCCAACATAGCAAGACCCTGTCTCAAAGAACAAACAACAACAATAAAATGAATATAACAAATCGTAATTACACATGAGGCTTAGAAATGGTCATAAGAGACTGATGGCAAACAGTGATTCAAAAATCCAGAAGCTGGTCTGGCATAGTGGCTCATGCCTGTAATCCCAGTACTTTGGGAGGCTGAGGTGAGAGGATTGCTTGCATTGAGGAGTTTGAGACTAGCCTAGGCAACATAGCAAGACTCCACCTCAAAAAAATAAGATGTTTAAAATCCAGAAGCAATAGGGGAAAAAATAGATACATTTGATTATACAAGCAAATTCTGCATGGAAATAAAAACACCTTAAGAAAAGTAAAAACATAAATGACAAACTCTGAAAAAATATCTGCAATGTACAACACCAACAAAGGGTTGATATCCTAAATATGGAAAGAGTTTCACAAACAGAGCATTAAAAGGCCAGCAGACCTGTAGGAAAATAGGCTAGAGATATGAAAAACAGTTCACAGGAAAAGAAAGGCAAATGGATCATGGCACATGAAGACATCAAGGCACATGATGATATTCAACCCCACTCCTGTTAGATAAATGCAAATTAAAATTACACTGAGATACCGTTTCTCACCTATCAGATTGGCAAAAATCCAAATATCTGACGACATATTCTATTGGTGAAGCTATAGAGAAACAAAAAGGTTCATAAATTGCTGGCAAGAATGCCAAATGGCACAAGCCCTACAGAGGGAATTGGAGGAAATGTTACAATAACAATTACTGAAATTTCTCAATGTTTAAAGAAGTCATTCAATTAGATGCACGATTCTTTTGAGCGCTTCCTCCCAAGAGAGGAGGGGTGATTCCTGGTGGTGGTGTATGTATAAAACCTTGCTTAGGTTGTTTTGACTTTTCAAGGTGGGCTGGTATATTTTTGAAAATGGCCCCAGGTGATTTGGATACATGCTTGCTCCATCCCCCACCTCTCACACCCCATCCCTGAAAGTGACAGCCACTGATCTAATCTGAGTCCCATTTTTCTGAAACCAAGACAGAGGGGCAGGGACTTGTCCAAGGTCTCACAGTACACCCACAGCTGACCTGGGACCAGTTCTTGACATAGCTCTTGACCAAATTCCAAAGAGTTGGTAGGAGAAAATGTGTCTTCTCTGATGAGGGCCAGAGTGTAGCCAGCACAGTGGTTCTCAACCTGGTACACATCAGAATTACTCAAAAAAAAAAAAAAAAAGAAAAAATACTGGTGGTCTGAGGTAGGTCTGAGACATCAGTATTTTTCAAATGCTTTCAGGTGATTCTGAAGTGCAGGTCGGATCCTCTGTGCCAGGCAAGGAGAGCTCCAGATGGACTCCTAAGTACAGAATATCTTAGAGCTCAATCAAATCCTAAAGAGACCTTTTGAAATGCAAATGAGGCAGGGAGGCAGAGGCTGATATTTCAGACGCTGGGTGCCAAGAGCCAGGAGCCAGTATTTGAGAAGTGCTGACCTGGGAGCTTTCAAAAGCTGGAAGGGAAGAGGAGGAAACAGGGCTATGGGTCAGAAAACGAGTCCTTCCACAAGAGCCAGGAGGCAGCAGACAAGGGCAGCCAGTGGGGCCCTGGACGGGGCACACAGAAGCAGACCCCCGTATAGCATGCAAGGGGGTGCTGTGGGCTCAGACCATCAGGCTATGGAAGGATCTAGGCCCACCTATTACAAGCTGAGTGGGAAGGGCTGTGGCCTCAGCTGGGAGTTGAACTCTGGGGCCCTTGCAACGCTGAGTTTATGATCCCTGGGTGAACCCTTTCCTCTCCCTGAAATTCCATTTTCTCATTTATAACACTGGGCCATGGATTAGGTGACCAGAGCCCCACCAATGACTGCAGACTCCCTGGAGGAAGGAAGTGAAGTGACAGAGAGGAGAGCCAGGGGTCTGCATAGGTACCAAGGGGTCAGGCATCACATGTGAATGAATGAGATCACCTAAAGCCATTCAAAGTACTAAGGGATCATGAGATTCACTGACATGGTAAAGTCTCTCAGACACTCTGTTAAGGGAAAGAAGTGACCAGCAAAACAAAGCCTATAACCCAAATATGTCCACCAACTTTAGAATGGATTAAAAAAATGTGGTCTATCCACACAACAGAATATTTACTCAGCCACAGAAAGAAGAAAGAAATGGCTGGGTGTGGTGGCTCATGCCTGTAATTCCAGCTTTTGGGGAGGCTGAGGCAGTTGGATCACCTGAGGCCAGGAGTTTGAGACCAGCCTGGCCAACATAGTGAAACCCTGTCTCTACTAAAAATACAAAAATTAGCCAGGTGTGGTGGCAGGCACCTGTAATCCCAGCTACTAGGGAGACTGGGGCAGGAGAATCGGTTGAACCCATGAGGCAGTGGTTGCAGTGAGCCGAGATCACACCACTGCACTCCAGCCTGGGCAAAAGAGTAAGACTCTGTCTCAAAAAAAAAAAAGAGTTTAAAAATATATAGAAACCTGCATTGTATGAGACTAGAGAAAGACCTGGAAAGATACAAAGCAAACTGCTGATGCTGGGTCAGGCTGAGGAGTAGAATTGAAGGAGGCAGTTAGGGAAGGCTTTCTTCTTTAATTTATGGGTTTTATTATTTCTATTATTTTTGAATAGATAACAAAGTTGCATGGTTCAACATTCAAAAAGGACATAGAAGAATACAGTGAACCCAGTCACCCAGTTATCCCGCCCCAAGGCAACCAACGTAACCAGAGCACTGCAGCTTGTCCTTGGAGGTATGCTAGGCATGCATCTGTGTGCTTTTCTAATGATATTTTTGCTTCACTGAGTTTATATTACTTTTTTAGATTAAAAAATACATATTCTGGCTGGATGCAGTGGCTCACGCCTATAATCCCAGCACTTTGGGAGGCCGAGGTGGGTGGATCACCTGAGGTCGGGAGTTCAAGACCAGCCTAACCAACATGGAGAAACCCCGTCTCTACTAAAAATACAAAAAAAAAAATTAGCCGGGCATGGTGGTGCATGCCTGTAATCCCAGCTACTCGGGAGGCTGAGGCAGGAGGATCACTTGAACCCAGGAGGCAGAGGTTGCAGTGAGCCGAGATCACACCACTGCACTGTAGCCTGGGCAACAAGAGAGAAACTCTGTCTCAAAAACAAGAACAAAAACAAAACAGACAAAATGCATATTCTTAGCCGGGTGTTGTGGCATGTGTCTGTAGTCCTAGCTACTTGGGAGGCTGAGGTGGGAGAATTGCTTGAGCCCGCAAGGTGGAGGTTACATTGAGCCAAGATCACGTCCCTGCACTCCAGCCTGGGCAACAGAGCCAGACCTTGTCTCCAAAAAAGAAAAAAAGCATATTCACGTTTACATTTAAATACACATATATGTATACATAGAAAAACTTATTGGAAGTATATGCACCTCCCCATCCACACAGAAATTCCCTATGGCTTATTCGAATCTTCTAATCTTTTTCTGCTAAGCACATACTACTACCTGCTGGGGGGAAGGGAAAAGTCATTATAAAAGGTTTTTAAAATATACTTTCCCCAAGAAGTCACCAAACACCTTTCCAGCAGGCAGAGAAAAGGTGTGAATGAGCTGAGTGGCTTGAATCTCACCAGAAAGCAGGGTTGGGGGCAGAGGAGACGAGTTCCACCCTTTTCTGGTAGGACCTGACACTTCCCCCACCTTATCTAAGCCATGTGGGCTCCCACACAGCCCTGCCATTCTGGAGGGAAAACAAGGCGGGCTCAGAGTGCACAAAGACCTTCCTCCCCTCTGCACGGCAGCAGCTGGCCAGGTGGCTGGGGGGCTGCACCCCGCAAGAAAGCCAGGGCCTGTCAGAGCCCCTTTGTGGAGCCCCCAGGGATGAAGCCAGTCTCTGCCCAAGAGGCAGATGTTCTGGCTCTGGGCCTTGGGAGGGCAGGACAAGGCAGGGCGGTGCCTAGGCCCCAGCAGGAATGCAGCCGCAAGGCCTGGGGACATGCCCAGCCCTGAGGACAAACTCTGTGGCCTGGCATGCAACAGGGGCTTCCCCACTCGCCAGCAACTCACAAGGCCATCTTTGAGCAGCCAGTGTGGTACCTCTAAGCATCTCCCTGTCTACAGGCTTCTAGGAGAAGCCTGAGCTATGTCCTCCCTTGTCTTTCCTTCAGCCCAGGAGAGAGCTGCCTGAGCACAGCTCTGGAGGGGCCTCTGCACTCAAACACCTTCCTGCCCCACTTTGGCCAAGAAACAAAGGCCAACCTTCCAAGGAACAAAATGAATCTTCTGCCAAAACAGCAGGGCAGATTTTCACCAAATCTGGAGGAGATGTTTGGAAAGGTCTCACTGAAAGCACAGACTGTGCTTCAGGTACAAAATTTACTCTAGATTCTTTTTTTTTTTTTTTTGAGACAGGGTCTCACTCTGTCGCCCAGGCTGGAGTGCAGTGGCATGATCTCGGCTCACTGCAACCTCCGCCTCCCAGGTTCAAGCAATTCTCATGCCTCAGCCTCCTGAGTAGCCGAGACTACAGGTGTGCACCACCATATCTGGCTAATTTTTTGTATTTTTTGTAGAAATGGGATTTCGCCATGTTGCCCAGGCTGGTCTCGAACTCCTGAACCCAAGTGATCCACCCGCCTTGACCTCCCAAAGTGTTGGGATTACAGGCGTGAGCCACTGTGCCCGGCCTACTGTAGATTCTAGAAGGAACTTGGGGTTGGGGGTGTACCTCAAAGATTTAGGCATTCATTCTTCCTCCTGAGTGGCTGAAATGGCCACAGAGAGAGGCCATGTGGCTCTTGATTAGGGAGAGATCACTTGGGGGAGAAAACAAAGAGTGTTTTAAACATTGGCCCCAAATCAAATGTCACAAGGACAGATGGAGCCAACTGCACGTGAAGATTGGCAACGTAGCTGCTCCTTTCCCGGGCAACTGGCAGCTCTAGACACAGAGCTCCTTGCCAGAGGAAGCAGAAATGTATTTATTTAACTAAGACAAATGCTTCTCCAGACCCGCAGCCCTCACGGTGGTTGTGACACTAATGAAAATAATAAGTCCTTAGTCTGTGTTAAGCACTTTACTTGCTTGTCTTGTTTAATTTTCACAAACACCTCTGAGAAGTAGGGATAATATTCCAATTTTATAAACAAACTAGGCTGGGTACGATGGCTCATGCCTGTAATCCCAGCACTTTGGGAAGCTGAGAAGGGCAGATAGCTTGAGCCCAGGAGTTTGAGACCAGCCTGGGCAACATAGTGAGAGACCCCATCTCTTTCAAAAATACGAAATTAGCCAGGTGTGGTGGCGTGCGCCTATAGTCCCAACAACTTGGGATGCTGAGGCAGGAGGATCTCTTGAGCCCGGAAGTTTGAGGCTGCAATGAACCATGATCGTGCCACTACACTCTAGCCTGAGTGACACAGCAAGACTCTTGTCTCCCCCAAAAATAATAATAAAATAAATAAACTAAGCGCTAGAGCAGTTATATCATTTCCGCAAGGTTACAGTCACTTGCAAGTAAGTGCCAAGTCTGGAAAAAAGGCAGAACCGGGCTTTGAACTATCAGCCCCTTCCTAGCCCACCAGGTAGGAATTCCGGATGAGAAGGCTGTGCCAGGGAAGGAAGCAGTCACAGGAGTGGGCAGCCTCTTCCAGGTTTCTGAAGACACAACAGGGTCCTAGGAGAGCAAGGGTGGGGCAAGGAGCATAGGGGCAACACCAGAAGAGTCAGTGCGGGTTTGAGAGATGTGGAGTCCTGGGTTTGAATCCCATCTTTGTCTTTCCCCAGTCACGTCTACATCCTGCAGTTCTACTCCCTGGGATCTACACAAGAGAACTAACACAGAATCTCAGAAACGTGCACATGAATGTTCCCAGCAGCATTATTCATAGTAGCCAAAACAACCCAGATAAATGGACAAATCTAATGTGGTCATATACCCACACAATGGATGATTACTCAGCCATAAAGAGGAATGAGGTCCTGCTACATTCTTCAACATGGATGGATAAACCTTGAAAACCTGATGCTAAGTAAAAGAGGCCAGTCACCAAAGACTCCATTTGGATGAAGCATCCAGAACAGGCAAATCCAGAGACAGAAAGCGGATGAGTGGTTGCTGGGGGCAAGAGGGAAAGGGGGAGTGGGGAGTGACTGTTCATAGGCATGAGGTTACTTTTTGGGGCCATGGAAATGTTCTGGAATTAGATAATGGTGACGCTACAAAACATCATGAATATACTAAAAATCACTAAATTATACACTTTTATTTTTTGTTGTTTTTATTTTAATTTTTTTTTTCAGACAGGGTCTCGCTCTGTCACCCAGGCTGGAGTACACTGGCGTGATCTTGGCTCACTGCAACCTCCGTTTCCCAGGCTCAAGCAATTCTCCCACCTCAACCTCTTGGGTAGCTGGAACCACAGGCTTGTGTCATCAGGTCCAGCTAATTTTTTAAATTTTTGTAGAGACAAGGGTCTCAATATATTGCCCAGGCTGGTCTCAAACTCCTGGGCTCAAGCAATCCTGCTGCCTCGGCCTCCCAAAGTGCTGTGTCTGGTCTGAATTGTACACTTTTTTTTTTTTTTGAGACAGAGTCTCGCTTTGTTGCCTAGGCTGGAGTGCAATGATGGGATGTCGGCTCACTGCAACCTCCAGCTCCCGGGTTCAAGCAATTCTCCTCCTATTTCAACCTCCCAGGTAGCTGGGATTACAGGCGCCCACCACCACACTTGGCTAATTTTTGTATTTGTAGTAGAAGTGGGGTTTCACCATGTTGGTCAGGCTGGTCTCGAACTCCTGACCTCAGGTGATCCACCCGCCTTGGCCTCCCAAAGTGCTGGGATTACAGGTGTGAGCCACTGTGCCCAGCCCAAACTGTACACTTTTAAATGGTGAGTTGTATGATATGGGAATTAAATCATGATTTTAAAATTGCCAACAAACAGTGGCACCTATAAAATAAGACAACCACACCATGTCCGTGGGAAGGCTGTTGGAGGGTTAAACAATGTGCTGGTGTGGTCAAGGCTTCTGTGGTGCCTGGCACAGAGTGAGGGCTCAAACACAGCAGCTATACCATAATAAATCACGTCAACACTCGTATTGGCTTTCTGCCTAAAACACAAGGAGGGGTGTGACACTGGAAGAGAGGGTAGCTGGGCAACAGTGCCACCGCAGCCCTCGGCCAGGGTCTGCCACCTCCCTTCTCTCTAGCGGAGAGCTGTCTCCATGGCAACCACATCAGCTCAGGCCAGGGGCTCCTGTTCCCAGCCGGGTGACAGCACCACCTCGGCAGCCTGTCAGGATGGCAACGGCAGATCTTGATGATGGGACTGAGGCTCTGGCAGAAGAATTGCTCAGGGACCCTCGTCTCCATAGAAACCATGTCAGGAAAGAGACGGAGGAGGGAGAGGATAAACAGCAAATAATAAACACAGGCTCCCGCCTCCTGTGCACAAGCCTGAGACACCACAGGGCACGCGAGGAGAGCTAGACCAGCCTCACTGACACCAGCTGCAAAAGGATGTGAACCAGTGTTTCTTGAGCACCTACTCTGTACCAGGCACCACAAAGGGCTCTTTACAAGCTTTACCTCTTTTAAAAATTTCACAAATAAATTCCAAATACTTTCTTTTCTTTTTTTTTTTTCTTTGAGACGGAGTCCCGTTCTGTCGCCCAGGCTGGAGTGCAGTGGCACAATCTCAGCTCACTGCAAGCTTCACCTCCGGGGTTCATGCCATTCTCCTGCCTCAGCCTCCTGAGTAGCTGGGACTACAGGTGCCCGCCATCACTCCTGGCTAATTTTTTTTTGTATTTTTAGTAGAGACGGGGTTTCACCGTGTTAGCCAGGATGGTCTTGATCTCCTGACCTCATGATCCGCCTGCCTTGGCTTCCCAAAGTGCTGGTCTTTTCTTTTCTGTTTCCCCCCTCCCCCTCCCCCTCCCCCTCTCCCTCCCCCTCCCCCTCTCCCTCCCCCTCCCCCCTCCCCCTCCCCCCTCCCTCTCCTTCTCCCTCTCCCTCTCGATGCAGGGTCTCACTCTATAGCCCAGGCTAGAGTCCAGTGGCACCATCATAGCTCACTGCAGCCTCAACCTCTTGGGCTCAAGTGATCCTCCCACCTCAACCTCCCTAGTAGCTGGGACTACAGGCATGCACAAAGATGCCTGGCTAAATTTCGTATTTTTTGTAGAGACGGGGTTTTGCCATGTTGCTCAGGCTGGTCTTGAACTCCTAGCCCCAACCAATCTGCCCACCTCTGCCTCCCAGAATGCTGGGGTTACAAGCATGAGCCACCACACCCAGCCTCATTCCTTCTTAAGGTTGAATAGTTTTCCATTATACATGTGTACTACACTTTGTTTATCCATTCCTCTGTTGATGAACATTTGGGTTGCTTCTACCCTCTGGCTATTGTGAGTTATGCTGCTATGAACACGGGTGTGTAAATATCTCTTTGAGTCTCTGCTTTCAATTCTTTTGGGATATACCTAGAAGTGAGATTGCTGGATCATATGATTGTTCTATGTTTAATTTTTGAGGAACTGCCATACTATCTTATTCTTTTTAATTTCTTCATAGTATTCTATGGCTACATAATCTTATTAATGATCCTAAACAACCTCATAGGCTGCGTACAGTTATCATCCTGCTTTATTTATTTATTTATTTATTTATTTATTTATTTATTTGAGATGGAGTTTCACTTTTGTCGCCCAGGCTGGAATGAATGCAGTGGCGCAATCTCGGCTCACTGCAACCTCCACCTCCCAGGTTCAAGAGATGCTCCTGCCTCAGCCTCCCAAGTACCTGGGATTACAGGTGCCCGCCACCACACCCAGCTAATTTTTTTTTGTATTTTTAGTAGACATGGGGTTTCGCCATGTTGGCCAGGCTGGTCTTGAACTCCTAACCTCAGGTGATCCACCCACCTCAGCCTCCCAAAGTGCTGGGATTACAGGCGTGAGCCACTGTGCCTGGACCCCCCTTTTTTTTTTTTTTTTTTTTTTTGGAGATAGGGTCTCACTCTGTCTCCCAGGCTGGAGTGCAGTGGTGCGATCTCACCTCACTGCAGCCTCCACTTCCTAAGTAGCTGGGACTACAGGCAGGCACCACCACACCTGGATAATTTTTGCATTCTTTATAGAGACAGAGTTTCACTATGTTGCCCAGGCTGGTCTCGAACTCCTAGGCTCAAGAGATCTGCCCACCTTGGCCTCCCAAAGTGCTGGGATTATAGGTGTGAGCCACCGTGCAGGCTTTGCTTGTTTGTTTGCTTGCTTATCCTGATGTCACAGATAAAGAAACTGAGACTTAGAGAGGGGAAGTGGCTTCAGGGTTCCAGCCACATCTCTGCTAAGGAGAGGCTGGGTGAACTCAGGCAAGCTGTTCCTCCTGAGCCTCAGTTTCATTACTTGTACCGTGACCTTAAGATGCTTTCAGAAATTGTCTCCCCTTTTCACTATCAAGGGTTGCAGCAGCAAGACGGTGTGAAGATGGTGCTCCGTGTTATGGGCCAGGCCATGGGGGTGGGCAGCTGAATGAAGGGAGGGGGCTAGCCACCCTTAGCAGCAAACGCCTCCTCTCCCTGCACACTGAGAGGGCATTGGCACATCACACCAACACACCCAGTGGGAAGGATGGCTGGAGGAATGTTCTGGCCTTGGGCTGTGGTGTCTCAGTCCAAGGACACTGGCAGGCTCGCCCTCGGGGGAGGAAGGCAGGCAGCGCCTGCAGCGAGGAGTGTGCCCTAGAAGAATGCACGATCCTCATATCTCATCAGCAGGCAGAGAGCTAAGGCCTGGCTCTGCCTCTAGGGCCAGAAGCCACCCCAGGCCATTTGGAACACAGAACCCTGGAATGGGGGGATTCCAGCCTTTAAGGGACACCTAGGCTGATGGTTTCTAGCCGGCATTCTGCAGAACCCCCTGAGCCCTGCATGGCCTTGAGGTTGTCCCTCCCTCTCTCTCAGGGGCTGTTTGCTCATCCACAAAATGGGCATGATCGCAACCTTGTTAGCATGAAAATGTTTGAGATAAACTGTCAAGCAGGGCGCATAACACACTGTATACCCAACACACAACAGGAGGAGAAGGTCTGCCAGGGGAGGAACTGGCATGAACAAACACAGACAGGAATGTGTCTCAGGGTCACATTCGGGAAGCACCAGTACCCCAGAGACACTGGCCTGAGACCCAGCCCCTGCACTGACTTCACACCAAATGGCAGGATCTCGCAGTCTCTTGCAGCCACTCCACATGCGTTATTCCTGTTGGTCCTCACAATGACTCAGGGCACCACTGCCCCATTGTATAGGTAAGGAAACTGAGGCACAGAGGGCTGAGCCCCATGCCTGACATTGTTGCATGTTTTCTCAGTTAATCCTCCCACAGCGGCTGTGGTTCTTTGATGAATGACTCTCTCTCTCATTACCCCGTGAGCTCCCTGAGGACAGGAACTGGGTGTGTTTTGTTCACCATTGTAACCTTAGTGTCCAGCACACAATTTACACAGTAGGTGCTCAGGAAATGCATGTTGGAGGAATGAATGAATAAACAACCTTGCCAGGGAGGCATAAGCTGCCCATTTCCCACAAGCGGGGGCTCACAGAGACACTGGCTTGGGGGGGCTTGCATGTGCCCACCTGCCCTAGGCTGGCCCTGCTGGATGCATGAGGTCCTCACCTCTCTCGGTCGCTCCAGCTCCGTCTGCAGCACCTGCTTAGCCAGCTCAGTCTCGATGAGCCGCTGACGAAGCTCTTCGTTCTCCTCCTCCAGCCGCGCCCGTTTCTTCTCCACCACCTCGAGCTCCTTATGCAGCCGCATGGAGATGTCCTTAGAGACCTGTGCAGGGGTGGGAGAGAGAAGGATGTGAGCAGGCTGAGGAGAGCCCCCACTGCAAGTCCCACTGACCACCCGACTTTCACAGCAGGGCAACCCTAGAGACAGGCAGGTTCCTATCGCATCACTGCCACGCTGCAGATGAGCAAACTGAGGCACAAAGAGACCAAGAAACTCATGAAGGAAGCAGTAGAACCAAAACCCAAACCTAGGTACCGCAAGCTCTCAGCATCTGTATCACAGCACAGCCCCAGAAAGCTGGGAAGACCCTGTTCTCAGGAATGCCTTTTCATTTACCTGAGGCTTTTTTTTTTTTTTTTTTTTTTGAGACAGGGTCTCACTATGTCTCCCAGGCTGGAGTGCAGTGGTGCAATCATGTCTCACTGCAGGCTTGAACTCCAGGGCTCAAGCAATCCTCTCACCTCAGCCTCCTGAGTAGCTGGGACTACAGGTATGCATAACCACAACTGGCTAATTTTTGCATTTTTATGTAGACACGGGGTCTCAGCCGGGCGCAGTGGCTCACACCTGTAATCCCAGCACTTTGGGAGGTCGAGACAGGTGGATCACCTCAGGTCAAGAGTTCGAGACCAGACTGGCCAACATGGTGAAACCCCATCTCTACTAAAAATACAAAAAATTAGCCAGGCGTGGTGGCAGGTGCCTGTAATCCCAGCACTTTGGGAGGCTGAAGCAGGAGAATTGCTTGAACCAGGGAGGCAGAGGCTGCGGTGAGCCAAAATCATGCCACTGCACTCCAGCCTGGGCAATAAGAGCAAAACTTTGTCTATAAATAAATAAATAAAAAGAAACGGGGTCTCACTATGTGGTCCAGGAGAGTCTTGAACTTGTGGCCTCAAGGGATCCTCCTGCCTCAGCTTCCCGAGTAGCTGAGATTACAGGCATGAGCCACTGTGCCTGCCTACCTGGGCTCTTCACACTTCCAAAGCCTCTCCCAGCCACCACTTGCCCAGTCCTCACAAAAGCCTGTGGGAGGGCCAGAAGCTCATCTTAAAGGGAGGAGACTGAGGAACTGGGTACAGTAGCTCACACCTGTAATCCCAACACTTTGAGGGGCTGGACACGGTAGCTCACACCTGGAATCCCACACTTTGAGAGGCCGAGGCAGGGGGATCGCTTGAGCCCAGGAATTCGAGATGTGCCTGGGGAACATAGCAAGACCCCACCTCTACAAAAAACCCAAAAAAGTTAGCTTGGCATGGTGGCACACACCTACAGGCCCAACTACTCAGGAGGCCAACATGGAAGAATCACCTGGGCCCTGGAGTTCGAGGTTGCAGTGAGCTATGATTGTGCCACTGCACTCCAGCCTAGGCAACAGAGCGAGACCCTGTCTCCTAAAAACAAAACAAAGCAAAGCAAAACAAAACAGAGAGGGGATTGAGCTGCAGTGGAAACCCAGAGAAGATGGGCCCTAGACCACTGAATCCCATCTCTGCCAGTGACCAGCATGTAGTCCTGGGCAAGGCAATTTTCCTCTCTGTACCTCAGTCTCCTCAACTATAAAATGAACGCAGTGATAACAGGGTCAACCTTACAGGCCCGACAGGATAACTGAACCAGCTATTACACAAAAGCCTTGGCCTGGGGCCTGCACACAGTGAGTTCTGGGTGACTGGTAGCTGCTGCTCCAAGGAACTGAAGCCCAGAGAAGGGCATGATCGCTGGAGGTCACAGTGTGACCCTGAGACCTATATCTAGTTGTCTGGGATGTAGAACAGGCCCAAAATGACAAAGGGTGGGCAGATGTCCAAGTCATCCCTACAGAAAGAAGCTAGAGGAGCTGCAATCTCTGATCCTGGTCCAGGACTCTGTAGCAACAGCACCCCATTCCTGGTAGACACCCTCTGTTCTGTCCCCTGCTGGCTGGTTGAGGGAAGCCAGGAAAGGAGGCCTGCAGGGATGAGGAAGGAAGGCCCTTCTGGGCTGGGAAATTGCAACCAGACTCCATCTCTATGTACATTGGGAACTACTGTTTGGTGAATACCTACTGCATGCCAAACTCACCCATCTTCACCCCAATCCTGTCCCCATTTTACAAGGAAACTGGAGCTCAGAGCAGAAGTGACTCACTCAGGGTCACGCAAAGCCAGTGTGGGTTGAGCTGGGCTGGGAGCCCCAGGGGTTTGGCTGAGGGGCCAGTATAGCCCAGGGTTTCCCAGGGGTGCCCAGGTTTCGCCAGCAGGAACTCCATGTGGGGCAGAGAGCCCAGCAACCCATGCCTGCTGGTCTCGGAAATGACTGTTGTGCCTCCTCCTTGCCAGAAGGGAAGAGGGCCCTCCCTGGCTCTGACCTCTGCCTGGGCCGAAGCCCAGCTCGGCACGGACCCCTTGGCAATGTATGAGGCAGGCCAGGAAAAACAACGACCAGAAAGGAAACCAGGCATGGCCTCTCCCTCCCTGCACTGCCACTGCCTGTTTCTGCCCGAGGATCTCGTAGGACAGCCAGGAGCGGGCCCATGAGGCTCCTCCCACAGCCTCTCTGGGTACCAGACCTTCCTCATCCACGAAGTGGGGAGAACAACCCCTCAGTATCAGAACAAGGGCTTTGCAGATAGGAAAACTAGATTCAAGCCCAGTTCCAGCATTTACTGGCTATGTGACCCAGGTTAAGTTATTTAAACATGGTCCCCAGTTTGGGGCTGTTAGGTCACCCAGTAAGCCCCTGTCCTGATCAACATTCCATTCATTAACTCACTCATACTCACTCACTAACTCACTCACTCACTCATCCTGCTTAGGCACTGGAGGCAGGAGTGGTGGGGTACAGAGATCAAGGCCGCAGACATACTTGGCCTCATTCATATCTATGTGTCCCAGCAGCAGCGCAGCGTCAGGCACACACTAAGTGCCTAATAAATGCTTGTTGGATGAACAAATAAATCCAAGGGTCCAACAAGTGAAAAGGGAGGGAGATGAATGAGTGAATGACTGAATATACATGGGGAGTGGTACCTGCCCTCGCAGGGCTGAAGAGGCTGCCCTCAAATGCCAACCCCACCCACTATCCAGGAAGGGCTGCACCCCTGGCTGGGGTGAGGGCTCCTCTCTCAAATGAGCTCCCATCTGGGCCAGCTCCTCTCCACCTGCGGGGATGCCCCATCTCCACCATGTCCTCCACCTGGGGAGGCTACCAGTCCCCATCAAGAAGTCACAATCCATGTGGATTTCTGGATCCTCTGGGGTTCATGAACAACTCTATGGATTTCATCCCCTCCCATCCTCTCCATGATTCCCCAGTTCCCTTCTGCCCCATTCTCCATGGAATCCCTTTCCTATTTACTCCCTTTCCCTGATGGCTGCTGTATCAAAAGAAAGCACAGGCCAGGCACGATGACTCACGCCTATAATCCCAACACTTTGGGAGGCTGAGACGGGCAGATCACTTGAGGTCAGGAGTTCAGGACCAGCCTGGCCAACATGGTAAAACCCCGTCTTTGCTGTCTCTACTAAAAATACAAAAATTAGCCAGGCGTGGTGGCACATGCCTATAATCCCAGCTTCTTGAGAAGCTGAGGCAGGAGAATTGCTTGAACCCAGGAGACGGAGGTTGCAGTGAGCTGAGATTGCACCACTGCACTCCAGCCTGGGTGACAGAGCAATACTTTGTCTCAGAAAAAGAAAAAAAAAAATCACAACTCCAGGCAGCCAGACTGGGAGGCAGGAGCCCTGTGGCCTGGGCTTGTCCCTGCTCCTCAGTGAGCCTCAGTGGTCCTGGGCCCCCTCGGCCCTCACAAGTGATTTACAGAATCAGCTGGAACATCCCCCGGGTGCTCACCACGTGCTTTTCATCCCGTTGGGAAGCACTTTGATTATTATCCCCATTCTGAGGCTCAGAAAGGAAAGGTCACTTCCCAAGGTCACACAGCTAGGAAGGCTATAGAACTAAGGTTTGAAATCGAGTGGGTCAACTCTAAAGTCTCACTCTCAGGCTGATTTTGCCGTATAGGCCCAATGCGTGAAAACACATTACATTAACATCAACAATACAAGTATTAATAATAAACCCCAACAGTGGGCTTACTGTGTCAGGCATTTGAAGGGCCCCACGTGTCTATCCCATTTGATCCTCCCAGCTACCCTCAAGGTAGGGGGGCTGAGATACTAAGGGAGGCGCGGCAGCTGCGGCTTCCGAAAACCAGGGCAAATCCCTAAACCATAAACAAATGCACTCAGCCATGAGGTCACTGTTTACAGCGCTAGGGCCTGGCTCCTGCCAAGTGCAACTAGCAGCCTCCAGCCCCTGCTCCCCAGGCATCAGGCCCCTCGGCTCCTGGGCCTCTGTCATCCTGATCCTCAGGGAGAGGGATGGGAGCTCTCACGAAAGAGCAGCTCCTGGCCGGGCATGGTGGCTGACGCCTGTAATTCCAATACTTTGGGAGGTCGAGGTAGGAAGACTGCTTGAGGCCAGGAGTTCAAGACCAGCCTGAGCAAAATAGGGAGACCCCCATCTCTATAAAAACTTTTTAAAATTAGCAGGGCATGATGGTGTGTGCCTGCAGTATCAGCTACTCAGGAAGCTGAGACAGGAGGATCCCTTGAGAGCCCAGGAGGTCAAGGCTGCAGTGAGCTGTGATCAGCCACCGTACTGCAGCCTGGGTGACAAAGAGAGACTATGTTTCAAGAAAGAAAGAAAGAAACAAAGAAACAAGGCCGGGCATGGTGGCTCATGCCTGTAATTCTGGCCCTTTGGGAGGCCGAGGCCGGCAGATCACTTGAGGTCAGGAGTTCGAGACCAGACCGGTCAACACGGTGAAACCCCGTCTCTACTAAAAAAATACAAAAATTAGCTGGGTATGGTGGCATGCCTGTAATCCCAGCTACTCGGAAGGCTGAGGCAGGAGAATTGCTTGAACCCGGGAGGTGGAAGTTGCAGTGAGCAGCGATCACGCTACTGTACTCCAGCCTGGGTGACAGAGCAAGACTTCATCTCAAAAAAAAAAAAAAAAAGAAAAAAGGAAGAGCATCCCCTGGCCAGGCAGCATTCTGGACTCCGTGTGGCTGAATCCTCCTACAAACCCCAGGAGGGTAGGAATGTCACCCCCACTCTACAGATGAGGAAAGTGAGGCTCAAAGAAGGGAGGTAACCTGCACAGGTCACCTAGGAATGAAACCCAAAGCCAGAACATTTTCTCCAGCAACATCTGTATCTGAGGAAGGGGGCGTGCTCCTGGTGTGTCCTTGGCTTCCCACAGGAGTCACTTTAGACCAGAGTTTAGATCCCAGATTCCCTGGACCTGACCTCCTTGTATCCGGTCTCAGCTCCTCACGGGTCCTGGGAATGTATGTTGTGAACAAGCCCTCCTGGTGATTTTTATCCACCCTGGGAGGCTGAGATCCTGGCCTACCCTCGCCCCCAGACTACTAGTCTACTACTACTACCAACCAGTCCTACTAGCCTACTACTACTAGTAGTCCTACTGATGTATTGCTCAGAAGAACTTATACTTGCTGTGTGAGTTCTTCTCAGCAATAAGAAAACCACAACCAGACCAGGCATGGTGGCTCACACCTGTAATCCCAGCACTTTGGGAGGCCGACGTGGGTAGATCACCTGAGGTCAGGAGTTAGAGACCAGCCTGGCCAACACAGAGAAACCCCATCTCTACTAAAAATACGAAAATTAGCTGGACATGGTGGCGCATGCCTGTAATCCCAGCTACTTGGGAGGCTGAGGTAGGAGAATTGCTGGAACCCAGGAGGCAGAGGTTGCTGAGATCACACCACTGCACTCCAGCCTGGGTGACAGAGTGAGACCCTGCCTTAAAAAAAAAAAGAAAAAGAAAACCACAACCAATACATGTTTATTTCCAGACCTAGTATTTAATACTCTCTTCACTTGAATTATTTCATTTTATCCTCACAAAAACCTCTAGAGGGAGGGACTCATTTTATCTCCATTTTCCATGAGGAAACAAGCTCAGAGATGTGAAGGAACTTACCCAAGGCCACACAGCAAACGTGGCACAGCAGCTCTCCGCCCCGTGACCTTGCCCTCCTCATGCTGGGCAAAGGCCCCACCGAGGTTCTGTAGGTCCTGTCAACGGTGAGGACCAGCAGAGAGGGAGAGCTGGGGGTTGGGGGGGGGCACTGAGGCCTGTGGTTTTATTCATGACCCCCCACCCCACCCCACCAATACCCCTCTGCTCCATAAAACCACAGGAGCTCAAAAGCCCTGAGGATTCAGCTGGTCAAAAGCCACATTTAACAGAAGGGGAAAATGAGGCACCAAGCGGTAGGGGCAAGTCAGGGCATGGACCACGGAGCTGGCAGAGCAAGTTGGGGAAGTCCCAGAGGTACCCTCCTAGGCAGCGCCCGCCCCCTCCCCACTCGGGTCCATCAAGCCCTCCAAGACGATGCCAGGGAAAGCAGCATTCTGATAACTTCCCAAAACCCCCCAGAACGACCCCAGCACATGGGGCTCAGG
Source organism: Homo sapiens (assembly GCF_000001405.40). Classification (NCBI taxonomy): domain Eukaryota; kingdom Metazoa; phylum Chordata; class Mammalia; order Primates; family Hominidae; genus Homo; species Homo sapiens. Next base: position 36,835,657 of record NC_000020.11, read on the forward strand.
GTGGTGGCCAGAGGTGTCCATCCAGCTCAGGCCCCAGGCCCGCAGATGAGCTCAGCGCTCCAGCTGCAGCGTGGGGAGAGGAGGGAGGGAAGGGCAAGAGGGATGCTGATTGGCTAATTCAAACCCCAACAGAAACGGCCCCTCCTCTCCGCCCAGACTCCGGAGAGCCACACACCCGCTCCCCACACCCGCCTCCCCGCCGCCGCCGCCGCTGCTCTAGCTCCACCCACGGAGGCGCCGCAGCCGGCAGCTAGCTCCAGGTCCCAGCCTCTCCTCCGCCTCTTCCTCATCTTTCTGAAGTCTGACATTTTTTTGTGTCCCTCCCAGAAATCCTCCACTATATGCCCAAACGCAGATTCCTCTGAGCTTCTCCAGCTATTCCCTCCCCCTCCCCATCTCCTCCCTACTGCCTTCCCCCACCACCCCCCACCCCTCCCAACCCAGTGATTGGAATCTGAATATGCCCGGGAGCTGCCCTGTCAAGTAGAGGTACGCTTTGAACTTGGAAACTAACTCATTCTTTTTTTTCTTTTAGAGAGAGACCTTGTCGCTCTGTCGCCCAGGCTGGAGTGCAGTGCTGCAATCATAGCTCACTGAAACCTTTAACTCCTGGACTCAAGCAATCCTCTGGCCTTGGCCTCCCATATAGCTGGGACTATAGGCACTTGCCACCACGCCCAGCTAATTTTTTTTTTTTTTTTTTTTTTTTTTGAGACAGAGTTTCACTCTGTCACCCAGGCTGGACTGCAATGGTGTGAGCTCACTGCAACCTCGGCCTCCCAGGTTCAAGCGATTCATCTGCCTCAGCCTCCTGAGTAGCTGGGAGTACAGGCGTGTACCACCACACCCGGCTCATTTTGTATTTTTAGTAGAGCCGGGGTTTCACCATGTTGGCCAGGCTGGTCTCGAACTCCTGACCTCAGGTGATCCATCCGCCTCGGCCTGCCAAAGTGCTAGGATTACAGGTGTGAGCCACCACCCCCAGCCTCTGCTAATTTTTTTTATTTTTTTGTAGAGATAGGGTCTTGCTATGTTGCCCAGCCTGATTTCCAACTATTGGCCTCTAGCGATCCTCCCACTTCAGCCTCCCAAAGCGCTGGGATTCTGGGATTACAGGCATGAGCCTCCACCTCTGGCGGAGACACAACCATTGGTTGCCTCATGTGTAGGACAGCACTACAATCCCATTGTGCACCAACAAGACCACAGGGGGCGCCAGCAGCTTCCTGGAACAGGCACTCCTGTTTACCTCCCCTGGTTCTGCTGGCCTTTGAAACCATGGCTCTCCCTGGTCCCTTAACAAAGGTTTTTCTTTTATATTCCACTGGAAAGGCTATAGGGCTTGAGTTTGCCAGTGTCTTCCAACAGAAGGGACTTCTCCCCAGGTAAGTGTGTGGCTGACTCGCATCCTGCCGCTCCCCTGGGTCCTCACAGGAGCCATCTTCTGCCACCTTCCTCTTTCCCCCTTCCTGGCTCAGGCCCACTTCTCCCTTGGGCCTTCACTCAGAAGTCACCCCTGCAGGAAGCCTCCCTAGGGCCCCATCCCAGCTCCTCGTGTCACCAGATCACACTGGGCTGAGTTCTGAGGGCAGAGGGCCGGGCCTGGGGGCCCTGGAGTTCTCACCACCAGACCAGAGCTTCCGAAGACAGGCAGGGGGACATCCCACCTGCCAACCTCCCACCCACCCTTCCCCTGCTTCCTGAAGCAGAGAGCAGTGAGGCCAAGCTGGAGGCTTGGGAGGCTCATGAGCCTGGGCTCTGCCACCAACACACTGAGCGCCCCTTGACCTTCGGCAGGTATTGCTTTTCTCTGAACCTCAGATTCTTCATCAAGAAAATGGAAATAATGATAGCTAACATTTTTGAGTCCTTATGCTGGCATTTTACCCACATTATTATTATTATTATTATTATTATTATTATTATTATTATTATTTTTGAGACGGAGTCTCACTCTGTCACCCTGGCTGGAGTGCAGTGGCGCGATCTCAGCTCACTGCAACCTCCGCCTCCCGGGTTCAAGCGATTCTCCTGTCTCAGCCCCTGAGTAGCTGGGATTACAGGCGGGAACCACCACACTCGGCTAATTTGTGTATTTTTAGTAGAGATGGGGTTTCACCATGTTGGCCAGGCTGGTCTCGAACTCCTGACCTCAGGTGATCTGCCCGCCTCGGCCTCCCAAAGTGCTGGGATTACAGGCATGAGCCACTGTGCCCAGCCCGCATTATTTCATTTAATCCTCATATAACCCTGTGAGATAGAGATTGCTGCAAACCCATTTTACAGATGAGGACACTGAAATTGATGACTTTGCTCAAAATAATAAAGTTCAGGTATATTGGAGCCAAGATTTAAACCAGCCTTGACCAACTCTAGGCCTTCACTACTTCTCTTTGTTTTTTTTTTTTTGAGACGGAGTCTCGCTCTGTCGCCCAGGCTGGAGTGCAGTGGTGACACGATCTTGGCTCACTGCAAGCTCCGCCTCGTGGGTTCACGCCATTCTCCTGCCTCAGCCTCCCGAGTAGCTGGGACTACACATGCCTGCCACCACACCTGGCTAATTTTTTGTGTTTTCAGTAGAGACAGGGTTTCACTGTATTAGCCAGGATGGTCTCGAGGCCTTCACTACTTTTCATTAGCATAATTAAGGAACCTCTGCCTGACACCGTGGCTCATCCTTGTAATCCCAGCACTTTGGGAGGCCAAGGCAGGAGGATCACTTGAGCCCAGAAGTTTGAGACCAGCCTGGGCAACATAATGAGACCCCATCTCTACAACATATAGAAAAATTAGCCAGGTGTGGTGGTGTGTGCCTGTAGTCCCAGCTACTCAGGAAGCTGAGGTGGGGGTAGCCCAGGAGGTGGAGGCTACAGTGAGCTATGATCACATCACTGCCTGATACCTAGGCAACAGAGCAAGACCTTGTCTCTAAAAAAACAAGAAGAAAAAGAAACCCCCATGGAACTGTGCGGGGACAATTAGAGGCTAGCACCAGGTGGTGGTTGATACTCAATAAACAGTAGCTTCTCAGCCAGGCGCAGTGGCTCATGCCTGTAACCCCAGCACTTTGGGAGGCCAAGGTGGGCAGATCACCTGAGGTCAGGAGTTCGAAACCAGGCTGGCCAACATGGTGAAACCCTGTCTCTACTAAAAATACAAAAATTAGCCGGGTGTGGTGGCAGGTGCCTGTAATCCCAGCTACTTGGGAGGCTGAGGCAAGAGAAATCGCTTGATCCCGGGAGGCAGAAGTTGCAGTGAGCTGAGATCGCGCCATTGCATTCCAGCCTGGGCAACAAGAGAGAAACTCTGTCTCAAAGGAAAAAAAAAAAACAGTAGCTGCTGCTAGTAGGAAGGATTCATATTATGATATCATTTTGGGATACCCTTGATAGAAGCCCTGTGGGTTCACCAGGAATTCCTACTTAGATGAGGAAACTGAGGCCCAGAGAGGTGGTAGAACTTGGCCATGGACACACGGAAATGAGATGCAAGGCCAACCTGGGCCCCACTTAGACTTGTGGTCCCATCCCAGCAACAAGGGCACCCGAGCCCAGGCTGACCTTGACATCCTGCTCCAGACCACGGATAAGCTCGCCGTCCACCTGGCCGGTCTGGGCGGCACGGAGACTGCGGCGCTCGGCTTTGCGCAGCCGGTACTGCAGGATGCGGCAGGTCTTGCTGGCCTGGTCCAGCTGCTGTCGCAGCTCCTGCAGCTGATACACGTCCTCCTCCATATAGACGTCCCGCATCTCCAGCATCTCGGCCCGCAGCTCCTCAATCTCGTCCTGCGGAGGGAAGGAAGAGTCAGGTCACTGGGCCCACAGTAGCAGCTAGGAGGCCGGAGTACTGGCCACACCTAGGACTGAATGAAGCACCGTGGGGGACCTGGATGTGGCAGGCTGAATGACAGACCTCCAAAGACGTCCATGTTCACATTCCCAGGATCTGTGAATGTTGCCTTACATGGCAAAAGAGACTTTGCAAATATGAGTAAATTAAGGATCCCAAGACAGGGAAACAGAAGCAGAGGCTGGAGTGAGATGCTTTGATGTTGGAGGAAGGGGCTGTGATGACGGAGGAAGGGGGTGCCTCTCAAGGCAAGGAAAAGGTTTCTCCCCTGGAGCCTTCCCGAGGAATGCAGCCCTGCCCAAACCTTGATTTCTAGACCTTTGACCTCCAGGATCAGAAGATAATAATCTGGTGTTCATTTTTTTGTTGTTTTTGAGACGGAGTCTCACTCTGTTGCCCAGGCTGGAGTGTAGTGGCACAATCTCAGCTCACTGCAACCTCCTCCTCCCTACTTCAAGCGATTCTCCCTGCCTTAGCCTCCCAAGTAGTTGGGATTACAGGTGCCCACCACCACACCCAGCTGATTTTTTATATTTTTAGTGGAGACGGGGTTTCACCATGTTGGCCAGGTTGGTCTTGAACTCCTGACCTCAAGCGATCTGCCCGCCTTGGCCTCCCAAAGTGCTGGGAACAGGTATGAGCCACCCTGCCCAGCCTGGTGTTTTTTTTTTTTTTTTGAGACGGAGTCTCGCTCTGTCGCCCAGGCTGGAGTGCAGTGGCGCTATCTCGGCTCACTGCAAACTCCCCCTCCTGGGTTCACGCCATTCTCCCGCCTCAGCCTCCTGAGTAGCTGGGACTACAGGCACCCGCCACCACGCCTGGCTAATTTTTTTTTTTTATTTTTAGTAGAGACGGGGTTTCACCGTGTTAGCCAGGATGGTCTCCATCTCCTGACCTCGTAATCAGCCTGCCTCGGCCTCCCAAATTGCTGGGATTACAGGCATGAGCCACCGTGCCCTTGGCCTGGTGTTCTTTTAAGCCACTAAATTTGTAGTGATTTGTTACAGAAGCAACAGGAACACACTGGGGAAGCAGGAGAGGCCATTTAAGAAACATGGATGAGGTTGGGCACGGTGGCTCATGCCTGTAATCCCAGAACTTTGGGAGGCTGAGATGGGCGGATCACGAGGTTGGATCAAGACCATCCTGGCTAACATGGTGAAAATCCGTCTCTATTAAAAATACAAAAAATTAGCTGGGCATGGTGGCGGGTGCCTGTAGTCCCAGCTACTCGGGAGGCTGAGGCAGGAGAATGGCGTGAACCCAGGAGGCGGAGCTTGCAGTGAGCCGAGATCGCACCACTGCACCCCAGCCTGGGCGACAGAGCGAGACTCCGTCTCAAAAAAAAAGAAACATGGATGAGCATCAACTATGTACGTCCTAGGTAGGCCCTGTGCTAAGCGCAGGGGCAGGGAGGGACAATGGGGTGGGTCCAGCCCCTTCTATATACTCTGTATGGAGCCCCAAGCTTCACCAGGAAGATACACAGTAAACCAGAAAATAATAATAACAAAAGACACCTGGCTGGGCGCAGTGGCTCGCACCTCTAATCCCGGCACTTTGGGAGGCCGAGGTGGGTGGATCATTTGAGGTCAGGAGTTTGAGACCAGCCTGGCCAACATGGTGAAACCCTGTCTCTACTAAAAATACAAAAAAAAAAAAAAAAAAAAAAAAAAAATGAGCCCAGCGTGGTGGTTCACGCCTGTAATCCCAGCTACTCGGGAGGCCGAGGCATGAGAATCACTTGAACCTAGGAGGCAGAGGATGCAGTGAGCCGAGATTGCACCATTGGGTGACAGAGTGAGACCCTATCTCCAAGAAAAAAAAACAAAAACAAACCTCAGATACTGTTAAGTGCTATAAAGACAAAGCCAAAATGAAACCAAACAACATGAGTTATATGATAGGGTGAGGGGGGGTGCTATGTTAGGGGACATGATCAGGGAGGCCATCTCTACAAAAGAGACATTTGAGCTGAGACAAGAAGGAACAGCCGAGAAAGCTAGGGGGAGAGGTTATTCCAGGCAGAGGGAACAGTGTGTGCCAAGGCTCAGAGGCAGGAAAGAGCTCAGTGTGTCAAGGTACAGCAAGGAGGCCAGGGCAGCTACTGGGTTAATTTGAGGCTGAGGAAACTGACAGGAGTCAACCACATGGTACTGTGAAGGGCCAAATAGAATTTGGGTTTGGGATTTGTTTGCTTGCTTTTGTTTTGAGATGGGGTCTCACTCTGTCACCCAGGCTGGAGTGCGGTGGCAAAATCTCAGCTCGCTGCAACCTCTGCCTCCCAGGCTCAAGCCACCCTCCCACCTTAGCCTCCCAAGTAGTTGGGACCAAAGACACACAACCCCACATCGGGGGTGGGGGGTGGGGTGTGTGTGTGTGTGTGTGTGTGTGTGTGTGTGTGTGTGTGTGTATACAGGGTTTTGCCATGTTGCCCAGGTTGCTCATGAACTGAGCTCAAGCAATCTGCCTAGCTCAGCATCCCAAAGTGCTGGGATTACAGGCATAAGCCACCATGCCTGGCCTGGGTTTGGGTTTTAAGCAGAGAGGGTAAGAGTATGACCTCACTTCCTGAAGGCAGCTTCTGCTACCGCTGTCATCAGCTTCCAGCTGTTCCTCACTTCTCCTTTGTAATCATTATTAGCAAATTTGCAATTCTATGTTTAATAGTTTGTCTCCCAGCCAAACCATGAGTGCCTGGAGGCAACCCCATTTGGCCTAGCAGGTGGTAGCCTCCCAACAAATATTAACTGAATGGATGCATGCATGTTTAGTCAGGTCAAAAACAACAAAAAAGACATACGAATGTGCAACAATCATTAGATACTAAGTGTAAGGGGGAGGGAAGTAGAATTACGCAGAAGAAATGCATAATTATTATGTCTCATACAAATGTGAAAACCTAGTCACAAATGGGAATGATAATACCTACTCTTAATGTGACCGAATGATTTAAATAAGATTGTATACTAAGAAGGGAAACTGGCCAGGTGCGGTGGCTCACGCCTGTAATCCCAGCGCTTTGGGAGGCCAAGGCGGTCAGATCGCCTGAGGCCAGGAGTTCAAGACCAGCCTGGCCAACATGGTGAAATCCCGTCTCTACTAAAAATACAAAAATTAGCCAGGCATGGTGGTGGGCACCTGTAATCCCAGCTACTCGGGAGGCTGAAGCAGGAGAATCATTTGAACCTGGGAGGCAGAGGTTGCAGTGACCCAAGATCATACCACTGCACTCCAGCCTGGGCAGCAGAGCGAGCCTCTGTCTCACAAAATAAAAAAAAAGAGAAACAGAGTCACCAGGGATGAATGACCTGCTAAAGGCATCCCTGAGGAGCCAGGGGAAGCACCGAGGATGGCAGTGATGGAAGCAGGGGTGGGGGGTCCAAGGGGCAAGAAGGCCTCTGTGGGCCCTGGAGAGGGCAGATCTGGAGAGCCGGATTCCTCAGCTCTCCCTACCCGTCTTTCCCCAAAGAAAACGGAAAGGAAGGGACTGGGAAGTGGGGTCTCGTATTCCTCCCTCCTCATGCTGCCACTGGGAGGAGGGAGTGTCCACTCTGCTCCCGTCAGAGGGACACCTCTGGCTTCTGTCCGAGCACCCCTCACCACACCCTCGCTGGGGCTGGGAGGAAGGGGGATCTGATTTTGTGCCTGTGAAAGGAACAAACATGGGGTTCTCTCTCTTCACTCCTGCCTGCCCAGATGGGGAGGACTGCTCTGCTCTTCCAATGGTCAGCCTGGTAGGATGGCTCCCTGTGAGGAAGGGGGTACGACTGGGGTTGCCAGCGCCCCCTGAGGCTGGATGGATTTAACTCAGAGTCAGGGTTAGGGAGCCCTGCCCTCCAGGCCAGTTCTCACAAGCTCGAGAGGTTTTCCTGCCCATCGGTTTGACTCCTGGGGCTGCAGAGAACAGTCACTTTGCCAGCCCCCCACCCCCACCTCCACCCTCATAGACTCACCACCCCACCAGCATACCACGTGGACAGAACCAGAGTGGAGAGGAGGAAGTGGAACAGTAAATGATCACACCAGTTAAAAAAATGAGGAAGTGAAGGATCCACGCGCTGTTTCAGGCAGCCGGTGAAGGAAGCATGAAGGAAAGATCACTCAGGAAGTGCAAGCCGGTAGGCTAGGCCAGCCTCCAGATGGATCTGTGTTCAAATCCTAGCCATGCCGGTTACCAGCACCTCACTTATTATCTCTAGAAAGTTAAAATGACAGGATATGGTGATGGAAAGAATAGGAGGGTCTAAGTGGACCCCAAGCTCAGGTTGAACCAAGGGGAAATGCACACAACCCTATGATGCTGGGCTACATTAACAAATGCATGACATTTAGATCATGGGAGGTAACATCTCTTACACAAGATCACACCCAGAGCACTAGAGTCATTTTTGGAAATCATTTTTTTTAACTTTTAAATGACTGATTTTCTTATTTATAAAACAGGCCAGGTCGGGCACGATGGCTCACGCCTGTAATCCCAGCACTTTGGGAGGCCAAGGCCGGCAGATCACGATGTCAGGAGTTTGAGACCAGCCTGGCCAACATGGTGAAACCCCATCTCTACTAAAAATATAAGAATTAGCCGGGCGTGGTGGTGCACGCCTGTAATCCCAGCTATTCAGGAGGCTGAGGCAGGAGAATTGCTTGAACCCAGGAGGCGGAGGTTGCAGTGAGCTGAGATCATGCCACTGCACTCCAGCCTGGGTAACAGAGCGAGACTCTGTCTCAGAAAAAAATAAAATAAAATAAAATAAAATAAAGCACTGGCAGGGCACAGTGGCTCACCCCTGTAACCCCAGCACTCTGAGAGGCTGAGGCAGGAGGATCACTTGAGCCCAGGAGTTGAAGACCAGCCTGGGCAACACAGTAAGACCTCATCTCTACAAAAAAAAAATAATAATAATAATAATAATAACAACAATAATAATAATGTATTACATCCAAATAGGCCGTGACTTTAAAAATGGCTATCATTGGCCAGGTGCGGTGGCTCATGCCTGTAATCCCAGCACTTTGGGAGGCTGAGGTGGATGGATTACCTGGTCTGGTAGTGCACCTGTGGCCCCAGCTACTTGGGAGGCTGGGGTGGGAGGATTGTTTGAGCCCAGGAGGTTGGGGTTCTGTTGAACTATGATTGCACCACTGCACTCCAGCCTGGGTAACAGAGCAAGAACCTGTCTCTAAAAGTAAAACATGATCATAGAGACAGTTTTGAAAATAGAGAAAACAGGCCAGGTGCAGTGGCTCACGCCTGTAATCCCAGCACTATGGGGAGACCGAGGCGGGCGGACCATTTGAGGTCAGGAGTTCGAGACCAGCCTGGGCAACTTGGTGAAACCCTGTCTTTACTAAAAATATAAAATTAGCCAGGCATGGTGGCAGGTGCCTGTAATACCAGCTACTAAGGCAGGAGAATTGCTTGAACCCAGGAGATGGACATTGCAGTGAGCTGAGATCACACCACTGCACTCCACCCTGGGTGACAGAGCAAGATTCTGTCTCAAAAAAAAAAAAAAAAGAAGAAGAAGAAGAAGAAAAGAAAAAGAAAACATAATCCATGCATAATTACAATACCTGAATTACAGTGGCTCTCAAAGTGCAGTTCCTGGACCAGTAACATCAGCATCACTGGTGAATTTGTGAGAAATTCTCATGTCCCAACCCAGACTTGCTGAATCAGAAACTCCTAGGGTGAGCCCCCCAAGGGATTCTGATGAAGGGCGTTTCCTTCTAGTTATTTCCCCCCCTAAAAGGGCAAGAGTCAGGTCTCTGAGCACAAGTCCCCATGCCAGGGCCTGACACAGAGCAGGATCTCAGCAAGCATCCTTTGAATAAGTGAATGAATGAATGATAGTTCTCACATGAGCAGCTGTCTCCCCAAGGCCTGCCCTTCACCACAGTCAATTTGTGACAGCCCAAGATGTTGCATTCACGCCAGTTCCATCTCTCCAGGGGGGCCTAGGCCTCTCAGGGGGCTAGTCCCAGCTGCAGGCAGAATGCCCGTTAGCCCCTGCTGGCACGGCCCCACGTGAGAGGGTGAGCTGACAAAGGCAGGCTTGTGGCCCCAGGCTGGGTCTGCAGGGACGTGGGCGGGAGAGGCTGGCGAATGCAGGACTTAGGCAGGGGCGCTGGGCTTTCCGGGCCCGAGGTGGGGCTAGGAGAGGTGCTGCTGGGGCTTGGGGAGGGGACCCAGAGGGCAGGCCTTTGTTCTGTTCCAGAGGTTCACAGTCCTCAGGGAGCCTAAGAATGTTCTGGGGCTCTGTGGTCATGCAGTCTGGGCCTCCATCCCAGGAGAGCTCTCCAGTGACAGATCCAACTGAAGGAGCTGGGGGTGGGGGGCCCTGGGAGGTGGGGGTGAGGAGCACAGGCTTCCCAGCTCCTTCACAGACAGCTCAGTGGTTCTGAAGAGCCTCTCCCAGCTCCCAGACCCCCTAACTGTGTGGAAGTGGGGAGGGAGAGGCCCAGCTCCACTGGACTCAGTAGGCCTCGTGGCTATGGAACAAAGTTGTAGACATGGTGAAACCTTGTCTCTACTAAAAATATAAAAATTAGCCAGCTGTGGTGGCTCACGACTGTAATCCCAGCTGTTTGGGAGGCTGAGGCAAGAGAATTGCTTGAATTTGGGAGGCAGAGGTTGTAGTGAGCCAAGATCGCACCACTGCACTCCGGCCTGGGCAACAGAGCGAGACTGTGTCTCAAAAAAAAAAAAAAAATCCCCTCAACACCACTGGGGAAACCCCAAGCCTCATCCTCTGCCAGACAACAAAAGGGCACAGTGCCTGGTAGTGCCCACCTCAGAGCCTTGGGGCCCCTGACCCTCAGCCCCACCACGGCCTGGCCACCTCCTTCAAGTTGACCTCTTCACCTTAAAGGCTACTCTTGAAGCTAACCCAGATTTTTTAGCTGGACTAGAAACGGGGAATAGGAGCATGGGGGAGGATGGGGGACCAGGGCACCCACACTGCTGCCAGGATAGGCAGTGCTTCCCTTTCTAGAGAATGCTTTTTTGCTCTGATTACAGTTAATAGCTGTTTTTGGAGAAAATCTGAAGAAGGTAGACGGCTTTCTATCTCTTCCACCGGTTCTCACCAGCTTCTGCAGTAGGTCCAAGTCCCCTTACCGGGTCCTGAGCCAGCCCCTGGTCTCCTCCCTACTCCCGCCTTACCCCAGCCCTCCAGCGTCCAAATAGGCTGTGACTTTAGAAATGGCTACCATTGGCCAGGCACGGCGGCTCACGCCTGTAATCCCAGCACTTTGGGAGGCCGAGGCGGATGGATTACCTGAGGTCAGGAGTTTGAGACTTGCCTGACCAACATGGTGAAACCCCATCTCTACAAAAAAATACAAAAAAATTAGCCAGGCTTGGTGGCGTGTGCCTGTAATCCCAGCTACTCGGGAGGCTGAGGCAGGAGAATCGCTTGAAACCCAGAGGCAGAGGTTGCAGTGAGCTGAGATTGCAACAATGCACTCCAGCCTGGGCGACAGAGACAGACTGTTTCAACAAACAAAACACGGCTACCACCTATTAGGAGGCTCACTAATTACCAGGCCCCCGCACAGGCAGTACGTGCATTATCAGTTGACAGTTTAATCCTCTTACCGACCCTGTGAGGTAGGTGCTGAAAACGTTCCTGTTTTGCAGATGAGGAGACGAGGCTCAGAAGCTTCGCAGAGCTGCTTGAGCAAGGGACCTGCGGGGCTGGATTCCAAACAAGCCACGTGGCCCTGGGTCAGTGCGTCATAACTGTGCTCTTCCAATTTGTTCAGCTATTCCCTCTGCTAGAACGGCCTTTGCCAGGCTGACTCCTGACTATCTCATCCTTCCAGAACATTTCCTTCCCAGACTCTGATTCAAACCCCACACTCTGAAATCTATGGTCCGTTGTGCTGGTAATTTTAGGTTGTATTTGTCTGTTTTCATGTCAATCTTCCCCAAGAGCTAGGGAGAAGGGCAGGGGCTGGTTTGTGTCTAGTCCTCAGCATCACCCAGGGCAGACCGTGGCACAGAGCAGGTACCTGTCACTGTCTATGGGTAGATGTAGGAATTAAAGAATGAGTATGGGGCCAGGCGCGGTGGCTCACGCCTGTAATCGCAACACTTTGCAGAGGCCAAAGAGGGAAGATCCCTTGAGCTCAGGAGTTTGAGACCAGCCTGGACAACATAGCGAGACCCCATCTCTACAAAAAAATTAAAAATTAGCCAGGCATGGTGCTGTACACCTGTAGCCTCAGATACTCAGGAGGCTGCAACAGGAGGATCACTTGAGCTTGGGAGGTTGAGGCTGCAATAAGCAAGGATTGCACCACTACACTCCAGCCTGAGTGACACAGAGACAGTCTGACTCAAAAAAAAAAAAAAAAAAAAGAGTATAGCTTCTGTCCTGCCCAGTCCACAACTCCCAGCCAGCTGCAAAGAGTTAGGAAGACAGGAGTTCAAGACCAGCCTTGGCAACACAGTGAGTCTCCGTCTCTACAAAAAAATAAAAAATTTTAAAAACTTAGCTGGGCATGTGCCTGTAGTCCCCAGCTACTCAGGAGGCTGAGGCAGGAGGTTCACTTGAGCCCAGGAGTTCCAGGCTGCTGTGAGCCATGAGTGCACCACTGCACTCCAGGCTAGGTGACAGAGTGAGACCCCTGTCTCTAAATAAAAATGAGAGAGGGAGAGCCTGGGCAGATCAGAACTGGTCGCAGATCCCTATGCCACCCAAGGAGGGTAGGCAGGGTCTGTCTACGTAGGGAACCTCCTGCTCACCCACCCACTCCCTGCCCACAAGGTGCATCTCTGTCCACCCCCTGCCAAACCATGAGCTCAGCCTGCAGGAAGCAGCCTCTCAAAGGCAAACCTGCTCCCCTCGATGGACTGATTCCCAAGAATCCTGGGAGAATTGTCCAGGAAGAGCCTCTTGGTCCCGGCTGGGCCGGACAGCCAAACATGAGCTCACACTACTGCTAATAATAGCAAGATCTTGCACAGCAGCAGAGGGCTTCACAGTTTACAAAGACATTCCATCTGAATCATCTCACAGATCCTCACTGAACCCCCCACTCCCAGTAAGGAAAGACAGGAACCATCATCCATGTTCTACAGATGAAGAACTTCAGAGAAGCACAGGGAAGGTGGGTGGTGCCCAAGCACACGCAAACAGGCAGGGGGAGGGGGTGAGACCTCCAAGCAGGACTCAAAGTCCAACCACCAACTTCAAGATCTTTCCTTGGAACCAGAACTCAGGGAGTCCATGAACTTGGAAAATCACATCTTCCTTTTCACTGACCTCTAAGTAAAATGTAGCATTTCCTTCTATTCTGGGCCTATGAACAAATCATCATTATATGAGTAATATCTGTGACTTTGCCACCAAAAAAAAATCACAGGTATTTTCATATCATATAACAGTTGCTGCAAAAATGTCAAAATATTATTTACACTCATCAGTAGTTTGAAATTATGCTAGTTAGATCTGTCACCAGAATTTATGAGTTAATAAGCACACATATTACTATGTTGTAATTTAAAAATACTTTAATAACTGTGTTTCAATATAGTTGGTTTCCTTTTTTTTTTTTTTTTTTGTGACGGAGTTTCACTCTTGTTACCCAGGCTGGAGTGCAATGGTGCAATCTCAGCTCACTGCAACCTCTGCCTCTGGGGTTCAAACGATTCTCCCACCTCAGCCTCCCGAGTAGCTGGGATTACAGGCATGCAGCACCACGCTTGGCTAATTTTTGTATTTTTAGTAGAGACGGGGTTTCGCCTCGTTAGACAGTCTGGTCTTGAACTCCTGACAGGTAATCCACCCGCCTCGGCCTCCCAAAGTGCTGGGATTACAGGTGTGAGCCACCGCACCCAGCCAAAATAAGATATAACTTTAAATGTTGAAATGAAATACAGGCGGGAGAAGCAGAGCTCCACTTTCAAATCACACTTTTTACTTATTTTATTCTTTAAGACAGGGTCCCTCTGTGTCACCCAGGCTGGAGCACAGTGGCTTGATCACAGCTCACTGTAGCCTTGACCTCTTGGACTAAAGTCATCCTCCCACTTCAGCCTCCTGAGTAGCTGGGACTACTGGCACACACCACCATGCCTGGCTGAATGTTGTATTTTTTGTAGAGAGGGGGTCTTGCTTTAGTGATTTACCAGCCTGGGCTGGTAAATCACACTTTAAGTGTTCTAAGAAAGATTACTTTCTATCAGAAACCCACGCAGATATAAAATGATTTACGTTTGTACACTGAGGACAGCGGGGGGAAGTTTAGATTTGGGGCCCACTGGAACCTTTGCACGTGGCTCCAGATGCATGGCTATGACGGAATTGGCCTGCAGCAGCTGGTGAGCTGTGGGGCTGGAGATGAAAGTGACCAAACACCAGGACCCTCTGCAGAAACACAAGTGGCAGCATGTGGTCTGAACCCAGCAACAGCTCCCAGCTGGGAGGACACGGAGAGAACCAAGGGGACATGAGGCTCCCAAAGGCAGGAGCAGGTTGCCTCTTGCCAGCCACCAAGGAAGAGACTTCCAGAGCGGAAGTCCCTCAGCTACCTCCCACCCAAGAGTCAGCCCCTAGTGTCCCTGGGGAACTCTGATATGACCCCTACAGACCATATTCTAGCAACTCTACATATGCCAAGGCTGGCTCAGGGGCGGGGAGCTGGAATCTGAGCCCACCCACTCCCATGGGACTCTGTACTGCCTGGGACTCCTACTCCACACCTGTTTCCCACCTCAAAAGCCACCTCCAGCAGAGCGCAGTGGCTCACACCTGTAATCCCAGCACTTTGGGAGGCCGAGACGGACGGATTACTTGAGGTCAGGACTTCAAGACCAGCCTGGTCAACATGGCGAAACCGTCTCTATAAAAATACAAAAAATTAGCCGGGCGTGGTGGTGCACGCCTGTAATCCCAGCTGCTCAGGAGGCTAAGGCGGAGAATTGCTTGAACCCAGGAGGTGGAGGTTGCAGTGAGCCAAGATGGCACCACTATACTCCAGCCGGGATGACAGAATGAGACTGTGTTTGACCAAAAAAAAAAGAAAAAAAAAAGCCACCTCCACCAAAAGCCTCCCTGACTGTCCCAGGGCACAGCCCTTTTGTTTGAACAATTAGTGAGTGCCTATGGTGGGCCAGATCCATCACCAAATTATTGGATTTAATCCTTATGATGGTCACTCTGCTCCCAACTAATTTGTTCTCCATTCAGTACAGTGAGTGATTTTTTCTAAAACCATGTTTAAAATGTGGTTAAAACTGTTTAAAATTTTCTCCTGTTTAAAATTCTCCAATGATCACCAAAACCTGGGAATCACCCAAATGTCCCTCAGCTGGTGAATGATAAACTGTGGTACGTCCACGCAATAGAATACTACTCAGCGATGAAAAGGAAAGAACTGCTGACACCTGCAACATGGAGGAAGCTCACATGCAGGAAGCTTAGGGAAGGAAGCCAGACTGAGTAGGCTACACACTGTATGAGTCTGTTTTTGACACTCTGGAAACGGCAAGGCTCTAGGGACAGAAAACAGTCCCGGTGGTTGTCAGGGTCTGAAATCGAGAGAGGAACTGACCTCACAGGGTGAAATTTGGGGTGTGAAGGAACTGTTCTATATCTTGGTTGTGGTGGTGGCTACAGAACTGGATGCATTTGCCAAAATTCATTTTATTGTATGTATTTGTATAATATATTGTACAGTATATTGTATATATTTGTACAATATATTATACAGTATATTGTATATAGTTGTACAGTATATTGTACAGTATATTGTATATATATACCCAGTACACCTGACCTAAAACCCCAAAAAGCAAAAAGCAAAGCAAAACAAAACCTCCAGTGACTTTTCATCACATACAAAAGAAAACCCAAATCCCATCGTACAGCATACAGGCCCTGCCTGGCCTAAGCCCCGTCCACTTCTCCATCTTCATCTCCCTCGACGCCTCCTCTCACTGGCAACACAGCAGCCACTTGGGTCGTAGGCAACCAGCAGCCACCTCACCTGTCCCACCTCAAAGCCTTTGGCCTTGCAGTTTCCTCTGCCTGGATTTCCCTGCCCCCCATCTCTGCCCTGCTGGCTTGCCTTCTGCCTCAAGTCTCCACTGAAATGCCACCTCCTCTGAGAAGCCTTCCATGCTCCTCCAGGCCCATTACGTCCATCTTAATCCCTTGTTTCTTTCTTGGCATATATCATAGGCTTATTTGTGATACTCAGCGTTTTATTTGTCTGTTTGCCTGCAGAATGTCAGTCTCTACCACCAGGATGTGATGTCAGGAGGACAGAGCCCAGCACAGTGCCTGGGACACACAGAACAGCTCAATAAAGAGGTGCTGAATGAATACACAGGCCCTCAGAGGGGAGGAGAATCCCCCTGTTCTACTCCCCTACAGAAAACTACTTCTAGTCAGCGCTCCTGTGTTTGAATCTAATTCCTTGATTCTGTGAAGCTAATGCCCATGGGTGCTTCAGACCCCAGTGGTGGGGCTCAAGTCCCAGCCCAGCAACACCCAGGCCACAGCCCTGCCAGATTCCAAACCTTACCCAAATGTACCACCTCCTCCCCAGGTTCCAGGGGCCCAACAAGCCCTCCGACGGGCAGACCAACCCAGAAGAATGACAGAGCTGAGCTGAGAGGCCCAGAACCTTCACTCTGCGAGGCAGCAACCACACTACAGAGGAACGGGAGCCTCCGCCTGGCCCGCCTGCTCCCATACTGCCCTGGCCACCATGGTCCCTCCCTCAGGCCGAGGCCTGGGCTGCCTCCCATCTGCCACCCTGGCTCTGGGCCACTCGTCTCCTGCCCGGGCCCGGGCCACTCACCCCAGCCCCGGAAGGGCTGCTCTGTGGAGTGGGCCGGCAGTGGCCACAGGGGCGGCATGCCAGCCCCACCCAAGAGGCCAGGGCAGCCATCTGCCGTCCCTTCTGCCGGTCCCCCAGGAGTCTGTCAAGGCTCCAGATGAGATCATCACACTTGGACCCCAAAAAAGGATATGCAAAAAACTCCGCAGAGCTCCACTTCTCAGCCCAAATGCAAACACTCTGGGCACAGCAGCAGGGGAGGGAAACCAAAGACTCAATCCCTTCATACCCAGGGACAGAAAGGCCTTGAGAAGGACAGGGGACAATCCCACAGTCCCTGGAGGGGATAGCACTGAGTGGGAGGGGGGACTCTGGGCACCTGTCTCCCACCCCAGAGCTCAATCTAGCTTAGCATCCTTGCGAAGAAGCTAGGGTCCAGTTTTCAGGAAGTTGCATCAAAGGTCCTGATGAGGCCGGGCATGGTGGCTCACACCTGTAATCCCAGCACTTTGGGAGGCTGAGGCGGGTGGATCACCTGAGGTCAGGAGTTCGAGACCAGCCTGGCCAACATGATGAAACCCCGTCTCTACTAAAAATACAAAAATTAGCCAGGCATGATGGCACATGCCTGTAGTCCCAGCTACTCGGGAGGCTGAGGCAGGAGAATCACTTGAACCCAGGAGACGGAGGTTGCAGTGAGCCAAGATCACGCCACTGCACTCCAGCTTGGGCGACAGAGTGAGACTTCGTCTCCAAAAAAAAAAAAAAAAAGGTCCCGGGGAAAGAAGGCCAGGACACGCAGCCTGGCATCACCGTGCCACATGATGTCCCCACTCCAGACAACACAGAGGCTGCCTGGCCCTGGAGACTCACCACGTCCTGCTCCTCTGGTTGGGAATAATGAGGGAAGACTGGGGCCTGGACCCGCCTCTCCAATGCCAAGAAATGAGATGCTCCCTGTGCACCCCTGATCCCCGCCAGGGAGTGCACATTCTCTCACTGCAGCCCGAGCAATCCCCGATGGGAGAGGAACCTCACAGAGGTCAAGTATGTTGCCCAGGGTCACACACTAAGTGGCACAGCCAGGATTCAGGTCCAGTTGGAGCTCCTATAAGCTGGACTAGACAGTCTTATAATGAACAATGGTGACGATAACAATAGCTAACATTGACAAGCGTTTAATGCGTTCCAGACACCGGACTGAGACAGAAAAGCCATTATCTCTTGCTCAGTGATGATCCTTAGAGGCAGGCACTATTATTATTTTATCCCCATTTCACAGACAAGCAAACGGAGGCCCAGGAAGATAAGGTCTACGCAGCCAGTCAGGAGTGAGCCTCCCAGATCCGTCTGGTACAGTTCTGCACAAGAGACACTACAGATGCTCTATCAGGGAGGGGTGTGTGTGTGTGTGTGTGTGTGTGTGTGTGTGTGTGTGTGGTGGTTGTTGTTGGTAAGAGACCACTGCCCACCAAGGCCACATCTGGCTTGTCACTGTTGTCACTCTCCCATTCAAGGCCTTACCTGGCAGAGCAGGGAGATATCCACAGGCCCTACGGCCTCTGGGGCATTCGTGTCAGGAAGCGCCTGACAGTTTCCTCCCATCCTTTCCATGTGAACAGGAAGGAAGGCAGCATCTGGACCTGGATGTGTTTAAAACATCCCCCAAACACCCTCTGGGTTGCAGCGAAATCTCAAAAACTCAGAGCAGGGGTCTGAGGTCTTTAGGGATAGAAGGCAAAGCTCCAAAGAGAGTGGCCCAAGGCCACAAAGCCTGAAGCTCCAGGACACCCCAGCACTTCACACCCCTGCCATTCCCCCTGCCTGGCATCCTGGAGAGAAGCACAAGACCCCAGTCTTGCCTCTTGCCACTTACAGGCTGCATGACCTCTAACAAGCCCCTTAACCTCTCTGGGCCTTAGTTTCTCCCTTTGTAAAAGGAAGGAGCTAATTACCCTGGAAGGTCCCTGCCCTCATGCAGGGAAAGGTGGGGCAGTGATGGCATGAAACCTATCATTACCCCATTAATAATCTAATCAA
This sequence comes from Homo sapiens, assembly GCF_000001405.40. Classification (NCBI taxonomy): domain Eukaryota; kingdom Metazoa; phylum Chordata; class Mammalia; order Primates; family Hominidae; genus Homo; species Homo sapiens. Next base: position 36,854,344 of record NC_000020.11, read on the forward strand.
CATCGTGGTAAATGCCCCAAAGGAAGCTCCAGGGAGCTCCAAGGTGTCTGACACAGGAGCCTGACCTGGGGAGCTGCTGCTGGGGCTGAGCGCTCAAAGGTGGAGGAAGAAACCAAGGGAAGGAGCCGGGAACTGCAAGCACAAAGGCCGGATGGGAAGAGCAAGAGCACGGGACAGAGGCCGGGGTGTGTCCAGCACCCGCAGAGCTTGGGCGGGGCAGGGGTGGGTGAGGCTGTGGGAGGCAGGACCACACAGGCTGCTCCACCATGGGGTAGGGTCAAGGAGAGGCGGGGAGGGGAGAGGCTGGTGCAACTGACTCGAGCCCAGAAGACCCAAAGCAGGCCTGGGCCCCAACCAGAGTAAAGATGTTCAGCTGATCCAGCCTAGCTAGGGAACCCCAGAATTTTTTTCATAGAGGCTGAGCTTTTCCTTGTGGCTCAGGCAGTGAGAGATGATTCACCTCCATTTGAGAATGAGGGGCCGCCAAAGGTGTCCTTCCATTAGCAAATGTGTATCACCAGTTACTAAGCTGGAGGCACTAGCCTGGGCCATTCAGGGAAGAGTGACACGACGCCGTGGGGGAGGGAAGGGGGGACACAGACAGGGATATACGTTTGGGGGTGCCCAAAATGCAGTGCAGCTCTGTGCATAACACTCAGACTGATGCCCCAAGCCAACACCCACAGAGGGACACCCAGAGCCAAGCACAGCCCCTGTCATCAAGCACCCAGCTTAACCTGGGGTCACGGGGGTCACACCAGAGCCAGATATAACAGGCAAGCGCCAAGTGCTGTCGGGTCCTTCCCAGGAGCCAGACCTGGCTAATGGGACCCACACCTGCACACTTTCTCTTACGGAACCCTCACGGCAACGTGCGGGGCAAGGACATCCACATCCCCATTCTACAGATGACGAGACCGAGGCTCAGAAAGGGAAAGCTCAGAAAGGAAAAGGCAGAGCTGGGATTCCAGCCCAGTCAGCTTGGCTCCAGATCACAGTGCTCTCTCCCAACCACCCTGGACCTCGGAGAACAAAGGGCTGGCCTGCTGCTTCCACCTGCTCTGACCCCTGCTGTGCCTCACTACCGCAAAGCAGGTAGATGCAGTGCTGACTGAGGCCTCCAGTGATGCCAGGGTCAGCCTGGCATGGAGCACCCCAGCTCCAAGTTCCTTCCGGCACCAAGGGGAGTGAACGTGACCATGGATGAGGTCATGCATGTGGGGACTAGGGGAATGACCTCAGTGAAAACCTTGGCTGCTGGGCAGGCCCTTGCTTGAACTTAGCTGCGCCCCTTTCCTAGGGGACTCTCTCTGCCCCGGAGGCTATGCAAGACACGGGGCCTCCTCCCCTCCTCTGTGCCAGGATGGTGCTAGGTGCACAGAACATCTGAGCTGTCAGCCTCCCAAGTGCCCCACTAGAAAGGATCACATCCCCATTTTACAGGAGGAAGACGGAGTCTTGGTGAGGGGTTTGCACAGGGACAGCATGCACACGGAGGAGGTGACACAGTGAGGTTTGGCTCCAGACTTGACTCCAGAGGTGGAGTTGGCCCCTAGACCACACAGCCTGGCTCTCCTCCCTCCCCAGGCCTCTCCGGCAGGGCAGGCCTCAGGCCCAGGGCTGCAGACACATAAAAGGAGGTGGCTGCAGCTTTGCTGCAACAAGACCACTCCCAGCAAGGTGCTCCCTTGGCTTGGCATTCAATGCCCTTCCCAAGCCAGCCCAACGCCCCTTCCCAGACTCTCCCCATCCCTGCCAGCTCCCACCACTCCCTCCAGCTTTTCCGTTTCAAGCCTGTGGTCCACCTCCAGGCCCTGCCTACTGCCTTTCACTTAATTGTACACATATTTATTGAGCCCCTACAACATGGCAGGCACTGTTCTAAGAGCTGGGCACAGAGACAGCCACTTGAGGCTAACTCCCCAGCTCCAAGGACACCTCCTCCTCCAGGAAGTCTGCCAAGTCCCTCCTCTGAGCTCCCATAGCTCCTCTAGCCACCTCTACCCTTGCCTCCATCATTCCCCAGCCAGAATGGGGCACCCTTTATAGATGGGAGTGGCATGGCCCTCTGCAGCCCCCAGCAAGGGAACAGGGGGAGAAGGGGGAGATAGGGCCAGCAGGAAATTCCAAGGAGATTAGAAGGGAGTTGCCCCCGGGCAGTGTTTCTTCTGTGGGCAGCTCGACAATCGGTCCACTTCACTCAGCCCCACTGGCCCTGGGCCCAGGAGCTGGGCATCAGGGACCTGGGGGACTTCGGTGTAGCTTCTTCTGACTTCAAGACCTACCACCCCCATCCACCCACCACCCAGGACCCCAAGACCCCCAGCTCCAGAAGGTTACAAAGTCAAGGCCCTGGCCACACTCCTTAGTGTTCCCAGCAGCCTTGTAGAAGTAAGTCTAGTGAGCCACTGAAAACAGTAGTAGTTTGTACACATTAGCTCCAGGGAGACACAGACCAGGATTTCCTGTTTCTGTGTGTGGATGAAATGTCACAGCGTGTGTGTGTGTGTGTGTGCGTGCGCGCACGTGTGTGCGTGTGTCTAGGTTCCCTGGTTTGAGAGCCTCTGGCTCCTGTGGGCAAATGCTACATGCCTAATGTTTGCATGCCAGACTGTGCTGTGTCCCTGCTGATGTGCATGTGGGAGTCCCCTTGGTGGGTGTCTGTAAGCCTCGGGTAGGTGTGCAAGTCTCTGCTGCTCTCTTTGTAGAAGAGGCAGGGGAGGTACCCGGGTGGTGAGCTTGTGCCTGGGCCAGCCTGGCAAGGGTAGATGTGCAGACTTCTGTGGATGCTAGTGTGTGTGTATAACGTCTGTGTGGGTTTGTGTCTCCGCCTACATGTGTACTTCTGATAAGTCTGAGTGTGTCTGCAGGATGTCAGTCTGTCTCTGGGACATATCCGGGTGTGTCTAGGGGTGTAAGATGTGTATATGAGAATGTGTTTCTGACGTGGGGGTTGCAGCAGGGTCTGAGCCTCCGTTGTGTCTGTTTGGTGATGTGTGCGTGTGATAGAATGGGAGTTGTGTGGCTGCATGGGTTTGTGCACTTCTCTGAGTGAGTATCCTCTCTAATCTGTCTGGAGGCGTGCTTCTGAAAGCATCCAACACCAGCGAGTCACTGGATGGGTCTGTGAGATGTGTGCAAGTGGCTGTGTGTCTCTGAGCTTGAGCTGTGAACAGTATATGTGCATTTGTATGTGCAAGACAGAGTATGCCCAGGGACACAGGCTCAGCCCCAAGGAGGCTGCGGCTGGGACTCAGGGTAAGGAGCAGCCAAGAGCTTTGCTGACTGTGGTGACCTCCTCTCCTCCACCCAGTGACAGACTAGAGTCCTCCCCCTGTAGCTCCTGGGAGCCAAGAAGAGAAGAGCTACATGCAGAAGCCTACTACGTGGCCACTGGGTCCAGACACCCAGCACAGGGCCTGGTACCCAGGAGCCACTGGGGAAATATGTGTTGAATGAATGAATGAATGCCTGGAGGAACGGATAAGGGATCGGCAATGACTGGGACACACTAACACTCACTGTGCACTCCATCTGCGTCCTCACATTGAAAAGGGTCCTCACGGCCCTGGGCGGGCGTGCTTGTCCCCCATGTTACAGAAGGAACAATCTCACACACATGCACACACAAACATCCTCCACTAACCCCCACCTCCCCCAGGCTCCGGGCCCCCAGCATGCCTTAGCCTAGAGCCTGGCCCATGACAGGATTCCTCTCACCAAATGTGTCTCAGCCTAGACACGCTAGTTAACAACCAAAAGCTCACTGCTCTGGTCACACTGCAGAAAGAACAGGCCCAGAGTTAGACAAACCTGGGTTGGAATCCTGGCTATGTAATTTAGAGCCTCCATTTACTGATCTGTAAAATGGCAAGTGGGGATGGATTAGGTGCTTCCTCCAGGCCCTTCTGAGCTGACATCTAGACTGGCTGCACTTCACTCACATCTAGAATCACCAAGGAGGGAAAACACACACACACACACACACACACACACACACACACACACTGGCTGCACTTCACTCACATCTAGAATCACCAAGGAGGGAAAACACACACACACACACACACACACACACTGGCTGCACTTCACTCACATCTAGAATCACCAAGGAGGGAAAACACACACACACACACACACACACACACACACACACACACACACACACACACACACACACGGCAGGGAAGGTGATCACACCTTTCCGTTCTCCCTGGGGCAGCTACTGATGTATTAACATTCTAAAACTAAGGAAATCCACCCTCCTGCATTCTCCCAGTTCCTCCAAGAATGAAGACACAGACATCCTGTCTGCCTATTGGCTATGAATAATAACAATTCCTCAGGCGACTTGGGTTCACTGCTTGCAAAATGTTTTCTTGTCTATTCACACTTCCCTGATTCCTGATGACCATCGTATGAGGTTGTCCAGGCAGGTTCCATCACCTTTACTTATTTTTTTTTGAGACAAGAGTTTCACTCTGTTGCCCAGGCTAGAGTGCAGTGGCGCCATCTCGGATCACTGCAACTTCTGCCTCCCAGGGTCAAGTGATTCTCCTGCCTCAGCCTCCTGAGTAGCTGGGATTACAGGCGCCCACGACCACGCCTGGGTAATTTTTGTATTTTTAGTAGAGATGGGGTTTCGCCACGTTGGCCAGACTGGTTTCGAACTCCTGACCTTAGGTGATCCGCCCGCCTTGGCCTCCCAAAGTGCTGGGATTACAGGCGTGAGTCACTGCGCCAGGCCCCATCACCTTTATTATACAGATGAGAAAAAAAGCAGCTCAGAGAAGCCAGGTAACTTGCCCATGGCCACACAGTAAACGGGAGAGTCAGGTTTCAAAGTCAGGTCTTCAGACTCCAACTCTCAGATTCCTCCATCCACACCCAGTGGGTTCCTACATGTTCTGGCCACATGGTACGTGCTTAATGGTTAGTGGTGATGAAAGGCTGGAAGACCTCAGATCACCGGGTCTTTGAAGGTCTCAGGTGACGTGTCTGCTCGGCAGCTAAAGCTGCATCTTAGAATCCTGGCACCTCAGTAGTTAATAACCTTCAGACTTCCTTGGCTAGAAGGGACCCAAGGTCAGGCAGCTCAACTGCAGCCACCACATCAATCTCCCTCTGAACCCTTCTCAAGCAATCATTCCACAAACCCTCTATCTTTATCCAAGCATGCAAGGTCATCCCGCCTCTCTCTGAATAATTAAAGTGACAGTGAGCTCACTACCTTCTCTGTAGAAGCTCCTTCTATCTTCTCACTGGGAGAGAGTTGCCCGATTTATGCTTTCCTCACTTGGACCCCAGAGCAGACCATACCAGACTGGAGATCACAGTCCTTCGCAGTTGACAGTTCCCAGTGACCCCTACAAGGGGGAGGTAAGCCTGAGCAGGGCCACCCACCAGACCTGGTGGGACCTCCTTCAACTCTGCTCCTGCAGGGGACATACTGGGGATTTGGAGTCCTTTCCCTTGTACTCAGTTTCTGCATCTTAGAGGCAAAGTAGTCCAGAAAGGCAGAAAACACATCAAGAGTCTAACACATGCTTACTCCAAGCCCTGGCAGCCTAGCGACCCTGCTCTGGGACCCACTCTGGCCACAGTTTTCCCATCTGTGGAATAAACAACACAACACCTCCAGTAATAACCCCTCTATTTATGGTCCACATTTAGTCTCTGGATTTTGACCCTGCCTCTGTGAGGCTGGCGGCTGGGATAAACAGATATACAGAGAAGTTAAGGGACTAACCCAAATGTACACAGTGAGAAGTGGCATGGGCTGGCCTTGCTCTCCTCTCTTACCCACACTCCTTCCCCTCTCTGGCCTTAGCGCTGTTCTTGAACTCAACGAGCATTCCAATTTCCCTTAGCCTGAAATCTTCTTACTCCAGACCCTCACTCAGTTGGCTCCACGGCATCCTGCAGCCCTCAGCCTCCCTGTGCACCCCAGCCCCCACCTTCGTGTGCTCCTGGCAAACTGTCCCCTTTACCCTCATTATGATCTGTGTTGTGATTTCTTGTATGACTATTGTTTAATTCTGGTCTCCCCAAAAGCTCTATGAAAACAGACACCTCATCCTCCCTTGTCCACAGCTGTATCCCAGATCTGCCCTAGCACACGGCAGGTTCTAAATAAACAGCTGCCGAATGAACCAATGAGGGGCCAGGAGAAAGAGCCCAGCCTGCCTTGGGTGATGAAGAGGATCTATTCTGCCCTCACAGAATCCACAAGAGAACAGGCTGGGTGCACATGGAAACATGTCCCGTGCCTCTGACAAGAGCAGTGATCAGAGGTTTACTACATACCAGGTGCTCTAATGGTGTTTGCAGGAATCAGCTCATTTAACCGTTGAGGTTGGAAAGCGTGTTACTGTCCCATTTTTACAAATGAGAAAGCAAAGGTCCAGGGCCTTTAAGTAACTTGCCAAAGATCACGCCGTCAGGAAGCGACAGACCCCAGATCCAATAGCAGCACGAAGCCTGAGCCACTGAATGAATGGTGGAAATTACGGTTCCATCTTGGCCCAAACGTGGGATGTCCCCAGCTGGACCCCGGCCCCTGTGAGATCCCGGGCTCAACCCCCAGCCTCCTGGGACTGTTTTCCCCTTTAAACAGTCATGGGTGCCTCAAACAGACTTTGGGTCAGAGCCTGATGACTTCCTGGGATGGACAGGGGCCCATGGAGATGGGTGCCTAGGAGCCCTGAAGCAAAGCTCTGCAACCCATCCCCCTTCACCAGAGTGAGTAGCAGGAACCGGGAGGCAGGGGTGAGGAACTCAGAGTTTCGGTTAAGGCCAATTCAGGCAGCACTCACTGGAAGCAGCTCAGAGCACCAAGAGGGCAGGAGCAAAAGACCCTTGTCCTGGCTCGTCACCTCCCTCCTCCTCCTCACCTTCCACTTGCCCTCTCCTTACCACCGGCTTCTGAAGACTCAAAGAGCCGACTGAACTCCCAGTTGCCAACACCGAACCCGGCCCTTGGGAAGACATCCTCCCATTTAACGGATGAGGAGACTGAGGCCTGGCTTGGGGAAAGGTGTCTCTTGATTCAGACAGACCTTGTCCTTCCATACTACAAGCATTTACAGAACTCAGGCTGGAGAGCAGATCCCGGGGAAAATGGGGAGACAGAGACATAGTTGAGCAAGACACCAACACTCTAATGAGGGAGAAGCCCATTTGGTCAGAAGAGCCACAAGGAAAAGTTAAAACCTAAGTGCTGAGGGCAGACATAAACCAGCAGCATGCTGTGAGCTCCACAGCCAGGGGCACTCTGGGTGTTGTGCCAGGCCATCATCCACTGACAAGAGTCGGCAACATTTCAGCCTCCTCCAAAACCGTGCCCAGCCAGCGGCAGGAGAGCTCAGGAAGCTTCCAGCCTCCCAGGGAGAGGTCAACACGTGCAAGCTGGGCTGTCCCTAAAGCTGCCATGGCACCTGGAAGCGTGCAGATGGAGCCCGGCTGGCACCCAGTAGGTGCTCATGTCCACTGAAAAAGCAAAGGCAAAGCCTGCTGTCCGGGGGAAGCCCTAGGGTCCCCACATGGCCACAGGGAAGTCCTGTTCCAGGTGGGCAGTTGCCCTCCTCTCACTGCGAACATGGAAAGGCACTGGCCACGAGGGGCCAATGGGGCTGTTGTGTGCACAAGGTCTGCCCCAGGGAGGGCAAAAGACACTGTCCTGGGATTTAGGAAGCTGCCTCTGAACCGGTTCTCCCACGACATCATCCTCCAGGCTGTGGGACCGTTAGGCTGGGCGGAAGTGGACTCCAGCCAAGGGGATGTTCCCAGATGTCATGCTTTCAAACTGGACCCGCCCAGAAAGGCAGGCAGAGACAGGCCTGCGCCCGGGAAAGCCCTGGGTAACGACTCAGGATGGCATTCAGGCCTTTCCTGGGCAGGGGATGGCCACAGGTTTCCCTGGCGGCGGTGTCTATCAATCCCGTCCCAAGAAGGAGAGCCTGGGCGTGGAGGTTCTGGGCAGCTGAAGGCAGAGATCCATCCCTTCCCTGGCTACCCACCCCCACCTCAGCAACGCCTCCCAGAACGCTCCAAAGCTTTCTCAAGTCCCCGCTCCCAGGTTAGGGCCCTGTAGCCAGTTCCAAGGTCTTTTTCAGGAGCGCGCTTCCCAAATAAAGTTGAGAGGGGGCGGGGGGAATGAGGGAGCCCCAGATCCACCTCAGAGTGGTCCCCAGAGGGCTTGGGCCCCTTTCTCCGGATTGTTCAGTGGGAAGGAGGGCCGGCTGGTGCCTCAGGCCCGCGGGACTGTGACAGCCGGCGACCCCTGCGACCTCCCTTTCTACCCGGGCGCCCCCACCTTGAGATAGTCGTTCTCCGAGCGCAGCTCCTCCAGCTCCCGCACCAAGCCGCTGGGCCCGCAGTCCAGCATCTCCTCGGTGAGGTCGGAGAAGGCAAGCGAGGCGCTGAGCGGCAAGCGGCTGCTGCCCACCGACGACGCGGCCACCGACGGCTCGTCCGGGGAGGCGGGCGGCCGCGGGGGCTGCTGCGCGGAGGGCGCGGGCTGGGCCGGCTGCCCCGTACGGACCCCCGCCGGGCCCCCGGCCGCGGACTCGGCGTCGCTGCTCAGCGCCAGCTCCAGGCCCAGCAGGCGCGCCTCCTCCGACGCGCAGTCCGACACCTCCGAGCTGCTATCCGTGAGGCTGGGGGGCGGCGGTGGCGGTCGCGGCCCCGCACCCGAGCGCGGACGGCCCTTGGCACGGACCCCGGTGCGGACCCCGGCCACCCGCACACCCGCACCGCGCGCCCCGGGAGCCACTGCGCGCCCCTTCTTGTCCGGCCGTGAGGAGAACGCGGCGCTGCAGGCGACTGCTGAGCCCGGGCCTGGGCCGCGGCGGCCCTTAGCCAGCGACCAGCCGGCCACGTCTTTGGGCCGGGCCGGCGACGGCGCGCGGTGGCTCTTTTTCCTCTCCGGGGCAGGCGCGGGTGCAGGCGCGGGCTGGGGACCGCAGCCCCGGACCGGGGGCTCGGCCGCCGGCGCCTCCATCGCGGCCTCCCTCGGCCTCAGCGAGCTGCGCGCATGGCCCAGGCCCGCCCGGCCTCGACGTCCCTGGGGAGGGACCCGGCGCGGCTCCGGCCGCTGGGGCTGCGGCTGCTCTCGGCCCACCTCGGCCCCGACACCGCGTCCCCGTCCCAAGCCCCGCCGCGCGGTCTCTCCGCTGCTCTGGGCTCGGAGAGTGCGGCCCGACCGCCTCCAGGCGCCCCGGCTCCGGCTGCGGCTCCGCCCGGCGCCCGCCCCCTCGGCCTCGCCGCGCCCCCGGAGCGCGCCCGGGCCCCCGCCGCCCGCACGCCGATCGCTCCCTCGGGCTCCGAGTCCGGCTGCGGCCCGGGCCCCGGCTCCGCCCGGCGCAGCCCGCCCCCCGCGCAGCCCCGCCAGCTCCCCGCCCCGCCGCCTCGGCTCGGGGGCGCGCGGTTCCGCGAACAAAAGGCGGACGCGGCGGGAGCGGCAGGGAGGGACGCAGGCAGGGAGCGAGGGAGGGATCTGCGAGGCAACAGCGACCCCTTCGAGGGTCAGGCTGGCGCGGGCAGCCGCGGCCCGGGCTCCCTCCTCCTCCGCTCCGCCGCCTCCTCCCCTGCCCGCTCGGGGAAGGCACCCGGCGGAGGCGCCCCTGCGCCCGGCGTCCGGGCAGGGCCTGCGAGAGCGGCGGGAGCCGGGACTCCCGGGCCGAGGCCGGGCGGACCTCAGTTCGCAGGAACCCGCATCCATGCACGCCCAGCGCCTCGCCCCTCGCCCCGTGCCGAGCGTGCGCGAACTCCGCCCCCTTAGCCGGCATCGCCGGAGCCGCGATCCCATCGCACAGATGCGTAAACTGAAGCCTGGGGTGCACGCGCCAAGCTCACGGTCTAGGCGGCGCCGATGGGACCCAAAGCTCACACCTCCCGGGCGCGCTCGGGCTCCCCCTGCCTCGGCTTCCCTCTCCTGGCATAGGGACCGTGAAGCCCTGTGTGCATGCCTGGCTCGCGCACCTTGACCGGCGGATATTTCTCCCCATGCGCCCCCGACCCGGGTTTCAGGCTCTGTACGGCTAAAATGGAAGCGACCCGTAGCTAGGCGCGGTGGCTCATGCCTGTAATCCCAGCACTTTGGGAGGCCGAGGCGGGTGGATCACGAGGTCAGGAGTTCGAGACCAGCCTGACCAACATGATGAAACCCCGTCTCTACTAAAAATACACAAATTAGCCGGGCGTGGTAGCGCGTGCCTGTAATCCCAGCTACTCGGGAGGCTGAGGCAGGAGAATCGCTTGAACCCGGGAGGCGGAGGTTGCAGTGAGCCGAGGTCGCGCCACTGCACTCCAGTCTGGGTGGCAGAGCTAGACTCCATCTCAAAAAAATAAACAAATAAATAAAAACAAAAATAAAATGGAGGGGACCTATTACGAGATGTCAGCCTAGCGGATGCTTTGGAAGGCGGTTTTGGCCCCCGTGGGGGCTGGCATGGGCTGGGACGGTTGCCCTGACCCCACACGTCCCCACCAGGAGCAGTGCAGGAGGACTTGAGCTCTGATGGGCGTGTTTTCTTTCCTCCCGGGCGTCTGGGCGTCTCCTTGGCTCCTGGCCGTGTTGATTTTCCCATGTCTCTCACACCTTCCCCAGCCCCCACACCGCCTGGCCGCTACGCCCCCATCCCTGAGCCACCGCAGGGCAGAGCTGGATTGAGTGCTTTGCCCCACAGATGTACCCTCGTCCTTAGGGTGCCCCACACCCCTTGCCACCAGAAGGGCAGGGCTGTTTTTGCCCCTTTACAACCTCTTTCTCCTCCTGTTCTCTCCTCCCCCTCCCATTTATCCCCTGCTCTTTCTTCCTCCTTCTTCTCCCATCTTTCCCCTTCCTTTCCCCCCTCCTTTTCCAAGTCTTCCTTTTCCTCCTCTTTCCCCTCTTCTTCCTCCTGCCCATTTTCTCCTTCTTCTTCCTCCCCCAATTCCCTTCCTTCACCTCTGCACCTGCCTGTGACACAGCAGGCACCAGGTCCACTTCTTTGTCTCTGTCCCACCTCCCCCACACGCTGTGAATACACTCCTGGGGCATCCCCTCTCTCCAGAGGCATGACTTCATCTGGATCCAGGTGAGTGAGTGCTCCTCCACCCCAACGCTAGGTGCCCTCCATACGGCCAAGTGAGGAGCAGGCACTCAGCAGGCTCTTGGCAAACACTTCCGCAGGGGCATCCCCACCCCCTCCTAGCAAGACACCAGCTCCCCTCACGGCCCACTGACTGTCCACAAACCCTGTTTGCACAGGCGCCAGGTACACTGAGGGACGCAGTGGTGGGCATGTCAGTGCCTGAACTCATGGAGCACACAGTGTGTGTTGGGGGGGACCACAAAAGACTCAGCACAAACAGGGTGGCATGGCATGTGGGCAGGAGTGCTGGAGAAGGATGTGGGAGCCGCAGGCTAGTGACCCAGGGCAGGCCTTCCCACATTCCGGGCCTCAGAGTCCCCACCTGCTCTGGTCTAATGTAACAGATGACAGGGTCCATCCAGCTCAGATGCCCCTGGCTCTAGTAGGCTGCATCTAGTCTGGCACAGAAAGATGCTGTGAAGCTCTTGGAAAGTGTGTCCTCTCTCTGTGCTTCAGTTTCTGCCCCTGTGCAGAACATAGGTTTGGAGGTGTTGGGTGGTGTGAATGCAGGGACATAGCAGACCAGGCTGGCTCAGCCACTCCTGACACACCCTTGGTCACATCAGTGGTCCTGAGATTAGAGTGGCCTGCATCTCTCTTCTAGGGCAGGGATCTGAGTCCTGGCTCTACCACCTATCCTCTCTGGGCCCAACACTCATGGCTGGCCAGGGAGGGGCCTGTGGGTCCCACCTGCTCTGAGGTGCTTTGGATTTGGGGAGTCAAGAATCTACATTGTAGACCCAGGGAAGCCTTGAGAACAACAGGGCTCTGGTGGGGAGGGACTAGGTGGGGCTGACGTAGGGGCTGTGGACTCAGGGTCAGTTCAGACCAGGGATACCACAAAGGAGATAAGACTTGTTGAGAGTCCAGAACTGGCTACATTGTAGACGGGGTGACCGTCCTTGCGCCGGCACATCCTGCAGCTGTGTGATGCGTGGCCTCTTCCTGTGTGCCGGGCTCTGTGCTCCACATTTCAGTAAAGGATCTCCAAAAGGTGAAGATACTTCTTGTGACTGATTAATATTTTCCAAAGGGTATATCTCATCCCAATTGCTCTTCTTACAATGTGACACTGATGCTCCTCCAATTGAGCGGCACATGTGTGCGGCACGTGTGTGGGGGCACTGTGTGCCCCCACCTTGAATCTCAGCAGATCTTGTGACTGTCTCAACCAACAGAGTATGGCAGAAGTGTTCATCTGTGACTTCCAAGGTTAGGTCATAAAAAGCAACATGGATTCCACCCAGCTTGCTTCTCTCTCTCTTTCTCTCTCTCTGTCTCTCTGGCCACTCACCCACCATGATAGGAGGAAGCCCAGGCCTCATGGGGAGACCGCATGAAGGTGATCTAGCCAACAACTCCAGCTCTGGTCCCCACTAACCACCAGACATGTGAGAGAGTGAGCCTGCAGATGATTCAGCCCCCAGACTTGGAGCTGCCCCAGTGGACAAGTGGAGCAGAAATGAGCTGTCTCACCAACCCTGCCCAAACTGCAAAATAAGTATTGTTGTTTTCGGCCACTAAGTTTTGGGGTCATTTGTTACATAACACTGGGTAGCTGGAATGTGTGACCAAGGTCACACAGCTTGGATGTGGCAGGGCTGGGATTGACTTGAACCCAGAGCTGCCCAATTCCAGGGCCTGTTGTGGTACCCTATTGGGCTGCGAAGTGCCCAGCACAGACACACAGTGTGTGCTGCAGAAAGCGCTACTCAAAAGAGACTGAAGCATTACCTTGTAAGAATTATATAACATAGGAAGTGAAGATGCTGATTACCCAAGTAGAAAAACGGTTTCATTTCTCCCATTCAAGCTGCTAAATTGACCAACGTGATGAAAACTGAATGGAGACTCACTCCTGGAAAGCTTCCAAGAGGAGGTGTGTTTTTTCCTTTTAAACTAAAGTTGTTTTGTTTTGTTTTTTCATTATACAGATTAAAAAACAAGCAACTGGCTATGGGAAAATTAGAGGAATCGGTCGGGAAACCTCATTAAATAGGGGAGTCAGGAAGGCCTCTCAGAGAAGGCAGCCTTTTTTGTTTTTGTTTTTGTTTTTTGTTTTTTGTTTGAGATGGAGCCTAGCTTTGTTGCCAGGCTGGAGTGCAGTGGTGCAATCTTGGCTCACTCCAACCTCTGCCTCCTGGGTTCAAGCGATTCTCCTGCCTCAGCCTCCCAAGTAATTGGGATTACAGGCATGCGCCACCATGCCCAGCTAATTTTTGTATTTTTAGTAGAGACGGGGGTTTCACCATGCTGGCCAGGATGGTCTCGATATCCTGACCTTGTGATCTGCCCACCTTGGCCTCCCAAAGAGCTGGGATTACAGGTGTGAGCCACTGCACCCAGCCAAGGAGGCAGCCTTTAAACTGAGTTATTCTTTTTTTTTTTTTTTTTTTTTTTTTGAGACAGAGCTGTCGCCCAGGCTGGAGTGCAGTGGCGCGATCTTGGCTCACTGCAAGCTCCACCTCCCAGGTCCACGCCATTCTCCTGCCTCAGCCTCCAGAGTAGCTGGGACTACAGGCGCCCGCCACCACACCTGGCTAATTTTTTTGTATTTTTAGTAGAGACGGGGTTTCACTGTGTTAGCCAGGACGGTCTCGATCTCCTGACCTTGTGATCTACCCGCCTCGGCCTCCCAAAGTGTTGGGATTACAGGTGTGAGCCACTGTGCCTGGCCTAAACTGAGTTATTCAAGGAGCCACTGAACAGTTAGGGCCTTGCCTTTTTTTTTTTTTTTTGAGACAGTGTTGCTCAGGCTGGAGTGCTGTGGTGTGATCTTGGCTCACGGCAACCTCCACCTCCCAGGTTCAAGCAATTCTCTTGTCTCAGCCCCCTGAGTGTTGGGATTACAGGCGCCCACCACCACACCTGGCTAATTTTTTTTTGTATTTTTAGTAGAGACGGAGTTTGACTATTTTGACCAGGCTGGTCTCTAACTCCTGACCTCAAGATCTGCCTGCCTTGGCCTCCCAAAGTGCTGGGATTACAGGTGTGAGCCACCATGCCCGGCTGCTGCTTTTTCTTTTTTCTTTCTTTTTTTTGAGACAGAGTCTCACTCTGTTGCCCAGGCTGGAGTGCAGTTGCACGATCTCAGCTCACTGCAACCTCCACCTCCCAAGCTCAAATGATTCTCCTGCCTCAGCCTCCCGAGTAGCTGGGATTACAGGTGCGTGCCACCACGCCTAGCTAATTTTTTTTTTTTTTTTTGAGATGGAGTGTCACTCTGCCGCCCAGGCTAGAGTGCAGTGATGCCATCTCAGTTCACTGCAACCTCCACCTCTTGGGTTCAAGCAATTCTCCTGCCTCAGCCTCACAAGTAGCTGGGACTACAGGTGCCCGCCATCATGCCTGGCTAACTTTTGTATTTTTAGTAGAGACAGGATTTCACCGTGTTGGGCAGGCTGGTCTCAAACTCCTGACCTCAAGTGATCCACCCACCTCGACCTCCCAAAGTGCTGGGATTACAGTTATGAGCCACTGTGCCTGGCCCACTTCTGTTTTCTCAATGAAGAATGCAGTTGCCAGCCATTCAGAGTAAGAGAAAGAAGAGATCTCAGAGAGTGAAAATCAAACCTTCTGGGACATGTCAGGGAGTGTCTGGTCATCTTATACTCACCTGAAGTTCAAAGGGGAGCCAGTCAGCCCAGTGAACACCGGGTGTATTCCCTTTTAGTCATTTTCTCTTTGCTAATTTCAAGTTTCTTTTGCATAGCTGAAATCTTACTGCCTATGCAATTTTGTATCCTGCTTTTTTCGCTTAACAGGGTAGCAGAAGCATATCCCCACACATTTATAACACATTTATAAGCTCTTTGCAAACATCACTCTTCATACTTAGAAATAATCCACTGGGCTGGGCGCGGTGGCTCACGCCTGTAATCCCAGCATTTTGGGAGGCCGAGGTGGGCGGATCACAAGGTCAGGAGGTCGAGACCATGCTGGCTAACACGGTGAAACCCCGTTTCTACTAAAAATACAAAAAAATTAGCCAGGCGTGGTGGCGGGTGCCTGTAGTCCCAGCTGCTAGGGAGGCTGAGGCAGGAGAATGGCAGGGACCCGGGAGGCGGAGCTTGCGGGGAGCCGAGATCGCGCCACTGCACTCCAGCCTGGGAGACAGAGCAAGACTCTGTCTCAAAAAAAAAAAAAGAAAGAAAGAAATAATCCACTGGGCCATGCGCAGTGGCCCATGCCTATAATCCCAGCACTTTGGTAGGCCGAGGCGGGCAGATCACCCAAGATTGGGAGTTCAAGACCAGCCTGACCAACATGGAGAAACCCTGCCTCTACTAAAAATACAAAATTAGCCAGGCGTGGTGGTGCGTATGCCTGTAATCCCAGCTACTTGGGAGGCTGAGGCAGGAGAATTGCTTGAACCCGGGAGGCAGAGGTTGTGATGAGCCGAGATCACGCCATCGCACTCTAGCCTGGGCAACAAGAGCAAAACTGTCAAAACAACAACAACAACAACAACACAGAAATAATCCACTGAATGGATGATGTTCCATGAATCACTTCACCTTTCCCCCTTTTATTAGACACTTAAATTTTTTCCTGGATGACTATTGCAGTTCTGAAAGAGGCAGCATGAGGTCTGGTCAAGAAGAATGGAGAAGGCAAATTGCTGGTCGCAGTGGCAGTGCCTATAGTCCCAGCTACTCGAGAGGCTGAGGCAAGACAATGGCTTGAACCCTGGAGTTCTGGGCTAGAGTGTGCTATGCTGATTTGGTGTCTGCACTAAGTTTAGCATCAGCATGGTGACCTCCCCCGGAGCAGGGACCACTAGGTTGCCCAAGGAGGAGTGAACTGGCCCAGGTCAGAAATAGCAGATCAAAACTCCCATGCTGGACCAGGTGCAGTGGCTCATGCCTGTAATCCCAGCACTTTGGGAGCCCAAGGCAGGTGGATCACTTGAGGTCACGAGTTTGAGACCAGCCTGGCCAACGTGGCAAAACCCTGTCTCTACTAAAAAAAAATGCAAATTAGCTGGGCATAGTGTCACAGGCCTGTAGTCCCAGCTATTTGGGAGGCTGAGGCAGAAGAATCGCTTGAACCCAGGAGGCAGTGGTTGCTGTGAGCCAAGATCAAGCCACTGCACTCCAGCCTGGGTGACAGAAGAAGACTCCGTCCAAAAAAAAAAAAAATTAAAATAGGCTGAGTGCAGTGGCTCACACCTGTAATGTCAACACTGGAGGCTGAGGTGGGAGGCTCACTTGAGACCAGGAGTTCAAGACCAGCCTTGGCAATATAGCGAGACCCCGTCTCTACAAAAACAAAATAAATAAATAAAAGAAATTAGCAGGGCATGATGGCGCATGCCTGTAGTCCTAGGTACTCAGGAGGCTGAGGCAGGAGGATTGAGCCCAGGAGACTGGCTGCACTGAGCTATGATCATGTTACTGTACTCCAGGCTGAGTAATAGAGCAAGACCCTGTCTCAAATATAAAGTAAGATAAATAAATAAATAAAGATATAAAAAGAAGGTAAACTTCAAGGCAGAGTCCAGACATCTGCTAGGCCCTCTGGTATCTGGAATTCCATCATAGAAGATTTTTGTTCTTGTTTTTTTTTGGTTTTTTGAGACAGAGTCTTGCTCTGTTGCCCAGGCTTGTGTGCAGTGGCACAATCTCAGCTCACTGCAACCTTTGCCTCCTGGGTTCAAGCGAGTATCCTGCCTCAGCCTCCCAAGTAGCTGGGACTACAGGTGTGTACCGCTACAACCGGCTAAATTTTTTTGTATTTTTAGTAGAGACGGGGTTTCGCCATGTTGGCCAGGTTGGTCTTGAACTCCTGACCTCAAGGAATACACCTGCCTCAGCCTCCCAACGTACTAGGATTATAGGCATGAGCCACTGCGCCTAGCCTTTTTTTTTTCTTTTTGAGTCAGAGTCTTGCTCTGTCGCTCAGGCTGGAGTGCAGTGGTGCAGTCTCGGCTCACTGCAACCCCCACCTCCTGGGTTCAGGCGATTCTCCTGCCTCAGCCTCCCAAGGAGCTGGGACTACAGGCATGCGCCACCACACTCAGCTAAAATTTTTTTTTTTTGTATTTTTAGTAGAAATAGGGTTTCGCCTTGTTGGCCAGACTGGTCTTGAACTCCTGACCTCAGGTGATCTGCCCACGTCAGCCTCCCAAAGTGCTGGGATTACAGGCATGAGCCACTGTACCCAGCCTCCATCACGGAAGCTTTCTAGCAGCCGGTTATGTGGCAGTTGATGTTCCTGCCAGATCACACGCTGAGTTTTCCTGACCATGAGGACACAGAATGGGACAGTAAGGCAAACCCCATTGGCTTCTCAAAGTGCTCAGTGGTTCAGGTGTTGAGCTTGGAGGAGGGGTGGCAAGAAGTGCTAGGCATGTGAGCCCCAAGCCATTTACAGCTTAAACACACATTGCAACAGCCATGTTTGAGGTGGCAACAGGGCCCTTTGCTTACTTGTTTTCCCCATAATACACGTCCTTTTGGCATCCCACACTTCCCGGAGGGAACACTGCCCCAGGACACCCGGCCACGAGCAGGGCATCTGGGGACCCATGTCCTCTCCACCAAGACCAGCAGAATAGGGTCTCTTTCAGCTGTGAAAAGATGGCACAAGCTACCTGTGAAACGGTGGGCTCACCCACCTAACAGGCCGGTGACCTGGGCACATTCCCCAGGGGATTCCCATCCCAGGGGCAGGCTACTGAAGCCCTTTCCAGCTTTGAAGTTCTGTGAGTCAACAACAGAGCAGTCATTGAGATCTTACTGTGAGCTGGGGACAGAGAAGTAGCCCCCTCTTCAATGGATCGTCTACTGCCTGCCAAACATAGCTTCCTGTGTGTGACCTCGCCTAATGTCACCACAGTCCAGTGAGAAACGTCCTCATCTCATCTGAGAGGAAACCAGCAGGGGCCGAGCCTGCCGGCCCTGGAGCACAGGGTGACTGACGGAGAACCCCACAACCTCACCCTTTCCTGTAGTGTTTGTAGATCAGAGATTTTATTTTCTTTTATTTTTGAGACAGGGTCTCACTCTGTTGCCCAGGCTGGAGTGCAGTGATGTGATTTTGGCTCATTGCAGCCTCGACTTTCCCAGGCTCAGGTGATCTTCACATCTCAGCCTCCCAAGTAGCTGGGACTACAGGCATGTGCCACCACACCTGGCTAATTTTTAAAATTTTTTTGTAGAGATGGAGTTGCGCCATGTTGTCCAGGCTGTTCTCAAACCCCTGGGCTCAGGCGATCCTCCCACCTGAGACTCCCCAAATCCTAGGATTACAGGTGTGAGCCACCGTGCCCAGCCATATTGCAGATTTTAACCTCAAGGGAATAGTCTTCAGTGGTGGGCATCAAGCACCAGGACCTGGCATCTGGCAGCTGTGGTGAGAGGCTTCAGGAGAGCCAATGTGCCTGCTATCCCCACCTCTTTGGGCTGTTGGGGGCAGAGCTGGGTGCCGGGGGATGATAAGGTCTTGTTTGTGTGTGCTTGTGGGATTTGAGTTTCTGATGTATCATAATCACTGCTGGGCCTTCCCAGCTGGAACCAGAGTGGGCACAGGGCCAGGGCTTGCCGCCCTCTGGGCAGATATAAGAGCTAGGGAGGAGAGCCTGGAGTCTGGGTCAGAGGGGCCAGCCACCTACCCAGGGACCAGGGATTGGAGCTAGCTGCCGCAGACAGACCACCAGGTGGGCAGGGTCAGTGCCCGTGTGGCCCCCTCTCTGGGGATCAGGGAGATACGCTAAAGGCAGGGTGAGTACATCCTTCCACAGCTCCCTTATTTCCCTTCACCCTTTGAGCTCCTCACCCTGCAACTGACCAAGGGACTGCCTGTCCCAGAGGCACCCAGGTGGAGGCTGAGGGGTCACTTGTCAGGGATTCGAGCCCTAGACTCTCAAAGAGTCAGTGTGGGGGGATTGTAATAAGTATTGCCACTCACCCAGCACCCACAAACAACATAAGGTACTGTTATCTCACCTAACTGAGGTCAGGAGGTTGGATGCCTGGCTTAACACCCTAGCTCTCTAGGCTTTATCTTCATTTACTCTTACAACAGCCCTGATGTAGATGTAGATATTAATATTTACAGGTGAGGTGACTGAAGCACAGGGATGTAAAGTAATTTCCCCAAGGCCACACAGCAAAGAAAGTGGCAAAACCAGGATTTGAACTCTCTGACTCCAGAGCTTGTCCTCTTAACCGCCGTCCTACACTCATGTGACTGTGATGAGTTCCTTCCCTTTTCTGAATGGCAGTTTCCTTATCTCTAGTCCGAGGGTCATAAGGTTTGATGACCAGAAAGATATTACCTTGAGCTTCCCTAAAAGTACTTGGACATGGGTCAACTTTAAGCACCTGGGTAACCTTGTTGGAAACACTTATCAAGAACTATGCATATGGCCTTTGATCCAGCATTCAACTTTTGAAATTTATCATAAAGGATACAGTCAGATTTATGAACAACGTTCATTGCAGTTTTGCTAATAATTAGAGAAAATTAGAAGTAAACAAAATGTCCAACAGCAGGGGGAATAAGTTATGAATGTCCTGTGATGAAATAATACGCAGCCACTCGAGGAATCATGCATTCCAAGAGCGTAGGGTATCTTGGAGAATTCTCGATTGTTGTTAGTAGAAAAAGTATTTTATAAAACTGTGTGGTCGGCCGGGCGCGGTGACTCATGACTGTAATCCCAGCACTATGGGAGGCCGAGGAGGGCAGATCACCTGAGGTCAGGAGTTCAAGACCAGCCTGACCAACATGGAGAAACCTCGTCTCTACTAAAAATACAAAAATTAGCTGGGTGTTTTGGCACGCACCTCTGATCCCAGCTATTTGGGAGGCTGAGACAGGAGAATCACTTGAACCTGGGAGGCAGAGGTTGCAGTGAGCCAAGATCACACCACTGCACTCCAGCCTAGGCAACAGAGCAAGATTCTGTCTCAAAAACAAAAACAACAAAAACACTGTGTGGTCAATATGGTATGAACACATAATGTGAGCCCTTTGCAAATATACCTTTGGGGGTTGAGAGTTTATTTGTGAGAGATGGAATTGTGAATATTTTTATATTCTTATTCTTTTCCGGTTTCTCAAATTTTCTACAATATCTAAATATCACTTTTTAATTAGAAAAAAAAAAGCTTGGGCCGGGCCCAGTGGCTCACGCCTGTAATCCCAGCACTTTGGGAGGCTGAGGCGGGCGGATCACCTGCGGTCAGGAGTTCGAGACCAGCCTGACCAACATAGAGAAACTCCATCTCTACCAAAAATACAAAATTAGCTGGGTGGAGGCTGAGGCAAAAGAATCACTGGAACCCGGGAGGCAGAGGTTGCGGTGAGCCCAGATCACGCCACTGCACCCCAGCCTGGGCAATAAGAGTGAAACTCCATCTCAAAAAACAAAACAAAACAAAACACCTTTTAAAATCTATTCTTTTTTTTTTTACTGAACATTAACAAAAGTTTATTTATGTTTCAATTTAGAAATTCATATGTTCCATAGTGAAACCCCGTCTCTACTAAAAATACAAGAAATTAGCCAGGCGTGGTGGTGGGTGCCTGTAGTCCCAGCTACTTGGGAGGCTGAGGCAGGGGAATGGCGTGAACTCGGGAGGCAGAGCTTGCAGTGAGCCAAGATCATGCCACTGCAGTCCAGCCTGGGCGACAGAGTGAGACTCTGACTCAAAAAAAAAAAAAAAAAAAGAAATTCATCTGTTCCCCCCACCCCCATCTGAAACTAAATATGGAAAAAGAAACAAAGACTTAATAAAGAAACTTTCTGTTAAATGACAAGCAAAGCAATGATGAAAGCCTAAAATACATCTGTGTTTAGGATGCAAAGTAAAAATAGCTTTTTTTTTTTTTTTTTTTGAGACAAGGCCTCACTCTTGCCCAGGCTGGAGTGCAGTGGCATGATCTCGGCTCACTGCAGCTTCCTCCTCTCAGGCTCAGGTGATCCTCCCACCTCAGTCTTCCGAGTAGCTGGGATTAAGGCGCACGACACCATGCCCAGCTAATTTTTATATTTTTTGTAGAGACAGGGTTTCACCATGTTGCCTAGGCTGGTCTCAAATTCCTGGACTCAAGTGATACGGCTCCCTCAGCCTCCCAAAGTGCTGGGCTTACCGGCATGAGCCACTGCACTGGGCCAGATTGTTCTTTCAGTCTAGGCATGCCCCCTTCTAGCTTCTGTTCTAACACACTCATCGGCTTGGAGAGGGAAGTGAATGGCAGACTGTCAGTCCCGCGAAGTCTTCTGAGATTATCTGGTTCAACATGTTACATGTTGTGTGTGGTGAAACTGAGGCTCAGGAGTGCAAATGGGCTTATCCAAGGTCATACGGGGAACTAGAGGCCCCAGACCTCCAGCCTGGGCCTTAGGCATCTGGCCAATGGCCCACAGTCCCAAGGCCAGGCTGCCAGAAGGACAAGGAGGTAGAAAGGAATTGCAACCAGAATCTATGGTGTATGGTTAATACGTGTTACATGCTAACTGCAATGAGGTCTTGAATGCCGAGTTGCTCACAGACTCACCCAGCAGCAGCTCGGCCTGGAGTGACAGGTGAGAGGGAGCAAAGGGCAGCTGGCGTGGGCATGGAGCTGGCTGGGTGTGCCCCAGGCCTCTCCCTCTCATCTCTAGGCCTCACCTATCAGCGCTTCCTTCCTGGGCAGGGCTGAGGATTCACTCACTGCCCACGGCCGGCTGAGCAGGGACAGGAGAATGAGAGGCCTCCGCTGGCGTTACACTCGGCTGGTAAGGGTTCCAACTCCGTCTGTGGTGCAGGTTGGGAGGTGAAAGGAGGTGAGGTCTCTGGCAGGGTGGGGCCTGGGCTAGGGTTGGATGCGGGCAGTGACTTGTTCCCCTCTCAAGTCCCTCCCTGGCAGGCCTGTGGTTTGGAGCAAGGACTGACTCAGGAACATGGGGTCTTAACACCCCTGCTCCAAGGTTCTCAAGGGGGACAGACCGATGTCTCTGTCCCTTCCTCCCTGGAGTGGGTGCTGGATGGAGCTCTGTTCAGAGCCACACACAGCTAGACCTGCCTCAGGCCTGAGCCTGGAGAACAGAGCGGGGCAGGAGAGGGGGTCCTGTCCATCTCTCAGCCCTTGAGAGGTCTCTTCTTCCTGGGAAAAGCCTGCAAGGTCATTGTGTGGAGGCACACACATACACATACATATAACATATACACACTCACACGCATACACATGCAAACACACACACTCACACACTCAAACACACTCAAATGCACTCATACACACTCAAATGCACTCACACACTCAAACACACATACAGACACACACACATTCAAACACACACACTCACACACACACTCTGGTACAGAGTGGAAGCTCGGATGAATGAATGAGTGAATAATGATGCCCCTTATGGATGTAGATATTTACACCATCACAACTCACACAAACACATTGATATATAAACACAAATTTACACTCAATACCTCCACACATTGATGTGCCTACACAACTCTATTCCAAGCCAACACACAATTCGCACAGACAAACACATTTTACATGAACCTACATGTATGATCCCACATATGACTGCATGCATCATTTCACGGGCTTCATGGGGAAACCTTTGGGCTTCATTTTCTTCCTTTGGAAAATGCTGATAAGAAGAAATACACAGAAGGCCAGGCGCGGTGGCTCACGCCTGTAATCCCAGCACTTTGGGAGGCCAGGTGGATCATCTGAGGTCAGGAGTTCGAGACCAGCCTGGCCAACAGGAGGAACCCGTGTCTCTACTAAAAATACAAAAATTAGCCAGGCATGGTGGTGGGCACCTGTCATCCCAGCTATTTGGGAGGCTGAGACAAGAGAATTGCTTTAACCTGGGAGCCAGAGGTCGCAGTGAGCTGACATTGCACCTCTGAACTCCAGCCTGGGTGACAGAGCAAGACCCTGTCTCAAAAAAAAAAAAAAAAGGAAAAAGAAAAAAGAAGAAGAAACACACAGAGATCACAGACAGTGCACACTGAACACAGGCCTGGGCAAGGATGGGTTTTTTGTTGTTATTATTTAATGTACAAACACACACAATTGAAGCTCCCAGGGCTATGCCACCACCTGCCTTCCCCTCTGCTCCCAAGCTTAGAACTTGATCCCTGCCACCCACCCAGGACCATGGCAAACAGACCGACAAGTCGCACGGCCCACGGCCCCATCTGAGCCTTGTGGGGTGCTGGCGGGGGTGGGGGGACTGTGCTCCAGCCCTCAGCTGGCAGGGGCCAGGGAGGAAGCAGGCTGGCGGCAGGGGCAGCGTCCTGTCTGTCGTGGAAACCCCCAACTACCCTGGGCTGGGCTGGGGGTTACAGGCACATGGGCAGGGAGTGATGAGGTGGCCCGAGGAGGCTCTTGGGCTCAGGAGATGGTAGAAGCTGGGACCTCCTGTCCCTGGACACACCAGGCCACTTTGTGTTTTTGCAGCCCAGCCAGGTGGAGGACACCCTGTCTGGGGAGGAGGGTAACGAAGAGGAAGAGGAGGAGGAGGCAGCTCCAGACCCAGCTGCTGCTCCTGAGGATCCCACGGTGCCCCAGCTGACAGAAGCCAGCCAGGTTTTGAGTGCCTCAGAGATTCGGCAGGTCTGGGCATTGCCCATGGCACAAGAATTTCAGCCCTAAACCTAAGAGTCTCACCCTCCTGCCCTACACCAGCCACGCCCAGGGGCACCTAGAGTCACTCTTGCTCTGTTCTCATCATGCGTTACCTCCGGCAAATTGCTTCTTCTCTCGGGGCTTTGCTTTCCCTTCTTGTAAAATCATCCAGTGTTGCTAGCACCTCCCTCTACACTGGGCCAGGAGGTTAAGGAGGTAAAGAAAGAGGCTAGGACGGGCGCGGTGGCTCACGCCTGTAATCCCAGCACTTTGGGAGGCGAAGGCAGGGGGATCGCTTGAGGCCAGGAGCTGGAGACGAGCCTGGCCAACATGGCAAAACCCTGTCTCTACTAAAAATACAAAAATTAGCCGGGTGTGGTGGTGTGCACCTGTAGTCTCAGCTACTCGGGAGGCTGAGGCACAAGATTTGCTTGAACCCAGCAGGCGGAGGTTGCAGTGAGCTGAGATTGTGTCACTCTGCTCCAGCCTGGGTGACAGAGTGAGACTCTGTCTCAAAAGAAAAAAAGGAAAGAAACTAATTCCTACCTAGAACCAGCCCTTGGGAACTGAGGCCAAAGCTGGAGAGGGGTGGGCGGATGAGACGGAGGATCAGGAGGAGGGTTCAGCATCTTTCCTATTCTCTAGCCTCTGGGGGCAAGGGTGACCAAGCAGAAAGAGTCCTGAGAGTCCTGACCTGGGTTCAAATCCTGTCTCTACCATTCACTACCCATGCGAGCTTTGGGCTAGTTGTTCCACCCTCCCTGGGCCTCAGTTTCCTCATCTATAAGATGGGAATAACAACCCCTATCTCCGAGGGCTATGGCTGATGGCATGAAAGTCCCTAGAAACAGCAAACTGCTCTATCGCCTGTAAAGCACTGTGCTGGATGCATGCTAGCTGTCCAAGCCCACCCCCAGGATATGGCAGGAGGGCGCGAGGAGAACTCCTCCATTCACCTCCAACCCTGTCCCCAGCTCAGCTTTCACTTCCCACCAAGAGTCACCGGCCATCCCTGGAGTCTGGTCTTCTGCACGTCAAGGGACGGTTTCAGCCTGCAGAGCCTGTACCGGCGGATGGAGGGCTGCAGCGGGCCAGTGCTGCTGGTGCTCAGGGACCAGGACGGGCAGGTGAGCTGGGCAGGGGCACCACCCGAGGCTCTGGGGGCACCCCACCAGGTACTCATGGGCCCTGTCCCAGGGCAGCTCAGGGACAAGCAGGCAGAGTGACAGACTAAGTCACCTATAATGGACACTGATGATGGCAATGAGACCTGCCCACTCAGAGCCATTCCCCCATTTATGCATTCAACACATCTACATGGGGCGCCTTCTGTGTGCCAGGTGAGAGGTGGGATAGAGCAGAATCAACCCAGAAGAGGTCCCAGCTCTCTTGGAGCTAATGGTCTAATAGGGGAAGGGTCAGACATTAAGCAAATAATCATTTGACTGTAAAACTGCATCTTCATCCTCAGAAGCAGAAGAAACTATGGGGGTGCTGGGCACGGTGGCTCACACCTGTAATCCTAGCACTTTGGGAGGCTGAGGCAGGAGGCTTGAGTCCAGGAGATCAAGACCAGCCTGGACAACATAGCCAGACCCTGTCTCTAAAAAAACCCAAAACCAAAACCAAAAACCAACAACAACCACAAAAAAATTAGCCAGGTGTGGTGGTGTATGCCTATAGTCCCAGCAACTGGGGCCAGGGGTGTTGCAGGGTAGTTGAGGCAGGAGGATCACTTGAGCCTGCAAGGCTGAGGCTGCAGTGAGCCATGATCACACCACTGCACTCCAGCCTGGGTGACAGAGTGAAACCCTGTCTGAAAAAAAAAAAAATAGAGATGTACACTGGCATTAAACTGATGTCAGAAGGAAACATACCAAAATATTAAGAGTGGTTATCTTGGGGAAGAAGGAGGGGGATTAAGAGATGGCTTTACTTTTTTTCTTTTGCTTGTCTATTACTTCTACTTTTTTCTGTGATTACTTGTGTAGAATATATATATACATATATATATATATATATATATATATATATACTTTTTTTTTGAGACGGAGTCTCGCTCTGTCACCCAGATTGGAGTGTAGTGGTGCAATCTTGGCTCACTGCAACCTCCACCTCCCAGGTTCAAGCAATTCTCCTAACTCAGCCTCCCAAGTAGCTGGAATTACAAGCACTTGCCACCACGCCCGGCTAATTTTTGTATGTTTAGTAGAGACAGGATTTCACTAAGTTGGCCAGATTGGTCTTGAACTCCTGACCTCAGGTGATCAGCCTGCCCCAGCCTCCCCCAAAGTGCTGGGATTACAGGCATGAGCCATCACGCTCGGCCCAGAATAAGTATATTTAAGAAAAAGGAGGGCCCTGACGGCCCAGAGGAGGAAGGCAGCAGGAGTTCTTCCTTGGGGAGCATTAAGGGAAAGGATGCATAAGGATTCCTGCTCTTGGGTGTGGAGCCCCCATGCCCCAGCTCTGCCCCAGCTTCCCAGGTGTCCTCTAGGATGAGCCTGTATTACTAAACCTGAAGAATGAGGGTTGCCAGAGGACCCCTAGCTCCCTTCCAGCTGCAGACTACAACTTCCACTTTCCAGATATTTGGAGCCTTCTCCTCCTCGGCTATCCGACTCAGCAAAGGCTTCTATGGTACTGGCGAGACATTCCTCTTCTCCTTCTCCCCACAGCTGAAGGTGATGTTCCCAACCTTCCATGGGGGGAGTGGGGCGTGTGGCGAGACAAAGCTCCCGGGGTCCCAGTGGCTCCCAGCTCCATCCTCCACGATGGGCTGCCTGGTGTGCCACCATCTTCCCACAGGGGAATGAGCAGGGCAGTGGTGGGCAGAGCATCCCCCTTGACCTGCCTGTCCTGCATTTAAAACGTATTTGGTGGGTCTCTGGCAACCGCTGACTGGCTGAGAGGAGGGAGGACCATGCTTGCCAGGCACATGCTGGGAAGACAAGATGGTCCAAAGTAGACCTGAGGGCGTGGTGGCAGGACGACAAAGGAGGACACAGCCAATGGCTTCTCAGGAAGTATGGGGGCCAGGCACCGTGGCTCATGCCTGTAATCCTACTTTGGGAGGCCAACGAAGGTGGATTGCTTGAGTCCAGGATTTCAAGACCTACCTAGGCAACATAGTGAGACCCCCATCTCTACAAAAAATACGAAAATTAGCCAGACATGGTAGAGTACACCTGTAGTCCCAGCTACTTGAGAGGCTGATACGGGAGGATCGTTTAAGCCCGGGAGGTTGAGGCTGTGGTGAGCCATGATCGCACCACTGCATTCCAGCCTGGGCAACAGAGGAAGACCCTGTCTCAAAAAAAAAAAAAAAGAAATATGGGGTGAGGTCATTGCTGGAGGAAGGTGAAGGATCCGGTATCGCGGTCATCACAGGTGTGGGAAGGGAGGGAAGCCTGCTGGAGAACACCGGAGCAGCAGAAGCGCCGCTGGGCCGTGTGAGTGGCGGCTTGGGTTGTGAGGTTAGGACGCCGCCACTTCAGTGCATCGGCTGCTCGGCGCAGGCCTGCAGAGGGGACAGCAGAGAGTGGACAGCCAGGGTTGGGGGTTTTGCCAAACTGGCTTAACACCGGCAGAGAGGGAAAGGAAGTTGAAGGGAGTGAAAATACAACATGGACAACGGAACCTAAACTGGACCAGGAGGGGAGGGGAGAGAAGCGGGGGGCACTGGGGGACACCAAGGCAAAGGTGGGCTCGGCATGAGAGGTCTCCTTGACATCAAAGGCTTGGAGCAGTGACAGCAGTTGGACAATGTGTTGGAAGACAGGATACAGTGGACAGAGAGAGGGACATTTGAAATAGGCTGTGGAGGAGACACCTGCCATCCCTGGTGAGGACAAATTCTCAGATGTGAACATGGAAGACAGCGGCAGAAACCCATTCTGGGGCAGGGCCTGGACGAGTCCACGTAGACAGTGAAGTTTACCAGAGAGCTGTGAAGGGTGGTGGGTGGTGAGTCAGAGCTCAGGTTTCTAATTAATGATGAGTGGGAGAGTGACAGGCACAAGATGACTGGTATAGTCAGGTGGCTCGAGCTGCCCAGGAGCTGGGTGAGAATAATAGTCCCAAACACCTTCCATCCAAAGGTTTCCTGCCTCTGGGTTATTTATTCACTAAAGCTATTGAGCAGTACCTGCTTGGCACAGAGCATACTACTTTTACTACTAGTAAAAATGGCCAGGCCAAGCCCTGTGGTTCATGCCTATAATCCCAGCACTTAGGGAGGCAGAGGCAGGAGGATCGCTTGAGCCCAGGAGTTCAAGACCAGCCTGGCAACAGAGCAAGATGCCATTTTCCACAAAAAGGAAAAAACAAAAACAAAACACGGCCAGGTGCAGTGGCTGGCTCACAACTGTAATCCCAGCATTTTGCGGGACTGAGGTGGGAGGATTGCTTGAGCTCAGGAGTTCAAGACCAGCCTGGGCAACAGAGTGAGATGCTGTCTCTTAAAAAAAATTTTTTTTTAAATTGTTCAGTGGATGAAGTCGTTCCAGGTATTCTGCTATTAGAGATCTCTCCAATGCACAGACTAAGATTCCTTCAGACACATCCAGTCACACAGTCATCTGGTCTCATGACAGGGAGTTCACAAGGAGCTATGGACTGCTTTGCTAAAGGCAAAATATACCATATCTATTGCATTGCTGCCATCAGCTGGAGGGGCTCCATCGAGCTTCCCAGGATCCAGGAAAGGGTGAGGGAGGCATGGTGAGCCAGTGCTGGTACTACTCATCACCACTTGCCTTCCTGAACTTAAGTCTCAGAATTCTAAAGGTCTAGAATTTTCCTTCCATTGCACTGACATTAGACTATTCCTACATTGACTATTCCTAGTAGAATCTTTTGCTGGTTCGTCCTCATCTCCCCAGCCTTTCAACATCAGAGCTCAGGTGTTGGTTCTCATCTCTTCTCTAGTGACCCTCATTTCTTCTGTGTTCTCGTCCATTCCCACAGCTCTCCATGCTGCCTGTATGCTGAGGGTCTCTTCCCTGGACTCCAAACTCACGTATATCCAACAACTGTCCATCATCTCTCCTTGCATCTCAAACATGGCGTTTCTTTTTTTTTTTTTCTGAGACAGAGTCTCACTCTGTCACCCGGGCTGGAGGGCAGTAGCGCCATCTCGGCTCACCACAACCTCCACCTCCTGGGCTCAATTGATCCTCCTGCCTCAGCCTCCCAAGTAGCTGGGACTCCAGGCACATGCCACCATGCCTGGCTGATTTTTGTATTTTTTGTAGAGATGTGGTTTTACTATGTTGCCCAGGCTGGTTTTGAACTCCTGAGCTCAAGTGATCTGCCAGCCTCCACCTCCCAAAGTGCTGGTATTACAGACATGAGTGCTGCATCTGGCCCCAAACATGGCATTTCCAGCTTACCATGTCCCAAACGGAGCTCCTGGCTTTCCCGCACAAAGCCTCCTCCTCCTGCTATCTTCCCCCATCAAAGTGAATGGCATCTCCATCTCCCGCTGCTGAGACAGAAAATCTTGAAGTCTTCCTTAACTCTTGTCTTTCACAACCCCACATCTGAGCTGTCAGCAAATCCTGACAGCTCTGCCTTCTCTCTGTCTATATTCGGGATCCACCAGTGCCATGTCCTTTACTGCCATCTTGGTTCAAGCCACCATCATTACTTGTGTGTCCCTGCTATCACCTCCTAAAAGGTCTCTCACTGCCTCCACTTCAGTCAGCACAGTAGCTGGAGTGATCCTTTTAAAAGGGAAGCCAGGGCAGGGCTCAGTGGCTCATGCCTGTAATCCCAGCACTTTGGGAGGCCGAGGCAGGTAGATCACTTGAGGTCAGGAGTTTGAGACCCATCTGGCCAACACGGTGAAACCCCGTCTCTACTAAAAATACAAAAATTAGCCAGACATGGTGGTATGCGCCAGTAATCCCAGCTACTCAGGAGGCTGAGGCATGAGAATCTCTTGAACCCGGGAGGTGGAGGTTGCAGTGAGTTGAGATCGTGCTGCTGCACTCTAGCCAGGGTGACAGAGTGAGACTCTGTCTTAAACAAACAAACAAACAAACAAAAATGGTGGGGGGGAAGCTAGAACTCACAGCATGTCACTCCTTGGCTTCCTCTTTCACTTGGAGAAGAGCCAAAGTGTGTCCAATGATCTACAAGTCCCTACAACTTCTGGCCTCTCTCTCTGAATGGCATTTCTTGCTACTTTTCCTTTCTCTCGCTCTGCTCCAACCACACTGGCCTCTGAGCTGGTCCTTAAACATGCAAGCCTGCTCCTGCCTCAGGGCCTTTGCACGTGCTATTCTGCCTAGAATGTCCCTCCACTGGATCTCTGCATGGTTCAATTCCCACCTCCTTCTATGTTCTGATGTCACCATCTCAGTGAAGCCTTCCCTGACTACCTGATTTAAAATGGCAACACCCAGCCAAGTGTGGTGGCTCACGTCTGTAATCCCAGCACTCGTGGGACTCCCAAGGCAGGAGGATCACTTGAGGCCAGGAGTTCAGGATCAGCCCTCACAACATAGTGACGTCTCATCTCTACAAAAAGCAAAAAAATAGCTGGGTGTGGTGGCACACACCTGTAGTCCCAGCTACCCCTGAGGCTGGGGCAGGAGGATCGCTTGAGCCCAGGAATTTGAGGCTGCAGTGAGCTGTCATTGCTCATGCCACTGCATTCCAACCTGGACGACAGAGCAAGACCCTGTCTCTAAAAATAAATAAATAAATAAATAAATAAATAAATAAAATGACAACACCCAGCCCTAGGAAGCCCTTAGTGTCCTTCTCCCCCTAGCGTTTGCCATCATTTAACACAGAAATTCTTTTTTTTTTTTTTTTTTTTGAGACGGAGTTTTGCTCTTGTTGCCCAGGCTGGAGTGCAGTGGGGCAATCTCAGCTCACTGCAACCTCTGCCTCCCAGGTTCAAGCGATTCTCCTGCCTCAGCCTCCCGAGTAGCTGGGATTACAGGCATGCCACCACGCCCAGCTAATTTTTGTATTTTTAGTAGAGACAGGGTTTCACCACGTTGGCGAGGCTGGTCTTGAACTCCTGACCTCAGGTGATCCACCTGCCTTGGCCTCCCAGAGTGTTGGGATTACAGGCGTGAGCCACCGTGCCCGGCCAGAGAACTTCTTTTACTTTGTTATCTGCCTTCTCCCACTAGAAAGTCAGTCCGTTGAGGCAGAGGTTTTTGTCTATTGTATTCAGCAGTCTACCCAGTGCCTGAAAATAGTGCCTGGTGCATAAGTGCTTTAAAAAAAAATTGTTGAATGAAATGAGTAACTTTTTCAGGGGAGCCTGTCTTTCCAGTCTATTGTTATGGAATCTCATCTTCTAAAAAATTGGTTAATTCTTGGCTATCTCTGGCCTTCTGGCACTTGTATTCCTCATGAATTCGGTAGTTCGTTGATTGCTATTCCAAACGGCACCATGAACTTGGTCTCAATTCCTTCCACAGCAACGTGTATCTTACTCCTTCAGGTCAAAGGTCATGTCCTTCGAGAAAGTAGAGGAGGACTTGAATGATTCTGTCCCCTTGTGGTCACTTGTTAATATGATCTCATCTCTCCTGAGCATAGGACGTATCTTTTATTAGTCTGTTTTCCGGCTAA
Source organism: Homo sapiens (assembly GCF_000001405.40). Taxonomy (NCBI): domain Eukaryota; kingdom Metazoa; phylum Chordata; class Mammalia; order Primates; family Hominidae; genus Homo; species Homo sapiens. The sequence continues at coordinate 36,885,666 of NC_000020.11, forward strand.
AAACCCTTTGGTTGCTCACAGCATTTTGGGCCACTGATTAAGGCAATAACATCCTATCGTTTTGCAGCCCTTTAAAACTATTTTGACTCTTGAATAATTTTTGCATTCAATAAATATATATGTTCCAGGAATACAGCCAGGAAGAAGACAGGCCACACGGAACTTAACGTCCTTAATATAAATAAATAAAGAGGAATGAAACAGGGTCTGGGAGGAAGGGCTACTTCAGATAGGGTGGTCCAGGAAATTTCTGAGATGATATTTGGGCTGAAGGATGAGAGGTGGGCCCTCTGAGGATCTAGGGGAAGAGCATTCTGGGCAGAGGGATTCTAGGTCAGGAATGGGCTTTGGGTGTTCCAGGGATGGAAAGACTGGTGTGGCTAATGTGTAGTCAATAAGGGGGAGAAGGGGCCAGAGAGAAAATCAGGGGTTAGAGCTGGCTGCACTTTTTAAGTTTTGACAGTTTTTTTGTTGTTTTTTAGAGTTGGGGTCTTGCGCTGTTATCCACGCTAGAGTGCAGTGGTGCGATCATAGCTCACTGCAGCCTCCACTCCTGGGCTCAAGTGATCCTTCCACCTTAGCCTCCCCAGTAGCTGGGACTATAGGTGCACACCACTGTGACCAGCTAGGTTTAAAAATTTGTTTTAGGGCCGGGCGCAGTGGCTCGAGCCTGTAATCCCAGCTCTTTGGGAGGCCAAGGCAGGCGGATCACGAGGTCAATAGATTGAGACCAGCCTGGGCAACATGGTGAAACCTGTTTCTACTAAAATACAAAAAGTTAGCCGGGCGTGGTGGTGCGTGCCTGTAGTCCCAGCCACTCAGGAGGCTGAGGCAGGGGAATCGTTTGAACTCAGGAGGCGGAGGTTGCAGTGAGCCAAGATTGCGCCACTGCACTCCAGCCTGGCAAAAGAGCGAGACTCTGTCTCAAAAGAGAGAGAAAAAAAATTTTTTTTAGAGATAGGGGAGGGTCTTACTATGTTGCCTTGGTTGGTCTAGAACTCCTGACCTCGAGGAAACTCCTGGCCTCAAGTGATCCTCCCGCCTCAGCCTACTGAGTAGCTGGGATTACAAGTGCACACCATCACACCTAGCTAGTTAAAAAATTGCTGGGATTACAGGCATGAGCCACTGCGCCAGTCCCAGGCTGCACTTCTGGCCATTGTTAAGGAGTTGAATTTTATCCCCATTGCAATGGGAAGCCATTGGAGGACTTAGGCAGAGGAGAGATAACATCTGATTTGGACGTAGAACAGATCACGCAGATTGCAGTGTGGGTATGGCTGTAGGTACAGACAGTGGATGCAGAGGGACCAGCTGGGAGGCTGTGATCCAGGCAGAGGACGGGATAGAAATGGCGGCAGGCCCGCTGTGTCTAGAGCTGCGAGGCTTGTTGATGAGCTGGATGTGAGGCAGCACTGAAGAGCAGGCGGGCTGGTGTTGTCCGGGTGAGAGTTAGTTAGAAGGGCAGTATCAGTTCCCACTCCTGGCCTGGACTGCTCCCCTCCTCCCTCCAGCTTTGGAAGCAGGAAGCCTCAGGGGTCGTTGTCCTATTCTAGAACAAAGAGGCTTCTAGGCTGTAGGAATTCAAACTAGAGGGCATGCGGTGGTGACTCCAAGGAGACTGAGAAGATAAACCCCAAGATCCCTGAGCCCGGAGTCCCACCTGCGGCTCGGTTGGGGCCTGGATGCTGTTCCCGCCACAACACTGCCATCCAGTGGTTCGGGGTCAAACTGCAAGGGCGGGACTCGCTCGCTTAGTAACCTGAGCCTTTCCCTATGTATCACCCAGGTCTTTAAGTGGACTGGAAGCAACTCTTTCTTTGTGAAGGGAGACTTGGATTCACTGATGATGGGCAGTGGCAGGTGAGTGTCTCAGTCTTCCCGAGTCTTGGGGCGGTCTGTGTTCTGGTCCCTTTCCCTCTGCCGAACTGCTGGGCTAGGCTGCCCTTGATGCAATGGCGAGGCTAGTGGGGAACTCTCAGGCCGTTCCCCTCATTGCTCAGCCTCCCAGCCAACCCCCTCAACCTCACGCTAAGCCAGTATTAAGGAGAAAGGATGCATGAGTGCCCCCACTGAAGTGTTACAGCTGGTGACAGTTTAGTCTGAATGTATGCAACTTTGGGAAAAGAATTCCACATGGTTGGATGAGACTAGCGTCAAGAGATGAGTGTGCCTCGTTTTTCCACCAGCCCAGGAATTGCAGGGGACATAACTCATTGCAGGAACCTCCCTCGGTGAGGACGGGGTAGAGAGAGGTAGGAAAAAAAAGTTGATCTCATCCTGGTGTGACCTTCACATTCAGGGGGCATGCGTCTTATCCTGAGGGCGGGGATGAGAGCATTGCTTGATTAGTACCAGGCAAATTCTTTGCTCTCCCAACTGCCTGAAAAGCCTCCACTGAGGGGCAGCTTGGCACAGAACACATCAGCCATTGCTGATCTGCAGGAATTCACTTCCTGGTTTCAGCCGAGGTTTTCTGTCAAATAAGGGGATTAGAATGGACGCTCTGAAGCATTTGGGCTCTCAGAGTTTGCACCCTGAGATGTACTAGCTTTGGTTAAAGAATTGCCATTTTGTTTTTTTTGAGACAGAGTCTCGCTCTGTCGCCCAGGCTGGAGTGCAGTGGTGTGATCTCAGCTCACCACACCCTCCGACTCCTGGGTTCAAGTGATTCTCCTGCCTCAGCGTCTCGAGTAGCTGGGACAACAGTTGCCCACCACCACGTCCGGCTAATTTTTGTATTAAGAATTGCTATCTTGGACCGAGCGTGGTGGCTTGTGCCTGTAATCCCAGCACTTTGGGAGGCCGAGGTGGGCGGATCACGAGGTCAGGAGATCGAGACCGTCCTGGCTAACATGGTGAAACCCCATCTCTACTAAAAATACAAAAAATCAGCCAGGCGTGGTGGTGGGCACCCGTAGTCCCAGCTACTCGGGAGGCTGAGGCAGGAGAATGGTGTGAACCCGGGAGGTGGAGCTTGCAGTGAGCCAAGATCGCGCCATTGCACTCCAGGCTGGGCGACAGAGCAAGACTCCTATCAAAAAAAAAAAAAAAAAAAAAAAATTGCCATCTTGACCAGGCGCAGTGGCTCACACCTGTAATCCCAGCACTTTGGGAGGCCAAGGCAGGCAGATCGCTTGAGGTCAGGAGTTCAAGACCAGCCTGGCCAACATAGCAAAACCCCATCTCTACTAAACATACAAAAATTAGCCAGGCATAGTGGTGGGCGGCCTGTAATACCAGCTACTAGGGAGGCTGAGGTAGGAAAATTGCTTGAACCCGGGAGGTGGAGGTTGTGGTGAGCCAGGGTCGTGCCACTGCACTCCAGCCTGGGTGACAAAGCAAGACTCCGTTTCAATAAATAAATAAATAAATAAATAAACAAATAAATAAATAAAGCTCTTAACCCCATGGGGAACAATGTGCTGAGTCCCCAATAATTCAGTATAAATTGCTTTAAGGGGCGATAAGACAGGTGAAACTGGGCTGCCGTCCTGGCATGGCCAAGAGCTGATGCTGGTGGCAGAGCCTGGGGGTTTCAGCACACAGGAGTGAGCCGCACCAAGACTGTCCTCTTCTCTCTAGTGGCCGGTTTGGGCTGTGGTTGGATGGAGACTTGTTCCGCGGGGGAAGCTCCCCTTGCCCGACCTTCAACAACGAGGTGCTGGCCCGGCAGGAGCAGTTCTGCATCCAGGAGCTGGAGGCTTGGCTTCTCAGCTGACAGCCCTGCGGCAACAGGTACTCAGCCCTGCTCATGATGCCACCCAGGCCTTCCTGACACACAGCAGCCTGTGCTGTTTGAAACACAGATGGTGAAGGGCCCTAGAGTTGGCCGAGGCTGCTGGCCAGCCTCCTTGTGGCCTGGGGACCCAAGATACAGGTGGGGGCAGGCACTGCTCTTTTGCAGAGGTGACTTTGAAGGATTAAAAGACGCTTACACCTTACTCAAGCAGCACAGAGACCCTAAGCTAACAGGGTCTTAGAAAACTCAGAAAAATCCACATCTCTTCCCCGCTAGTGCCTGCCTCCTGGCAAAGGGAAGATTTTTCACTATGCTGTTCCTCGCCAGCTACTGAACGAGGAAAACCAACCTCATGAACATTATCATTTTAGAGGTTCTACAACTGATTCATGTTTATTGTAGAAAAACCAGAAGACGTTAAAAAAATTAAAATTGCCTAAAATTCAACCCCCCCCAACTCTTAACATTTTCATGTATATCCTTCCAGACAATGTTCCATGAATGTGTGTGTGTGTGTGTGTGTATACTTACAAAAACAGGATTCTACTCTGTATGTGTGGAAATGATTTTAACTTACAGAATATTGTCAAACCTTAGAAACCTGGGCTTGAGCACTGGAACTAATAAATACTGTAGCAGCGTCGTTCCTCCTCTGGCCTGCTGCAGAATGTTGAGGCCTTTTTGTCTGCCACCAGTGCCAGGTGCTTGTGAGTCTGTTATTTAATTTCACAATGAAGGTATGAAAGGAGTAAATGAGTAATATGCATTTTTGGACAAAGAGGTCGAAACCTTTGTGGAACACAACTTTCAAGATGGAGATATATATTCACGAAGCTTTATTGCAGCTGTTTCCCTTACCCAGTTGAAGTGGCCAGTCATTTTAATTTGCAGTTCTATTTACATTCCCAAGGTAACCACGTTCAGTAACTCTCTAGAGGCTAAGCTGTTAAAATTTCCATTTTTATACAAATAGCAAAGATATTTCTTTCTCTTTCTTTCTTTCTTTCTTTCTTTTCTTTCTCTCTTTCCTTCCTTCCTTCCCTCCTTCCTTCCTTCCTTTCTTTCTTTTTGTTTGAGACAGAGTTTCGCTCTTGACCCCGAGGCTGGAGTGCAGTGGCCTGATCTTGGCTCACTGCAACCTCTGCCTCCCGGATTCAAGCGATTCTCCTGCCTCAGCCTCCCGAGTAGCTGGGATTACAAGCACACACCACCACGCCCGGCTAATTTCACCCGGCTAATTTTTGTATTTTTAGTAGAGACTGGGTTTCGCCATGCTAGCCAGGCTGGTCTCAACTCTTTACCTCAAGTGATCCGCCCACCTTGGCCTCCCAAAGTGCTGGGATTACAGGCATGACCACCTCGCCTGGCCAAGAAAAATGTAACCTTGTAAATAGCACAGCGTTCTCATAATGGAAACAGTTGCAAAGAACATAAAGTACAGCTGCGTTACATGTAACAAAAGATGCAAACAAAATAGATTCAAGTTGTTTTGCAGACAGCACAATGATACAATATTAGGACTACAGAATCTCAGAGTAAACCACAATGATTTAAAGGTAAGATACACAGAAATAAAATGATTTTAACAGAAAAATATGACATTCCTGACCTTAGGTCTGGGCACATGATGTCTGACCCCTATAGAGGCACCTTGGCTAAAATGGGAATGACCTAGTGCCATGGCTGACCTCACTTGTGCGTTGCTGAGCCCATATGTGAACAAATCCCCTTGATACAGCACCATGGTAGGCATGAGAGGAGAAGTGTTTTAACTATTCTCTTATGAATTGTAACCAACCCTTATTATCTACTGATGGATGGACAGGGGGTGGGGTGATCATACAGGATGGCAGACATTCCAAGTACTCTTCACCCCAGTGTGGACGGAACAGAATCTGGCTACACGGTGGCCAGTGATGGACTGCTGGGAAATCTGCTGGCCTGTGGTCTGAGTTCCCCTACTTGCTCAGGCTGCCCCTCACTCCCAGTGTGCCAGGGAGGCTTAGTCCGGGGAGCATCAGAGCAGAAGACATTCGGGGCTCATGGCTCCCATCCCCACTGGCCTGTATCTTCAGCACCCTCTGGCCACCACCAGCTTTGGCTCTAACTGCAGACTTTGTTCTTGGTGAATTGCTATAGAACTGGGAATGAGGTGTGCCCTGGGCACAGGGGCACTGCCCCACCAAGGTGGTGCCCACTCCACTGCTGGGAAAACGAAGTTACCTAGCGGAGCCTGGAGCCCACTGGGTGGTCACTAATTTCAGCACAGGCAGTGCAGTGTTTGTGCTTTTTTTTTTGGAGATGGAGTCTCACTCTGTCACCCAGGCTGGAGTGCAATGGCGTGATCTAGGCTCACTGCAACCTCCGCCTCCCAGGTTCGAGCAATCCTCCTGCCTCAGCCTCCCAAGTAGCTGGGACTACAGGCACACGCCGCCACGCCTGGCTAGTGTTTGCTCTTAAATACACAAAATGCACTGAACCAGCAAAAACAAAGTCCCAGGTCTGAGGAGCTCTGAGGATGATGCCTGTGATGGCCTCTGGCCAGCTCTCCAGGATACTGAGAGAGCAGGTCAGGGGAGGCCTTCTCCAGGCTGGGCAGTGGGAAGGCCCTCTGGACCGGGGGAGTGAGTATTCAGGGGACAAAGGCACTACCCGGGTCTGGAGCCGCCACGGAGCCAGGGCACAGCCTAGTTTGGGGGATTCCTCTGTCACTGGGGTAGGATCTCCCAACAAGAGGCGGCTTTATGTTCCACTCACGAAGAGGCCAGAGCTCTCAGATCTTCCCCAAAACCTAATCAGGCCTCTCACCAGCGTGTTGGAGGCCACTCCTGGCCATCATCTCCAACTCTTTACCCCAACCTGGCACCTTGTAGGGGGCTAGAAGGGTGAGGGGAGGTGTCTTTCACTTATGCTTAGGTCACTCTTAGAGGACTATCCTCAAACTTGAGGTGACAGGGAACTCTTCACGGGGGCAGGATTTGATGTTTTGTTTTTAGCCATGTTTGTCAATGACAATGTCAATTTCTAGTTCCAATTTGTACCCTTGTCTCATTTCTACATTAAAAACAAAAAACAATCATCTGTCATAAAAGTTCAGAGTAAGCTGGGTGTGGTGGCACATGACTTTAGTCCCAGCTACTTGGGGGGCTGAGGCAGGAGGGTCGCTTGAGCCCAGGAAAGTTCGAGTCCAAGCTGGGCAACAGAGCAAAACCTTGTCTCTTAAAAAAGAAAAAAAATAGAGTTCAGAATAGATAAAAGAGTTGTTATTCTAAGAAAATAGACTACTGAAGGAGAAAGGCTTTAATAATATTAAAAATAGGCAAGGTAATGCTTTTCATAGTATAGTAAGATTTGCCTAATACCATCTTATTTCTTTGATTAAAAGTTACTTAGCTTCAGCATGCGTGTACATTCAAAATACAAAATTAAAGCATGAGTTGTCATTAATTTGCAGAATTCTATGATTGAAGCCTCTAAATGAATTGTGCAGGAGAGGGAGTTTGTAAACAACTGACTACAGACATTCACATTGGGTCATCTTTAAAAAGCTGGACTCTGCTTTTGGATGCTTCTCGGAGGCGAGTTGGATTTTGGACTGAAGTACTGTCGTTCCATTCCTTTTTTTGAGGTGTTATGAGTGGGGCTATAACATCGCCATCCTATTAGGAAGAGAGAGAAAAACAGGCAATAGAGAAAAGCCAGTTTCCATCATCTTATTTCTGAGTGAAAGTCTCAAGTGCGCACATCCTCATCTTGCATATAGATTGCTTCTAGCTGTCCTCAATCCAGGGAAACTCCAAATTACATATGCCCTGTGCTTGGGGCAAATTAGAAACACTACAGTCTTACGCAGGAAGAGCCTTCATGAAAACAGCCACTGGCCTCTGCAGAGATGACTGGGAGCAGCATACCACTGCCCACCTCTATGGCCTCCTTCACACACCTTCACGGAGCACAAACTCTGTCCTGTTTTCCCAGGAGAAAGACGGGATGCACTGAACCCCTAGCTTCTCTCTCGCCTGGTCCCCTCTGCAATAAAAGGCCCAGGTCTACAAGATGGCAAAGAAGGGGAGGAAGAACAGTATGTACCTGCAGAATTTAAATTTTTCTCTGCATCAAAGCTCTAACGTTGGTCCCATCAGCATAGGCTCCAGCCAAAGAAGCTCCTCCACCCAAAATAAGGGAGAGATCCAAAGGGAGGCGATACAATGACGTGAAACCATAGAGGTAAGAAGCAAGGCCTCCTAATACTTGACTCTATGCTAAACTGTTCTGAACTTGTGGGTAGATCTTCTTTGGTTACAAGATGATGCACGATCTTGGAGAGCCTCTGTTGTACCAGGAATACAATGCTGGTGGGAGGATTCGTGCTCCTCATCTGCTTATTTGCTCTCAGATCCATTCTTCACTCTTCCTCTCCCTACTCTGTCTCACAGGAGCTACTCCGGTAAATTACATTTCTCAGCTCCCATGCCTGTTGGTTTCCAGTTAGATTTGGTCAGTGGGAGGCTCTGGTGGGAGACTGGAGGTGAGAAGAGGGCAGAGAAGTCAGGTTTTTTCTCTCCCTACCTCCTCTGGCACGAGCGGCAGTGGCAGTGACTATTCTGTGGTTCTAGCTTTTGCAGGTGGCCCCAGCTCCTGGACTCCCACCTGCTCCCTTGGTCTCTCCTATCCTAGAGGTGGTAGCAGCTTCCTGCTGTTGAATCACTGTCCTCTATGCTCATTTAGCTCTGCCAAAACTTTTGTATCTCACCCCCATGTTAAATTTTTTCTGTTGAACTACACTGGATCTGACTTGATAGAACTATTAAAAATAGTTTTTAAAAAATGTGTTATTATTTTTTTTTGAGATGGAATTTTGCTCTGTCACCCATGCTGGAGTGCAGTGGCACAATTTTAGCTCACTGCAACCTCCACCTCCAGGGTTCAAGCGATTCTCCCGCCTCAGCCTCCCAAGTAGCTGGGATTATAGGTGTGCATCACCATGGCTAATTTTTGTATTTTTAGTAGAGATGGGGTTTCACTATGTTGGCCAGGATGGTCTCGAACTCCTGACCTCAGTAAAGGCAATCATTTAGGCCAGGCGTGGTGGTTCATGCCTGTAATCCCAACACTTTGGGAGGCCAAAGCAGGTGGATCACTTGAGGTCGGGAGTTCAAGACCAGCCTGGGCAACATGGTGAGACCCCGTCTTTACTAAAAATACAAAAATTAGCCGGGCATGGTGGCACGTGCCTGTAGTCCCAGCTACTCAGGAGGCGGAGGCAGGAGAATCACTTCAACCCGGGAGGTGGAGGTTGCAGTGAGCTGAAACTGTGCCACTGCACTCCAGCCTGGGCAACAGAGCAAGACTCTGTCTCAAAAAAAAGTCATCCTATTGTCATGATACTTGTACTTAAAGGCCTATCTCAAAATCAACAGTATTTATTTGTCTTTAAACTCATCTCTATTTCTACCCAGCTTGCTTTCTTTCTTTCTTTTTTTGAGACAGCATCTTGCTCTATCAACCAGGCTGGAGTGTAGTGGTGTGATCATAGCTCATTGCAGCCTCAGACTCCTAGGCTCAAGCAATCCTCCCACCTCAACCTCCCAAAGTGCTAGGATTACAGATATGAGCCACCATGCCTAGCATATAGCCAACTTTTTAATTTCTACTCATTCTACTTTCAGTTCTAGTGAATTTTATAAATGTAAACAAATACGTCACTTTCCTGCTTAAAACCCTTCAGTGTCAATGCTCCCTACTGCTCTTGGCTGACAGGACTTTGATAAAGCCCCAGACACCTCCACACTCTATGCTCCTTCCTGAAATGCATCATGTTCTTTCTCATCTTCCGACCTAACCCTGTGGTGTCTATGCCTCAACCCCTCCCCTACCACCACCTCCTGCTGCCAGCCCTTAACCCAGACAACTCCTCACTCAACCTTCAGGTCTCAGTTTATAAGCCCTTCTTTAAATAAGCTTTTCCTGACCAACCAAGACCAGCTAAATCCTCCTTGTTTTTCCTCTTCTAAGACTGTGTACTCACCCTATACCCAAAGTACTTACCATGCTCCTATAATTATTAACTTATGGAGAAAAATTAATAATAATTATTATTATCCCCAACTAGATTATTATCCCCAACCTGAATGGGATCCATGGGTTATTAGGAACTGTCTATCTTAGGTACTGTTCCAGGTACCTAACACAGGGCATGGCAAAATACTCACTCCGTGAGTGAATGTACCAAATTTATAGTAGTTATCACGACACAGCCAAACTTTAATAGCCTCTCTTGACTCTCTATTTCCAGACTCTCCAAGTTCCAGTCTATCTGCAGCTAGAGTTTTCAGTGATTTAGTTTCAGTGATTTAGTTTCACAGTACCTAGGACAGACATACAGTTGGCCCTCTGCATCCATGGGCAGATTCAACCAACTGTAGATAGAAAATATGAAGGGGGAAAAATGGATGGCTGTGTCTATACTAAGCATGTACAGAATTTCTTCTTGTCATGATTCCCTAAACAATACAGTATTAACAACTATTTACATAGATTTACATTGTAGTAGGTTTTATAAGTAATCTAGAGATATTTAAAGTATAAAGGAGGATATGTATAGGTCATATGCAAACACTATACCATTTTATATAAGGGACTTGAGCATCTGTGGATTTTTCTTTTCTTTTCTTTTCTTTTTGAGACAGAGTCTCGCTCTGTCACCCAGGCTGGAGTGCAGTCGCCGGCTAATTTTTTGTATTTTTAGTAGAGACGGGGTTTCACAGTATTAGCCAGGATAGTCTTGATCTCCTGACCTCGTGATCCGCCCACCTCGGCCTCCCAAAAGTGCTGGGATTACAGGCATGAGCCACCGCGCCCAGCCTATCCATGGATTTTTCTATCTGTGGGGTCTGTGGGGGTCCTGGAACTAGTTCCCCACAGACACCAAGGGACAATTCTACTCTTATTCCCACGGGTGTCACTCTAGTTGGAGATGACACACATTCAGGTAGATCATACAGTGCATGGTAATTCTTGAATATGCTCAATGATTCCCTCCCCACTGTACAGAGAAAAAAATCTCTTAGCCAATTATCCAAGGTTCTCAATAATCTAGTCCACTCTTCCCATTTAACCTCTCCACACTTAACAGTAAGAACTTTCTGGCTGGGCATGGTGGCTCACACCTGTAATCCCAGCACTTTGGGGGGCCGAGGTGGGCGGATCACGAGGTCAGGAGATAGAGACCATCCTGGCCAACATAATGAAACCCCATCTCTACTAAAATACAAAAATTTAGCCAGGCATTGTGGCACATGCCTGTAATCCCAGCTACTCAGGAGGCTGAGGCAGGGGAATCGCTTGAACCTGGGAGGCAGAGGTTGCAGTGAGCCAAGATCGTGCCACTGCACTCTAACCTGGGTGACAAAGCAAGACTCCATCTCAAAAAAATGAATGAATTAATTAATTAAAAAAAAAAAGAATTTTCTACCCTGACAGGTCTCCTCATGGTCCCCTAAACAGTCTCAGCTCATTCCAGCTTCATGCCTTTGTGCTCCTCCCACTGCCAAATATACCCTGCATTCTCCCTGCTACTCATCCAAACACAACCCTGCCTTCTAGATCTAGCAGATCCTGCCCCTTCACCAGGCTTCTCCCAGAGATCTCCCAACTCTCTGAATCCTCAGAGATCTTACCTGGATCATGCCTTGTGGCACTTGATAAAGCACCGACATCCTGAGCTACGCTTTCATGTCTCACCCTATCCTTTGTTCCCTTTAGCACCTGACACACAGGGAGGTGTGAGGGAGAGTTCTAGACTAGGCAGTAAAGCACTGTTGCCCTGCATGCCAATCATATTCATTCATTCATTCATTCAATAAATGCCAACTGGCCACATTCTCTGTGCAGACACCTACCATGTGTAGGTCAGTAAGAGACAATTTTAACAACCTTCTCTACAGGGTTGGCAACTGTGGCTTGGCTCCTCTTCCCTCTACTCACATTCTAGATAATTTAAATAGCTAACTAATATACTGAAGTAACGAGGTTTAGAAACATGAAGTCTATTATCAATTTTATGTTAAACAAGTTAACTACTCAGCTTTGGTAACCTCTGAAAGATGGAGACACTATGAATAACCTTCCAGGGCCACTGGTGAACAACATTAGAAAGCATTATTTACATGTTCACATTTTTATTATTAGGACAATAATGCTAAACAGTATCCATTCCCAACTCCTGTAGGAAGAAATCACTGGCTGACACAGATTCAGACATTTTAAAAGGAAAGAAAGTGAAAGACCTTATTTTCAAAACCATAACCAAATGACTATAACTTAAATGGGAACTTTTCAGCAGATAGACTTACTTTTGGTTTTTACTTAAAAATAAAAAATTGTGCAAAGTTTGTGAGTAACAGGCCACCTACCTGCGGCTTGGTGAAATTTCTGTCTGCACACCACTGAACAAAATATTGTCTTGCGGCATACAAACTCTTTCTGTCCACCTTCTTACAATATACTCGAATCAGCTGCTCTGCAAATTTCTCTGGCAGAAGTTGTGAAACCTTTTTAAAATGAAGAGATTTCACTATCACCTTGAAGTCACACATTGGAGATATCAGCTGGTCCCTAGGCTCCTAACTATTCCTTTTTTTTTGAGACAAGATCTCCCTGTCACCCAGGCTGGAGTGCAGTGGCACAATCACAGCTCACTGAAGCCTTGACCTCCCAGGCACAAGTGATCCTCCCACCTCAGCCTCCTAAGTAGTTGGAACTACAGGCATGAGCTACCATGCCTAAGTTTTTTATTTTTTGTAGAGATGGGGTCTCGCTTTGTTGGCCAGGCTGATCTTAAGCTCTTCGTCTCAAGTGATCGTCCTGCTTCAGCCTCCCAAAACACTGGGATTACAGGTATGAGCTACTGTGCCAGGCCCACTTTAATTGTAAAGATATGCCTTAAAACCTAATTTGCATATAAAATGCTAATTTACTATAAAGATTTGCTACATGCCACTATAGTATATTTGTTTTGCCTAAGTAGTTACCTGGTTTTTAGTAATCCTGATTGCTCTGTTGGGGGCAGTCTTACAATAGAAGCTAACATGATCAATTGGATTCTTTTCTTGCATTCCATAATCCATGTTGATAACCTAAATAAAAGCAATTCACAAGTAATCATATAGCAAGCAGGAGAACTGAACTCAGGGCTGTAGGAGCATAACAAGAAATGGAACAGAGGCCGGGCGCAGTAGCTCATGCCTATAATCCCAGCACTTTGGGAGGCCAAGGTGGGTGAATCACGAGGTCAGGAGTTCGAGACCAGCCTGGCCAACATAGTGAAACCCCACCTCTACTAAAAGTACAAAAATTAGCTGGGCGTGGTGGCATGCGCCTGTAACCCCAGTTACTCGGGAGACTGAGGCAGGAGAATTGTTTGAACCTGGGAGATGGAGGTTGCAGTGAGCCGAGATCGCACCACTGCACTCCAGCCTGGCGACAGAGTGAGACTCTGACTCAAAAAAAAAAAAAAAAAAAAAGAAAGAAAGAAATGGAACAGAGCCTTCTGGGGATTTGGAAATAAGAATGTTGATGTGACTCATGGTGGAATAAAAATAACTGGTTCGTGACCACTCTTAGGGATTTGGTATTGAAATCTGGGAAGAATGGGAAATGCACTTGTGTGTTTGATCTAAGTGTGGTGTAAACTCAATCCCTGCTATGTGACAGACACAGATAGACACTAGAGGTACAACAAGGACACTTTAAAATAAAATCCCAGGCCGGACACAGTGGCTCACTTGAGACCAGGAGTTCGAGACCACCCTGGTCAACATGGTGAAACCCTGTCTCTACCAAAAATACTAAAAAAAAAAAAAAAAAAAAATTAGCCAGACGTGGTGTTGTGCACCTGTGGTTCAAGCTACTCGGGAGGCTGAGGCACAAGAATTGGTTGAACCTGGCAGGCGGAGGTTGCAGTGAGTTGAGATTGCGCCACTGCACTCCAGCCTAGGCAACAGAGCAAGACTCTGCCTCCAAAAATAAATAAGTAAAGAAAATCCTAGCCCCCACAAACCAGGCAGCCCTAGATTGAAATTCAACAAATAATTATAAAAGTATTCAACCACAGTTGAAAAGCAAAGGGTGCTTTGAAATGTTCTAACAGGTTACCTGATGTAGCCTAGGGTGCCCGGAGAATGACCGGAAACATTTTCCTGGGAAAGTGACTTTACTAAGTGAGCAAGAAACAAACAGGCTTAGGTGGGAAGAAAAAGAATTGCAGGCAGAGGAAACAGCTCAGAGGCAGAGAGGACTGAAACTGTCTCCTGGATTTAGCAACTCTGAAGTCACCGGTGATTCTGGAGAGAGTACAGTGATGGCAACAGAAAAAAAGGTTCAGGAGAAAATGAGAAACAAAAATGTAAGAGGCGCAATGGCTCACGCCTGTAATCCCAGCACTTTGGGAGGCCGAAGCCAGCGGATCACGAGGTCAGGAGATCAAGACCAGCCTGTCCAATATGGTGAAACCCCATCTCAACTAAAAATACAAAAATTAGCCAGATGTGGTGGCAGGCGCCTGTAGTCCCGGCTACTCAGGAGGCTGAGGCAGGAGAATCGCTTGAACCCAGGAGCTGGAGGTTGCAGTGAGCCGAGATCGTGCCACCGTACTCCAACCTGGGTGACACAGTGAGACTCCGTCTCAAAAAAAAAAAAAAAATGTAAGAGAAGGCAACTCTTAGAACTTTGGCTGTTCAGAGGAGGCAAGATGTTAAAGAAAAGAAAATTACAGCTAGATAGGAGGAGTAAGTTCTAGGGTTCTATAGTACTGTAGGATGACTACGACTATAGTTAACAGTAATTTCCTTTTTTTTGACACAGAGCCTTGCTCTGTTGCCCAGGCTGGACTGCAGTGGCACAATCTCGGCACACTGCAACCTCTGCCTCCCAGGTTCAAGTGATTCTCCTGCCTCAGCCTCCTAAGTAGCTGGGATTACAGGTATGCACCACCACACCCAGCTAATTTTTGTATTTTTAGTAGAGACGGGGTTTCACCATGTTGACCAGGCTGGTCTCAAACTTCTGGCCTCAAGTGATCCACCTGCCTCAGCCTCCCAAAGTGCTGGGATTACAGGCATGAGCCACCGGGGCCGGCCTAGTTAACAGTAATCTATTACATAGTTTTTTTGTTTTTTTTTGATATGGAGTTTCTGTGTCGCCAGGCTGGAATGCAGTGGCTCGCTCTCGGCTCACTGCAACCTCTGCCTCCTGGGTTCAAGCGATTTTCCTGCCTCAGCCTCCCAAGTAGCTAGGATGACAGGTGTGTGCCATCATGCCTGGCTCACTTTTTTTTTTTTTAATTTTAGTAGAGACAGGGTTTCACCATGTTGGCCAGGATGGTCTCGATCTCCTGACCTTGTGATCTGCCCGCCTTGGCCTCCCAAAGTGCTGGGATTACAGGCATGAGCCACCGTGCCCGGCCTATTACATAGTTTTAAATAGCTTGAAGGAGAATATTGAATGTTCCCAACACAGAGAAATGATAAATGTTTGAGATGATGGGTATGCTAACTACCCTGATCTGACATTTATATACACTATGTACCCCATGAAAATAGACAGTTATCATTTATCAATTTAAAAAATACATAAAATAAAAACATAAAGGAAAAAAAAGACAGCAAGAAAGAAGTATCTGGAGAGGAATCTGGTGCCTTAGAAAGGTAAGGGAAGATGAGTCTGACCCTGAAAAAGAGGAGAGGGGAAGAGCAGTGTGGTGTTCATGATTTTCTTGAGACAGGCTCTTGCTCTGTTGCCTAGGCTGGAGTGCAGTGGTGCGATCTCAGCTCACTGCAACCTCCACCTCCTGGGCTCAAGCGATCTTCCCACCTCAGCCTCCCGAGTAGCTGGGACTACAGGCATGCACCACCACACCTGGATAATTTTTGTGTTTTTGGTACGGATGGGGTTTTGCTGCAGCAAGGCATGATCATGCCACTGCACTTCAGCCTGGGGCACAGAGAGAGACCCTGTCTCAAGATAAACAAAAGTTTAAACTAACATTGGCTGGGTGCAGTGGCTCATGCCTATAATCCCAGCACTTCAGGAGGCTAAGGCAGCAAGATTGCTTGAGGCCAGGAGTTTGAGACCAGCCTGGGCAGCATGGTGAGACCCTATCTATACAAAAAACTTAAAAATTAGCTGGGCATGGTGGCACATGTCTGTAGTCCTAGCTACTCAGGAGGCTGAGGTGGGAGGATCACTTGAGCCCAGGAGTTTGAGGTTATAATGAGCTGTGATTACATCACTGCACTCCAGCCTGGGCAACAGAGTGAGACCTTGTCTCTAAAAAATAAATAAATAATTAACACTAAATACAATAAAAAATGAAGTTATTCAGTTACAGCAACCACATGTTAAGTGCTCAACAGCTGCATGCAGCTAGTGACTATGGAAAGGGACATCACTGACCAAGAATATCTCTGTCACTGCAGAAAGTTCTATGGGACAACACTTCTCTAGAACACAAGTAGAATTACCCTAAGCCTTTGACAAGAACAAAGCTGTTTCCCCACTATAAGAATGGGAATACTGAATACAGTGACAGATGGAGGAAGGCTTGTTTCTTTGGTGAGAAAGGTCTAAGGAGTTGCTACCTAATGGCCTATAGTTTATCTTGGAAATAGGAGCCAAAGGTTGGGTTACTCATGAGGATGAATACAGCTGGAGGTGGGAAGCATGGTTGGAGTTCTGAGAGGAGGGAGGACAGTTTGAAATGATGATGATGATTATTAGTAGTAGTATTTTTTGAGATGAGGGTCTTGCTCTGTTGCCCAGGCTGGAGAGCAGTGGCATGATCTTGGCTCACTGCAACCTCCGCCTCCCAGGTTCAAGTGATTCTCCTGCCTCAGCCTCCTTGAGTAGCTGAGATTATCAGCACCCACCACCATCCCTGGCTAATTTTTGTATTTTTAGTAGAGATGGGGTTTTGCCATGTTGGCCAGGCTGGTCCCGAACTCCTGACCTCAGGTGATCGTCCGCCTCGGCCTCCCAAAGTGCTGGGATTGCAGGCGTGAGCCACTGTGCCTGGACTGAAATGATTATTAGAGACTGGGAGAATCACACTAAGCCTGCCAGAAGGCCCAGCTTAGTTTCGTGACCGGAAATTTATAGATATGCCTGTATAGTGATGGTATCCAGGAGCATTTATGTGTCCAGGTATGGGTGTGGAGATGTTTAGATTTGATTCATCTAGGTTGTTTGGCCTTCTGCTAGGTAGATGCAAAGAAGGAAAAGAGAGTTGAGGGTAACTGCAGAAAATGAGTGAATTACTGTATCACGTTATCTAAGATACTTTTTTTTTTTTGAGATGGAGTCTCACTCTGTCGCCCAGGCTGGAATGCAGTGGTGTGATCTCGGCTCACTGCAACCTCTGCCTTCTGGGTTCAAGCAATTCTCCTGCCTCAGCTTCCCAAGTAACTGGGATTATAGGCGCGCACCACCACACCTGGCTGATTTTTTGTATTTTTAGTAGAGATGGGGTTTCGCCGTGTTGGGCAGGATGGTCTCAACCTCCTGACTTCAAGTGATTCACTCGCCTTGGCCTCCCAAAGTACTGGGATTATAGGCGTGAGCCACCTCACTCGGCCTACACGTGGAGAGAAATGAAGATAGAAGGCCACTGACAAGCTCGAAGAAAGTGAGGACACAATAAACTAGAGGGCCTGATGAGCTAGGAAAACATGGATGAGGAAGAAAGGGGTTTGTGGACAGAGAAAAGTATGTTAAACTAGTGATTTTACAGGGAGGGCAGTTTTGAATGTTGATAAGGTCCAGGGTGTAATCTGCTGAGACTATTGGCCTGAGGTGCAGTGCTGTCTCGCTCTGTTGCCCAGGCTGGAGTGCAGTGGCGTGATCTCGGCTCACTGCAACCTCCGCCTCCCAGGTTCAAGCGATTCTCCTGCCACAGCCTCCTGAGTAGCTGGGACTACAGGCACACACCACCATACCCAGCTAATTTTTGTATTTTTAGTAGTGATGGGGGTTTCACCATGTTGGCCAGGATGGTCTCAATCTCCTGACTTTGTGATCGACCCGCCTCGGCTTCCCAAAGTGCTAGGATTACAGGCATGAGCCACCGTGCCCAGCAATTTTTTTTTTCTTTTTCTTTTTTTTTTTTGGAGACAGTCTTACTCTGCTGCCCAGGCTGGAGTGCAGTGGCATGGTCTCGGCTCACTGCAACCTCTGCCTCCTGGGTTCAAGCAATCCTCCTGCCTCAGCCTCCCGAGTAGCTGGGACTACAGGCGCAAACCACCAAGCCCGGCTAATTTTTTTGTATTTTTACTAGAAATGGGGTTTTGCCTTGTTGGCCAGGCTGGTTTTGAACTCCTGACTCAGGTGATCCACCCACCTCTGCCTCCCAAAGTTCTGGGATTACAGGCGTGAGCCACCGTGCCTGGCCCCACAACTTTTTCCTCTGTGCTTGTATGCAGGCAATAAAAAAAATTAAAATGTATTACTTGTGTAATTAAAAATTTTTAATTAATATAGACAATGTAATCACATGACCACAATTATATTAAAAATAATGGCAAAACATCATGAACAAAATGTTTTTGTGGTTAATAATATTGGTTCTCTTTGTGAGGGCACATCATCTTTCTGTATTTTTCTAATTTGCTAAAATGAACATGTACTACTTTTATAATGGTGGGTGCTTTATCTTTAAAACGTATTCACTCAGTTTATTACTGGGCTAATTACTTACATCCACTATAAAATCTTCAGCCTTCAGTTTCACGTCTAGCAATACTTTGGGTTTAGCACTGGCAACCTCTTTTGGAAGAGATTCATAGTCCTCCTGGAAAACACAAGACTCCCCATGTTAGAATCCATTTTTCATCAAGTCTTTGAGCCACAAACAGGTTCTCTTTATGAAAATGGCACCTAACTAAGAAAAACGATTAGAGATATCCTTAACAAATATAGCTCCTACCAATGTCACTCGTTAAACAAAGAGAGCATTTTTGTAAAAAATTGTAAAAAGTGGCCAGGCGCAGTGGCTCACGTCTATAATCCCAGCACTTTGGGAGGCCCAGGTGGGCGGATCATGAGGTCGGGAGTTCGAGACCAGCCTGACCGACATGGTGAAACCCCGTCTCTACTAAAAATACAAAAATTAGCTGGGCGTGGTGGCGGGTGCCTGTAATCCCAACTACTCGGGAGGCTTAGGCTGGAGAATTGCTTGAATCCGGGAGGTGGAGGTTGCAGTGAGCTGAGATCGCGCCACTGCACTCTAACCTGGGTGACAGAGCGAGACTCTGTCTAAAAACAAACAAACAAACAAACAAAATTCACATTTTGAAAAAAAAAAAGTGACATTAACCTATTAGTACAACAAGAGGAAGTAAAGTATAACCCAAGAAATTATTGAGGTAGGATGTGGTTATAAGTATGACTTGTGTTACGGCTTTCTGGCAAACAGAAAACTCTTCAACAAGTAGGAGGTGAAAATAGATATTTGAGCTAAAGAAGACAGGTATGTGCCATCTGGGAGACTGATATCCTGTGAAGGAACCAAGTCATTACAACAGGTCACCACAGCCTCAATGAAGCTCATGCAGGCACTTTCTTTTGAGGTTCCTTTCCCTTATATTCATTTTCTCATGTCTGAATCTAGCCAAAATTGGAGACCCACTCTCACTTCCTGGATGAGATCAAAGATTTGGAGTTAAGTTAGACCTGGCTTTTGAATCCTGGCTAAATATGCTTTCATGAGCAAGTTATTTAATCTCAGTGAAGCCTCAGTTTCTCTATCTGTAAAACAGGCCTAAGACCCCTGCACTACTGTGAAGATTAAATGAGAATAAACGTAAAGCACTTAGTACAGAGTCATAGTATCACGATAGGTTAGTGGTCTCCTCTTGGAGGACAGAGATAACCTTTCACTAATGGAAAGATGCCTGATAACTCACCCTTTTAATCTTTATTTGTCCTGTTGGCTGCGTCTCACCCACATACTTGAATAGATTACGGTATTCAATTTGTTTTAAAATCTCTCGTGCGTCTTTCAATTTGGGATCAGTAGAGTATAAAATCTCCAGAAAAATGTTATCTGCCAATTTAATGACATTTCAGTTATATTAAAATAAAAACACAGAGTTAAAGAATTATATAGTGCTATTCTATTGAAATGATCTTAACAGGCAGTTCGCAAATGTAGGTACATTATTATTTTAGCAATGTGAGAAAAATTTTTAAAAGATTTAAGTGAAAAAACCTTTTAAAACTGTTCCAGTCGGCCAGTCATAGTGGCTCATGCCTGCAATCCCAGCACTCTGAGAGGCCGAGGCGGGCGGATCACTTGAGGTAAGGAGTTCAAGACCAGCCTGTCCAACATGGTGAAATCCTGTCTCTACTAACAATACAAAAAAATTAGCTGGGTGTAGTGGCGGGCGCCTGTAATCCCAGCTACTCAGGAGGCTGAGGCAGGAGAATTGCTTGACCCCGGAAAGTGGAGGTTACGGTGAGCCAAGATTGTGCCATTGCACTCAAGCCTGGGCAACAAGAGCGAGAGACTGTCTCAAAAAAAAAAAAAAGTTCCTGTCAATGTCTTGGATTTACTTCCAGGTAATCCAGAGAGTGGGGAAGGATAGAGAGAAATAAGACTGCATTGGAGTTGATGACTGCTGAGCTGGGTGATGGGCACATAAAGGTGTATGGATTTATTGTTGACATGTTTTATTTTGTCTTTAAGAAAGAATGGTGGCTAGGCGCTGTGGCTCACACCTGTGATCCCAGCAATTTGGGAGGCCAAGGCAGGTGGATCACCTGAGGTCAGGAGCTTGAGACCAGCCTGGCCAACATGGCAAAACCCTGCCTCTACCAAAAATACAAAAATTAGCCGGGCATGGCGGTGCATGCCTGTGGTCCCAACTACTCAGGAGGTTGAGGCAGGAGAATCGCTTGAACCCTGGAGGTGGAGGTTGCAGTGAGCCGAGATGGCGCCACTGCACTCCCACCTGGGTGACAGAGTGACACTATCTAAAAAATAAAAATAATAAAAAGAGAACGGTCCTGAAGTATTTACAAGCAAAATTATGTCTAGGATCTGCTTCTAAATTGTCCAGTGTTTGACAAGAGTGGGTAGATGAAGCAAAACTGCCATGTGTTGATAACTGTTGAAGCTAAGTGACAGGTACATGGCTTTGTAAATTTCTATAATAATAAAACAATGATTTTTTAATGTCCCATTCGATGATGAGAGTAGAAGAAATGTTTTTCCTTTCTTTCATTTTCTCCCAATTTTTATTTTGAAAAATTTCAAAATAAAATATCCTTCACTTAAATTCAACAATTGTTAATGTTTTTCTGCATGCGCTTTCTCCATATATATATATCTGTGCAATTTTTTTTTTTTTGAGACAGAGTCTTGCTTTGTCACCCAAGTTGGAGTGCGGTGGCGTGATCTTGGCTCACTGCAACCTCTACCTCCTAGGTTCAAGTGATTCTCGTGCCTCAGCCTCCTGAGTAGCTGGAACTACAGGTACATGCCACCACACCCAGCTAATTTTTGTATTTTCAGTAGAGATTGGGTTTCCCCATGTTGGCCAGGCTGGTCTCGAACTCCTGGCCTCAAGTGATCCACCCGCCTCAGCCTCCCAAAGTGCTGGGATTCCAGGTATGAGCCACTGCACCTGGCCTTTTTTTTTTTTTTTAAGGAGACAAGGTCAGGTTCTGTGGCCTAGGCTGAAGTGCAGTGGCGCGATCATAGTTCACTGCAGCATCAAAGTCCTGTGCTCAAGCAATCCTCCTGCCTCAGCCCTTGAGCAGCTGTGACTACAGACGTACACCACCATGCCTGGCTAAATTTTTTTTTGTTTGTTTTTGAGACAGGGTCTCGCTCTGTTGTCAGGCTGGAGTGAAGTGGCACGTGATCATGGCTCACTGCATCCTCGACCTCCTGGACTCAGGCAATCCTCACGCCTCAGCCTCCTGAGTAACTGGGACTATAGGCACATGCCACCATGCCCAGCTAAACCAAAAGCTAGTTTAAATGTAAATATAATTTGAAAAAATTAATCTTCCTGCCTTAGTCTCTTGAACAGCTGGGACTAAAGGCACATGCCGCCACACCTGGATAAAGATGACTTTTTTTTTTTTTTTTTTTTTAGACAGACTCACCCTGTTACCCAGGCTGGAGTGCAATGGTGCGATCTCAGCTCACTGCAACCTCCGCCTCCTGGGTGCAAATGATTCTCCTGCCTCAGCCTCCAGAGTAGCTGGGATTACAGGCGCCAGGCTGGTCTCGAACTCCTGACCTCGTATCTGCCCACTTCGGCCTCCCAAAGTGCTGGGATTACAGGCGTAAGCCACCATGCCTGGCTGACTTTTTAAAATATGGCATCACTTGCATTATTATGAATGAAAATTAAAAGTAAATATCTTCAGCTTGTTCAATTTTTTTTTTAACTTTTATTTTACTTATTTATTTATTTTATTTTTGAGAAGGAGTCTTGCTCTGTCATCCAGGCTGGAATACAGTGATGCCATCTCAGCTAATTGCAGCCTCCGCCTCCTGGGTTCAATTGATTCTCGTGCCTCAGTCTCCGAGTAGCTGGGACTACAGGCACCCGCCAGCACGCCCAGCTAATACTTTGTATTTTTAGTAGAGACAGGGTTTCACCATGTTGGTCAGGCTGGTCTTGAACTCCTGAACTCAAGTGATCCACCTGCCTCAGCCTCCCAAGGTGTTGGGATTATAGGCGTGAGCCACCCTGCCTAGCCTTACATGTATATTTTTAAAGAACAATGTATATAGTTCTTGTAATTTAATTTTTAAATTTTTTCTCTATCATTATTATTATTATTTGATACAGGGTCTCGCTCTGTTACCCAGGCTGGACTTCAGTGGTGCAATCTTGGCTCACTGCAACCCCGGCCTCCTGGGCTCCAGTGATCCCCCCAACCTCAGCATCCTGAGTAGCTGGGACTACAGGCACGCACCACCAGGGCTAATTTTTAAATTTTTTAGAAACAGGGTTTCACCATGTTGCCCAGGCTGGTCTCAAACTCCTGGGCTCAAGCGATCCAACTGCCTTGGTTTCCCAGAGTGCTGGGATTATAGGCACGAGCCACCTTGTCTGGCCTATTATTTATCTTTTGATTGAATTTACTGAAAGGTGTAATGTGAAGTCTGTCAAGTTGAATAATAAAAATTTGGGCTTGTATTTTACATGCCTTTTCCCCCCATTTCATTTTTCTAGTAATTCATTTTTATCATACTTTACAGAAATATCAATCTGCAAGGGGTTGGTAATTTTAAAAACTGGTTCTTCAAACACAGTTTAGGAGGAGCTAGTTTAGGTTTCATTCTGTCAGTGTGCAGCAAATAGAATCCAGCTGTGGTAGAACGGCAGCACTCTCGGCAGGAAGCTACGGTAGAGTGATTAGGCTGTGTCTTAGGTCACTTGGCTTCTGTTGTTTTTCTCCATTTTCAGAGCCTCCAGCCTTTCCACGGATTCTGTAAGCTATGTGATTGCTTTCCAATTTTATTTTTATTTATTTATTTATTTTTATTTATTCATTTTTGAGACAGAATCTTGCTCTGTTGCCTAGGCTGGAGCGCAGTGGTGCGATCTCTGCTCACCGCAACCTCTGCCTCCTGGGTTCAAGCGATTCTCCTGCCTCAGCCTCCTGAGTAGCTGAGATTACAGGTGCGTGCCACCACGCCTGGCTCA
Source organism: Homo sapiens (assembly GCF_000001405.40). Taxonomy (NCBI): domain Eukaryota; kingdom Metazoa; phylum Chordata; class Mammalia; order Primates; family Hominidae; genus Homo; species Homo sapiens. Next base: position 36,909,129 of record NC_000020.11, read on the forward strand.
TTTTTGTATTTTTAGTAGAGACGGGGTTTTACAATTTTGGACAGGATGGTCTCGAACTCCTGACCTCAGGTAATCTGCCTGCCTTGGCCTCCCAAAGTGCTGGGATTACAGGCGTAAGCCACCGTGCCCGGCCCAATTTTATTTTTAGTTAAACAGTTTCATAATTTGTAACTAAGAACTCTGACTGGTGTACACTTTTTGTTCTACTTCTTTTGCTTTATCTCAGTCAATACTTTCCCACATTAAAGAACCAGCTGTGGCTGGGCGCGGTGGCTCACACCTGTAATGCCAGCGCTTTGGGAGGCCGAGGCAGATGGATCATCTGAGATCAGGAGTTCCAGACCAGCCTGGCTGACATGGTGAAACCCCGTCTCTAGTAAAAATACAAAAAAATTAGCTGGGCATGGTGGTGGGCGCCTGTAATCCCAGCTACTCAGGAGGCTGAGGCAGGAGAATCGCTTGAACTCAGGAGGCGGAGGTTGCAGTGAGCCGAGATCGTGCCATTGCATTACAGCCTGGGCTACAAGAGCAAAACTCTGTCCACCCCCCTCCAAAAAAAAAAAAAAAAAAAAAAAAGAACCACCTTTACCCTTTACCTCTCTTTCCTCCTTTCCACACTAAGCTGCAGATTTTGTTTCTGCAGAAGTGTGGACAGATGTTCCTGGCATCTTGTGTTTTTATAATGAAAATAATGTTAAATGGCCAAGTCAGTTTTTTGGTGTTCAATATTAGTCCAGGTATGAGTTAAATAATGACAAGTCTGGGCAACATAATGGGACCCTGTCTCTACAAAAATTAAAAAAATTACTCAGGTGTGGCCGGGCGGTGTCTCACGCCTGTAATCCCAGCACTTTCGGAGGCTGAGGCAGGCGGATCATGAGGTCAGGAGATCGAGACCATCCTGGCTAACAAGGTGAAACCCCATCTCTACTAAAAATACAAAAATTAGCCAGGTGTGGTGGCGGGCGCCTGTAGTCCCAGCTACTCGGGAGGCTGAGGCAGGAGAATGGTGTGAACCCGGGAGGCAGAGCTTGTAGTGAGCCGAGATTGTGCCACTGCACTCCAGCCTGGGCGACAGAGCAAGACTCCGTATCAAAAAAAAAAAAAAAAATTCCCAGGTGTGGTGGCACATGCCTATAGTCCCAAGTAGCCAAATCAGCTACTTGGCTGAGGCTGAGGCAAGAGGATCACTTGAGCTCCGGAGGTTGAGGCTGCAATAAGCTGTGATGGCACCACTGCACTCCAGCCTGGATGACAGAATAAAATCTTGTCTGAAAATAAATAAATAAAAAAAAATTAAATTTAAAAGTTAAATAATGGGCCGGGCGTAGTGGCTCACGTCTGTAATCCTAGCACTCTGGGAGATGGAGGCGGGTGGATCACATGAGGTCAGGAGTTCGAGAAGACCCTGGCCAATATGGTAAAACCCTGTCTCTACTAAAAATACAAAAATTAGCTGGGCATGGTGGGGCATGCCTATAATCTCAGCTACCCAGGAGACTGAGGCAGGAGAATTGCTGAAACCCAAGAGGTGGAGGTTGCAGTGAGCCAAGATTGTGCCAGTGCACTCCAGCCTAGGTGACAGAGCGAGACTCCATCTCCAAAAAAAAAAAAAAAGTTAAATAATGTATATTGAGTACTTACGTATCAAGTCTATACTAGGTGCTATGCCTCATTTAAACATCACAACAAAACTATATGCTAGGTATCATTACCCTCATTTTATAGATGAAAGATTCAGATAGGTCAAATCCCTTTATCAAAGTCACTTTATTGGTACAAGACAGAAATAAAACTCAAATTCAAAAGGAGATAATTACTTGGGAAGCTAAAATCGTTCCATCGGCTGTGTACAGTGGGTCACACCTGTAATCCTAGCACTTTGGGAGTCAAGGCAGGAAGATCGCTTGAGCCCAGGAATTTGAGAGAAGCCTGGGCAATATAGTGAGACCCTTTCTTTATTTTTTTAAAATTAAATAATTATCTTTAAAAATGAAAAATAAAAGAAAGAAAAATAACTCATTGGCAATTCAGGGACTTCTTACAGTTTATCTGAGATGGACCATCTATGTTACCTGTTACTTCTTACCTGTCAGCTTAGTATAGGCTTCCATGTCGTCAATTGCTGTAGAAATGCGATACTTTTTTCCTCCAGCACCTGTAATCTCTATGTAGTCATCTGCTTTGAGGAAAGCATCTGTAATCCTAAAAATCATTTTGCAAAAATTTATGTTTATGAGAAATTTTGAATATTTGCCTTATGTCTTACTTAAGGAAATCTTTCTACTTTAGGGAAACAAAATAATGAGGCACAGTGTTCTAAAGACAACTGCTTCTCCACCGTACTAAATTTGTGCTTGGTAAGCTGTGAGCTGCCATGCTTACTGTGTTCCAGGCACTGTCGCAGGGCTTTGCATTCACCATCTTATTTATTCCTCCCAACAATAAGGTAGGTGTATTCAGCCCTCATTTTATAGATGCAGAAATGAAGTAAATTTTGATTTAACCAAGTTAGGAAGAAACAGTGCCAGGCTTTGAAACTAGATATCTCTGAATTACAAAACAACAACAATAACAACAACAAAAACTCTTACCGAAGAATTAACATACAAATAGGAGAAGGTATTCCAAGTAATCTGCTCATGACAAAGGATAGGTAAAAAATAGGAATGAAGATATACTTCCTCAACACAAATGTGAAAACGAACATGAAAAGTTAATCAATTTAAGGCTATTTTAGAGACATGGAAGAAGTAACTTGACTCACACCCAGTGTTTGATAACTCCTTATGGATCTTTGAGTCACGGAGAGACCTGGCTGTACAGTTTTCTGCTATGGTTCTGACTGGGTCAGGAAGAGGTAAAATTCCTGTTGGTTTTACCATTTGGTACTAATTTTGATAAATATTTGAAAGGATACAAATAGACATTAATCTTAATCCTTAAAGTTAACTTTTGTCATTAATCTCAGAATTTAAATATTCATGTCCTACCTCCCATTCTCCTGATGAGAATGGTGTGTAAGTGACTACCTGTGCCGAGGTCCTGAGTGATCTCAGCACTGCCGCTTCACGTCTGGCCTAAGCCAGCTCTTCTTCCCTTCATCTGCCCCTTTATCCACTTCCCTCCATCTGCCCCTTTATCCACTTCCCTCCTTTTCCTCCAACTAAATTAACTTTATGCTAGATTTTTTTTCTTTAAGGAAACCATTTTCAATTTAATCACTTAATATTCACTTGAACTCATCTAGAAATGTCTAGTTGAGCCTAGTATGATACTCTAGCCAAGTATCAAGGAAAATTTTATAGGGAAATGACAATCAAGTTTCTTACATTGTATCAATAATGTTGCCAACTTTGTGTTGATAAGCTCTACGGTGTAAAGAGTTGCGAGTGTGGAACATGTCATACAGATTTCCAACTTCCTGCAGGAAAACATGAAGTAAATATTAATAGGATCAGATTATGTTAACGTTATTAGAGACAAGTATATAGGACAAGGAAGGAAAAGGGATAGTGGCAGACAAGAGGGCTATGCACCGGGGCTTCTTCATTAACACCTTTGACCCCACTAAAAAATGAGGAGGCAGATTAGTAAAGCCATTTATTGGCTTGCAACTTTCATTTTTTTTTTTTTTTTTTTTTTTTTTAAAAGATGAGGTCTTGCTATGTTGCTCAGGCTGGTCTTAAGTGATCTTCCTACCTCAGCCTTGCTGGGATAACATGCATCAGCCACTGTACCCAGCTAACTTTCATTCTTTGTTTTTTTTTTTTTTTTTTTTTTTTTTGAGATGGAGTCTCGATCTGTTGCCCAGGCTGGAGTACAAGTCCTTCATTGCAAGAACTTTCATTCTTTTTCTTTTCTTTCTTCCTTTTTTTTTTTTTTTGAGATGGAGTCTCGCTCTGTTGCCCAGGCTGGAGTGCAGTGGCGCCATCTCGGCTCACTGCAAGCTTTGCCTCCTGGGTTCATGCCATTCTCCCGCCTCAGTCTCCCGAGTGGCTGGGACTACAGGCGCCTGCCACCAAGCCCGGCTAATTTTTTTGTATTTTTAGTAGAGATGGAGTTTCACTGTGTTAGCCAGGATGGTCTCAATCTCCTGACCTCATGATCTGCCCGCCTCGGCCTCCCATAGTGCTGGGATTACAGGCGTGAGCCACTGTGCCCGGCCAAGAACTTTCATTCTTAATAAACTAGGCCAGGTGCGATGGCTCATGCCTGTAACCCCAGCACTTTGGGAGGCCGAGGTGGGCAGATCACCTGAGGTCAGGAGTTCAAGACCAGCCTGGCCAACATGGTGAAACCCTGTCTCTACAAAAATACAAAAATTAGCCGGGCATGATGGCGGGTGCCTGTAATCCCAGCTACTAGGGAGGCTGAGGTGGGAGAATCACTTGAACCCAGGAGGCGGAGGTTGCAGTGAGCGGAGATCACGCCATTGCACTCCAGTCTGGGTGACAGAGCAAGACTCCAACTCAAAGAAAAAAAAAAAAAACCCTAAAATCTATCACATGCTCAAACTCTGTGACAGTTTCCGTTTTAGGCATCTTAAATTAAATATATATATATTTTAATCCTCCCAATAACTCTAGGAAATAGGTATTACTATTCTTATGTTCTTCATTCTTGACTTTTTTTTTTTTTTTTAGACAGTCTCGCTCTGTCACCCAGGTTGGAATGCAGTGGCACACAATCTTGGCTCACTGCAACCTCCACCTCCCAGGTTCAACCGATTCTCGTACCTCATCCTCCTGAGTAGCTGGGATTACAGGTGTATGCTACCACGCCTGGCTAATTTTTGTATTTTCAGTAGAGACAGGGTTTCACTATGTTGGCCAGGATGGTCTCAAACTCGGTAGCCCAAGAGATTTGCCCACCTCAGCCTTGCGAAGTAGTGGGATTACAGATATGTACCACCACGCCTAGCCCTTCTTGACTTTCTATAGTATAGTACTATACTACTTTTTGATTACATGACTGCCATCTAACAGGGACCTAGTGATTTCAGCTGTTTAACTACAGTTGACCTTTAACAACACATGTTTGAACTGTGAGAGTTCACTTATACAGATTTCCTTGCCCCGCTGCCACCCCTGAGACAGTAAGACCAATCCCTCCTGTTCCTGAGCCTACTTAATGTGAAGACGATGAGGATGAAGACCTTTATGATGATCTACTTCCACTTAATGAATAGTAAATATACTTTCTCTGCCTTATGAATTTCTTTCTTTCTTTTTTTTTTTGAGGTGGAGCCTTGCTCTGCCGCCCAGGCTGGAGTGCAGTGGCGCAATCTCGGCTTACCACAGCCTCCGCCTCCCGGGTTCAAGTTATTTTTCTGCCTCAGCCTCCCAAGTAGCTGGGATTACAGGCACTCGCCACTGCGCCCAGCTAATTTTTGTATTTTGAGTAGAGACGGAGTTTCACCATGTTGCCCAGGTTGGCCAGGCTGGTCTCGAACTTCTAACCTCAGGTGATCTGCCCACCTTGGCCTCCCAAAGTGCTGGGAATACAGGTGTGAGCCACCACGCCTGGCCTTGCCTTATGATTTTCTTAATAACATTTTCTTTTCTCTAGCTTACTTTATTGTAAGAATACAGTAGATGGGGCGTGGCGGCTCACACATGTAATACCAGCACTTTGGGAGGCCAAGGAGGACAAGTTGCTTGAGGTCAGAAGTTCGAGACCAGCCTGGGGAACATAGCGAAACCCTGTCTCTACAAAAAAAAAAATAGAAAAATTAGCCCGGTATAGTGGCATGCGCCTGTGGTCCCAGCTATTCGGGAAGCTGAAGTGGGAGATTTGCTTGAGCTGGGAAGGTGGAGGTTGCAGTGATCTGAGATCGCACCACTACACTCCAATCTGGGTGACAGAGTAAGATCCTGTATCCAAAAAGAAAAAAAAGAATATGGTATATGATACACGTAACATTCAAAATAGGCTGGATGCAGTGGCTCACACCTATAATCATAGCACTTTAGGAGACTGAGGTGGATGGGTTGCTTGAGCCCAGGAGTTTGAGACCAGCCTGGGCAACACAGTGAAACTCCACCTCTGTAAAATAAATTTCAGAATTAGCCAAGCATAGGCCTGTAGTCCCAGCTACTCGGGAGGCAGAGGAGGAAGGATCAGTTGAGCCCAGGAAGTCAAGGCTACAATGCACTATGATAGTGCCACTGTACTCCAGCCTGAGTAACACAGCAAGACCCTGTCTGGAAAGAAAACAAAAAACATACAAAATGTGTGTAACTGACCATTAAGGTTATCAATAAGGCTTCTGGTCAACAGAAGGCTATTTAGTTAAGTTTTTGGGAAGTCAAAAGTTATATGCAGGCCAGGTACAGTGGCTTACACCTATAATGCCAGCACTTTGGGAGGCTGAAGCGGGTGGATCACTTGAGGTGAGGAGTTCGAGACCAGCCTGGCCAACATGGTGAAACCCTGTTTCCACTAAAAAGACAAAAATTAGCTGGGCGTGGTAGCATGCATCTGTAAACCTAGCTAGTCACAAGGCTGAGGCAGAAAAATCACTTGAAGCCAGGAGGCAGAGCTTGCAGTGAGCCGAGATCATGCCACTGTACCCCAGCCTAGGCAACAGTGGGAGACTCCATCTCCAAAAAAAAAAAAAGGTAAAGAAAAGTTTTATACAGATTTTCAACTAGGAGAGGGGACAGCACCCCTAAACACCATTTTGTTCAGGTGTCAACTGTATAAAATTTTTCAACACTAATACAGTGATTAAAAATGAGACTCTGGGCCAGGCACCTTGGCTCATGCCTGTAATCCCAGCACTTTGGGAGGCCGAGGCGGGCAGATCACGAGGTCAAGAGATTGAGACCATCCTGGCTAACACGGTGAAACCCTGTCTCTACTAAAAATACAAAAAAAATTAGCCGGGCATAGTGGCGAGTGCCTGTAGTCCCAGCTACTAGGGAGGCTGAGGCAGGAGAATGGCGTGAACCCGGGAGGCGGAGCTTGCAGTGAGCCGAGATCGTGCCACTGCACTCCAGCCTGGGTGACTGAGCGAGACTCCGTCTCAAAAAAAAAAAGAGAGAGACTCTGGAACCAAACTTTTTGGGTTGAAATTCCAACTCTACCACTTGTTAATTATATGCCTTCTCTGTGCCTTAATTTGCTTGCCTGTTGAATGGAATAATAGTATCTATCTCACAGGGTTATACGGAATGAGTTGATCCGTCCAAAGCACTTAAAATGATGCCTCATACAAGCCAGGCATGATAGTGTGCACCTGTAGTCCCAGCTACTTGGGAGGCTGAGGAGGGAGGATCACTTGAGCTCAGGAGTTCAAGACTAGCCTGGGCAACACAGTGAGATCCTATTTCAAAAAAAAAAAATGCAACCAACCAAACAAAAAAACCCCAAAACCAGTGTCTAACTCAAAACTTAATAAATGTCCATGTTAATTTTATTATTATTTAATAATGCAGTAGAAGGGAAGAGACTAAAGATATTTACAAATCCTAGGAATTAAGTAAAGAGACTGACGATTTACCAATTATTCCAAATTGTTAAATGGTTATTTCCAAATTTCAGACCAGGAACAACATTCTTCTTATTGCCTCCTCTGGCACAGCTTACCTTATCTCTAGCACAAATACGCAACTCATTGTCTACTTCACAGACACGGGCAAACTTAATAAAGCGCTTGTAATCAAAATTATTTTGGATTCCAAGATGATGGCAGTCCCTAGAAGGATTCCAAAACAGAGAGATGAAATTTTTCAACAAGGAAGCTGTACCTTAAATAGTAATACTAAATTTATATAAATATTTTAGCCAACTTTTCAGAAGTGTTCAGTGCATACCTGGCAAAATAATCCCATTTGTCCACATCAATGCCATTTCTTTTATTAGATACTATCTCATAAAGGAAGCTTTTGTTTTCAGGACGCCCTTTATATGGCCACTGGAAGGCAAGAAAACCCACTGGAAGTTTTAGGATAGGCACCAAATCTATTTATAAACAAAGCAAAGCAATTTTATTAATCTGTAAAATATAAACAGATACCTGACTGGGAATATGAGATAAACTAGAAGGTTCTATTCTTTCTTTCTTCCACTTCATTTCAAAACTAGTAGAAAGGGAAAAGAAATGCTAAGGTATATGATACCCTATTGTTACCACATTTTCTTGTGCCACTGAAAAGATCTGAACTCTATTACATTTCCCAAAACCAACAACTTTTGTGTTTTCTTGGTTTATAAGTTTTTGAAAAATATAAAATCTAGGCCAGGCATGGTGGCTCACGCCTGTAATCTCATCACTTTGGGAGGCCGAGGAGGGCGGATCACGAGGTCTGGAGTTTGAAACCAGCTTGGCCAAGATGGTGAAACCCTGTCTCTACTAAAAACACAAAATTAGTTGGGCATGGTAGCAAGTGCCTGTACTCCCAGCTACTCAGGAGGCTGAGGCAGGAGAATCGCCTGAACTCAGGAGGCGGAGGTTGCAGTGACCTGAGGTTGTGCCACTGCCCTCTAGCCTGGGCAACAGAGCAAGACACCGTCTCAAAAATAAATAAATAAATAATATAAAATCTAATAATAAACTAACAATGCTTGAATTCATGCATTAAAACAGTACTATCTTTCAAAGTAGCTACATACCTAGTCTAAATAATATGCATTGTTGAATGTATTCTTTGAGCTCCACTTTTTTGGAAATAGGATATTTGCTACAAAACTCATCTGTTTATCTTATACTGTAAGTACACTTGTATATATTTGAGGAAACAGCCCTAAAAATCTCAGGGGGAAATTATTTCCCAACTTTATTTTTAATTAAAAAAATACAAAAGATCAAAAAGGAAACAAAACAGATTTTCCATTGAACTGGTTCAACTTTTTTGTAGATCTTCCTATAAATATTTCAAATATGATTTTTTTTTAAATTTGTAGACAGGATCTAGCTCTGTTGCCCAGGCTGGAGTGCAGTTGCACAATCACAGATCACTGCAGCCTGCCTCAGCCTCCCAAGCATCTGAGACTACAGGCATGAGACAGGGTTTCAGTATTACCCAGGCTGATCTCAAACTCCTGGGCTCAAGTGATCCTCCCATCATGGCCTCCCAAAGTGCTGGGATTACAGGCATGAGTCACTGAGCCTGGCCAAATATGTTCATTTTAATGGTTAAATAAAACATACACATTTACATTCCAAACAAAGTTACTTTAGGCTTCTATATAAAATACTGCAGGCCAGGTATGGTGGCTCACGCCTGCAATCCCAGTATTTTGGGAGGCCAAAGTGGGAGAATCACTTGAGCCCAGGAGTTCGAAACCAGCTTAGGCAACATAGTGAGACCACATCTCCAAAAAAAAAAATTTTTTTTAATGAATAAAATACTGCATATATATTCACTAAAAAAGAATTTATGGCCGGGCGCGGTGGCGGCTCACGCTTGTAATCCCACCACTTTGGGAGGCTGAGGCGGGTGGATCACCTGAGGTCAGGAGTTTGAGACCAGCCTGGGCAACATGGTGAAACCCCGTCTCTACTAAAAATACAAAGATTTGCCGGGCGTGGTGGCACACACCTGTAATCCCAGCTACTCAGGAGGCTGAAGCAGAAGAATTGCTTGAGCCTGGGAGACAGAGGTTGCACTGCGCTGAGATCATGCCACTGTACTCCAGCCTGGCCAACACAGTAAGACTCTATCTCAAAAAAAAAAAAAAAAAAAAAAAGAAAGAAAGAAAGAAAAGAAAAGAATTTATGCCAAGCACAGTGGCTCACACCTGTAATCCCAGCACTTTCAGAGGCAGAGCTGGGCAGATCACTTGAGCTCAGGATTTCAAGACTAACCTGGGCAACGTGACAAAACCCCATCTCTACAAAAAATACAAAAATTAGCTGGGCATGGTAGTGCACGTTTGTGGTCCCAGCTACTCAGGAGGCTGAGGTAGGAGGATCGCTTGAGCCTGGGAGGTGGAAGTTGCAGTGAGCTGAGATTGTGCCACTGCACTCCAGCCTGTGTGACAGAGTAAGACCCTGTCTCTAAAAAGAATTTCTGTATATATATTTTTGGGAAGTAACTTCTAACTAATTCAGTTGAGAGGTAGAAAAAAATATAAGCCTTTTATTTTTTGCATTAAACAGTAGAAACATAGAACTCATATTTTATCATTTAGCCTCTAAAATAGCCAAATGTATAACTCAGAAGGAATCATGAAAAGGCTAGATGAAAAGCACCAGTCAGTTAAAATTAAGCTGTACATAAACTTACCAATGAATCTTCGACAGGTGATTCAAGTGGTCCTACAATTTGTTCCTTTATAAAGCAAATATCTTCTTCAGGGATGAGACCATATTGTTCCATGACAGGCTTAATTCCATTAGAATTAATAAGGTGCTCAAACATCATAACTGAGCCTTGTTCATGCTAGGAAAAGTAAGCACAATATGATGTGTTAAAGATTCTAGCCCATTGGGAGCCCTGACTAACAAAATTATCCTCAATTCCAAGTAATTCTGAGATAAAGGTCTATTGCATATTAATTCTCTAGTTTCTAACCACAATCTTAGGAACATTTTTAAAAACCTGTCAGATTTTTCATTTTACTAGTAGTCTACAAACCTTTTACAAAACTTATTTCATAAACATATTTAATGCATTTAATGATATAATCATTTACAGTTCCTAAATGAATATTATAAGATCATGTAGACAGAATTACATTTTAATAAATATCATCATAAAATTGAATTTTATTTTTTCATCAGCCTTTGAACACGTGCAGTTATAAGCTCTGTTAGGCACTACCATCTAGTGGTGAAAAGGGGTAACTGCAAACTTGCCAGTAAAAACAAAGATCTCCCTTGAAATCTCCAATTGGCCTGTTTGCTCATCTCTCTCTGCTCACTCATTCACAATCAATGTAAAGGATCAAATGAACTCCTGAAGACATCTGCCCTTTCCTAGATCCTACCAAAAACTAACTCAAGATGAAAAACAAAACCTGAATTATCCTATAACTATATTTTTTTAAAAAAAGAGACAGGGAATTGCTCTGTTGCCCTGGCTAGAGTCCAGTGATGTGATCATGGGGTCACTGTAGTCTTGAACTCCTGGGCTCAAGTGATCCTCCCACTTCAGCCTCCCGAGTAGCTGAAACCACAGGTGCACACCACCCTACCCAGCTAATTTTTAGATTTTTTTGTAGAGGCAGGGTCTTGATTTGTTGACCAGGTTGGTCTTGAACTCCTAGGCTCAAATAATCCTCCTGTCTCAGCCTCCCAAAGTGGCAGGATTACAAGCAACTTGCCCTATAACTATTCTTTCCCCGCCCCCGCAGAAACAATTCTTGCTCCAGAAACTATTCTTAAAAACAGAATCAGGGCTGTCAGGCCTGGGTGCGGTGGCTCACACCTGTAATCCCAGCGTTTTGGGAGGCCGAGGTGGGCGGATCACTTGAGGTCAACAGTACAAGTTTGGCCAACATGGCAAAACCTCCTGTCTACTAAAAAATACAAAAATTAGCCAGGCATGGTAGGGTGCACCTATAATCCCAGCTACTTGGGGGACTGAGGCAGGACAATCACTTGAACCCAGGAGGTGGAGGTTGCAGTGAGCCGAGATCGCCCTGCACTCCAGCCTGGGTGGGCAACAAAGTGACACTCTGTTTCAAAAGAAAAAAAAAAA